>NC_000002.12:97792648-98095678 GCF_000001405.40 Homo sapiens | reverse complement strand
ACTTTCACCACTTTTATTCACAACAGTACTAGAAGTTCTAGCCAAGGCAATCAGGCAACAGAAAGAAATTAACAGCATCTAAATTGGAAAGAAAGAAGCTAAATTGTCCCTATTTGCAGATGACACAATCTTATACAGAGAAAATCCTAAAGACTCCACTAAAAACCTGTTAGAATTAATTAACAAATTCAGTAAAGTTGCAGACTACAAAATTAACAACAAAAATCAGCAGTGATATACATGCTAACAGCAAACTATCCAAAAAAGTGTAAAAGGAAACCATTCCATTTACAATAGCTACCAAAAACAAATAAATAAAGTACTTAGGAATAAATTTAACTAAGGAGGTGGAATATATCTACAAGGAAAACTATAAACATGGATGAAATTGAAAAGACACAAATTTAAAGATATTCCATGTTCATAGATTGGAAAGATGAATACTGTTAAAAATATCCACACTACCCAAAGTGCTCTACAGATTTAGTGTAACCCCTAACAAAATACCAATGACATTCTTCACAGACATAGAAAAAACAATCCTTAAATTTGTATAGAACCACAAAGAAAGCCAGAATACCCAAAGCAACCTTGAGCAAAAAGAACAAACCTGGAGGCATCACATTACCTGGCTTCAAAATATACTACAAAACTATAGTAATCAAAACAGCATGATACTGGCATAAAAACAGACACATAGATCAATGGAATAGAATAGAGAGCCAAAAAATAAATCCACATATGTATGTACAGCCAATTGATTTTTGACAAGGGTGCCAAGAACACACAATGGGGAAAGGACAGTCTCTTCAATAAAAGGTATTGAGAAAACTGTATAGCCACAGGCAGAATAACAAAATTAGGCCCTTATTGCCACCATATACAAAAATCAACTCAAAATGAATTACAGACTTAATTGTAGGATCTGAAAATATGAAACTACTGGAAGAAAAAGGGAAAAGATCTATGACATCGATCTGGGTGATGATTTTTTGGATATGACCTCAAAAGCACAGGCAACAAAAGCAAAAATAAACAAATGAGATTACATCAAAGTAAAAAGTTTCTCTACAGAAAAGGAAAAAAATCAACAGAGTAAAGAGACAACCTACAGAAATAGGGGAAAATATTTGCAAACTACACATCTGAAAAGGGGTTAATATCCAAAATATTAAAGGAACTTAAATATTAAAACTAAACCTGGTTTTTAAATGGACAAAAGTCCTGAATAGACATTTCTCAAAATAAATCATACAAATGGCCAACAGGTATATGAAAAAAATGCTCAATATTACTAATGGTCAAGGAAATGCAAATCAAAACCACAATGAGATACCATTTCACTCCTGTCACAATGGCTAATATCAAAAAGATAAGTGTTGGCAAGGATATGGAGAAAAGGATACCCACACACACTGTTGGTGGGAATGTAAATTAATATAGCTATTATGGAAAGCAGTATGGAGGTTCCTCAAAACGCTAAAAATAGAACTACCATATGATCCAGCAATCCCACTACTGGATATGTATATCCAAAGGAAATAAAATCAGTAAGTGAAAGAGATATCTGCACTCTCTTGTTTGGTGCAGCACTATTCACAATAGCCAAGATAACGAAATCAACTTAAGTGTCCATCAATAGATGACTGGATAAAGAAAACATAGTATATATACACAATTAAATACTATTCAGCCATAAAAAGGAAAGAAATCCTGTCATTTGCTACGTGAACGAACCTCAAGGGCATTATGTTAAATAAAATAACCAAGGCACAGGAAGACAAACACCACATAACCTCACTCATGTGGAATTTTAAAAAGTTTATCTCATAGAAGTAGCGAGTAGAGTGATGCTTATCAGAGGCTGGGGTGGTTGTGGCGGTGGGAATCGGGAAGATGTTAGTCAAAGGATATACCACTACAATTAGGACATCTAGTCAAGAGATCTATTGTACAGTATGGTGATCATAGTTAATGATGATGGATTGCATTCTTGAAAAACACAGAAAGAGTGGGTAAGTGTTCTCACCACAAAAAATGACTATATGAGGCAATGCATTTGTTAATTAGCTAGATACAGCCATTCACAATGTATACATTCTTCAAAACATCATGTTGTACATGATAAATACATACAGTTTTATCTGTCAATTTAAAAAGTAAAAAAGAAAGGATGAAATTAAGCATTATTTAATACATGGATTGACAATTGTACGTCTACTTAATACACATATATTGGGGGCACACGTGCAAGCATTTTCTACTGATAGGGATATAAGATCAAAGCAAGCTCAGAGACCTGTGGTTTTTGAGGGGCCTTCAGAGCTGATGCAGCCACCTCCACCTCAAAGGCTAAATGGCAGCATGCTGGTTGTTTGTGAGTACTGTACCTTCACAATGTGGGAATCCGATCTGTGACAAAATCTGTTTCAAGGTCAATTTGTTGCTCTTAAGCCCATGCAGTTGAAGCCATTTCTCAGATGAAATGAGACTCTGCTCAGCCAAGTCTGTTTTGGTGTTAATCCATCCCTCTTGCCTCTGCAGCTGCTGCTCAGAGATGGTAGAAGATGGGCCTGATTTCTCCATCTCTGAATCAAGATCTAAGTCACAGCAAACTCCTGTAAGGGCAATCATAAACTCAGACTTCCTAAAAACTTGGAAATCATCTAACGTCAACAGGGGACTGGCTTAACATAAATTATAGTACACCCATGAAGTGGAATGCTATTTATCAATTAAAATTATACATGTATATTTGGTGGAAAAGAGGACAGTCACATGAATTGCTAAGAGGTATCCATAAAGTTCAATATTCAACTATATATATATATATATATATATATATATATATATATATATATACAAAAACATCTAGAAAGATATTCCGTAACAGGTTTAGAGTAGTTTTCTCTGTGTGGTGGTAGTATGTGTGGTTTTTGCCTTTTCTATATTGTTTAAATTTTTGCATTATTTGAATATTTCTAAAATGGGGTTTACTTTGTTGTTGTTGTTGTTGTTTTTTGTTCATTTGTTTTTGAGAAGGAGTCTCGCTCTGTTGCCCAGGCTGGAGTGCAGTGGCACAATCTAGGCTCACTGCAACCTCCACCTCCCAGGTTCAAGCAATTCTGCTGCCTCAGCCTCCTGAGTAGCTGGGATTACAGGCGCGTGCCACCATGCCCAGCTAATTTTTGTATTGTTAGTGGAAATGGGGTTTCACCATGTTGGTCAGGCTGGTCTCGAACTGCTGACCTCGTGATCCGCCCGCCTTGGCCTCCCAAAGTGTTGGGATTACAGGCGTGAGCCACTGCGCCCAGCTGGAATTTACTTTTATAATCAGAAAACTGCAAAGCTCTTCCATTTTGGAAAAAAATAAACACTAGCCCCAGAACCTTCACTACACATCTGTATTCCAATAACAATCACACCTGACATTTTGTGCCCAATGAGGATGAGAAGGATAAAACTCTGACAGGTTTTTACCTGTCGAACAGGTGTAGTGGCTAATTGGGAGCTGGTGGCGGTTGGGAACCAGACCACAGCTCAGCCCAGCTGGAATACATGTATCCACTTTCTGAATGTTTTATTGTCTGGGGCTTTGCTCTACAATTGGACTTAAGCATTCTGGCCCATGTAGCCATCTGTTCTGGGATCAACTGGACCCAAGGCCATATGCAACATATTAAACTTAGCTAGACCTGCCTAAATATAGCTAGTGTATGCAAGAGGAAAGGATGGGGCCAAACTATAATGCAATCTTAACCCGCTCACCACAAATGGGCAGGGCCTGGTGACCTGGAGGAAGTGTAGAAAGTTCTGCTTACTTCTGTATCCAGAATTCACAATGCATGTAAACTGATACCCTGAATTGTAAAACTTTTTAACAATGAAAATAGGTTCTTTCCCTATTTCTAAAACTTTAACTGTATTTCCTAAAAGTTTCACTGTCATGACATGGAAATTCAGTCAAACACAAAAATCAGTTGGACCAAGTCAGGGAGGTTTTATAAAAAGGAGTTAGAAGTATTATCATTAGCAAGCACTTATTTAACATCATGTTATGTGCAATTTACATTTAATCCTTATAACCTCATGAGGTAGGTACTACTCTTATTTTCATTTTACAAATGAGGAAACCAAGACAGAGAGGGGTTAATTAACTTGTCCACAATCTTACAACTGGTAAGGGGTGGAGTTAAGATTCTAAACCAGGCCATTCAGCTCCAGGATCTGTGTTCTGTGATCTTTAGTGTAATAGAAGCAATGCAACAACTTCCATTTGTTGGTCCTTTTATACGCACTAGCTCACAGCTTCTTCATACCATATCAGTTACTCATTATTAACACGCCACTTACATGTGAGGAATCGCAAGCTTCGAGGATTTAAAGAACTTGCTCACAGGTTCTGCCACAGCCAGTGAGAAAAGCAGGAGTCAAAGCCATTTCTTAACCACTCTGCTATCTTTACAATTAACCTCCTCCAGCCAGGTCTTATGGGACAAGGCAATCTGCATTCCAGTAGGACTGCATTCTAGTAGGGCCCTAGGTCCTCATCCGGAACGCTAATCTTTATTCTCAGAGCTCAGACTCAATAAGCTTCTTGGCTTATCACTCTCAAACTTTTAAAGATAATGAGGCTGGGTGCAGTGGCTCATGCCTGTAATCCCAGCACGTTGAGAAGATCGCTTGAGCCCAGGAGTTCGAGACTACCCTGACCAACATAGTGGAGGACTCATCTCTACTAATTTTTTTTTTTTAATTAGCCAGGCATGGTGGTGCATGCCTGTAGTCCCAGCTACTCGAGAGGCTGCAGCAGGAGGATTGCTTGAGCCCAGGAGTTCGAGGTTGCAGTGAGCTCTAATTGCACCACTGCACTCCAGCCTGGGCAACAGAGCAAGAACTTGTCTTTAGCGAGACTCAGTCTCAAAAAAAAAAAAAGATAATAATTTCCATTTCAAGGTTTATGTGAATTTGTATTGTCCACATATGTTGAGTTGCAAAGGTATACAAATTATTATTGGTGAAGATCTGGCTTTCTTTCTACAAAGGCTCAATTTGAGGAGAATATTGCAATATTACTTGGAGAGCATCACGTAGGAGTGGAAAAGTTTAGAATCAAAACTCAGTATAAGCCCATTCTGCCACTTTAAGGTGATTCCACCTCTCTAGGATAGTAATACCACCTGCACACCCTAACTCCCAGGGCTATTCAAGGAACAACTGTGCTGATGTATAAGTTATGCGTGGATAAGCACTTTATATGTTGGAAACAGCTATGTGCAAATAAATGATCTAAAAGTCATGGTTCTTTAGTCATTGTATTTTGTTTCATGAGACCCACTTTCATCCCAAGCACTTTTTATCCCCAAGTCTCCAATCATACTGAGCTAGAAAGTTTAGAATCACAGAACATGAAAACAAGGGCAGACTAATATGCCTCAACTTGTTTTTGAGGATCTATCCACAAAGACTGGAGCTGAAAGAAAGTCTTTTAAATTTGGTCAGTTGTTCCAAGAAACAAGAAAGGGAAGCTCAGAAGAAACTTTTTTCTTTACTATTTCATCATTTCCAATTAATTTTTCTCTTCCCTGAAACACACCCACCTCCTACAATATTCTTGCTGAAGGGAGTACTAGGTTTAAAAGGGAGCACTTTTACATAAACTGCCCTAATAAGATTTTGTAAAGTGGATTTGGGAACCTTAAAGAGGGGTTCAGAATAGTCACAGGTGTTGTTTTTAAGCTAAAGGGACATGTTTTTGATCCCCAAAAAAGGCAATCAAAACTTCTCCAGTATAGCTAAGGTGCACGCCCCAGTCCCTTTTGCACTCATATGACTTTTAAAAAATTAATTTTTAAAAAAAGTGTAATTGGCTCTACTGGATCTGAGAACCTGTACAGTCCAGTCTGATTCAGATCTTACCTCCAGCGTTTTGTAGCCTGAGAATATTTGTATTGTCTGAAATACAAATGGAATATTTGTATTGTCTGAAATACAAATGGAATATTTGTATTGTCTGGAAAAAAAAAAAGGAAGGAAAGGGGGAAAGGGAGAAAAGCCATCTCCCAACAGAAGGAATTGTTCCACTCAAGTGGGATAGGAACTGTTCTATCAGAGCAAGGAAGCCTGCTGCGAGCCGGGACGTAGCCCCCTTCTCCCCACCCCACCCCCACTAGCCCGCCTGCTTTCCCACCTCCAGGTTGGTCTCAGACGGCTCTCCTATGCAGACTCTTAGCCTGCAAGTCTCATTTCAAATGCTGCCTCTGCCATTAAGCCTCCCCGAAACCCCTTCACAACCTTCCGCAGCCCCTCCCTGGGAAAACCCTAACTTTTGCTATGATACTTTATCACTAAGGTCTTAGGCACTTCAGGCTTGTCCTCACTAGACTTAAAGACAGTTCAATGACTACGGAGACAAACTACAGGAAGATTCTCAGCACAGGGCCTCATACGCAGCAGGCACTTGGTGTGAGAGTTGAGATGAATAAAACTGATCACTCAGAGCTACTAAGAGAATCCTGATTTTGTTCAAAGAAGGCAAATATCCACAGTGTTAATAAGGCTAATATCAGGAAACAGCTCTTTTAAAAAAGGGATATATTGGCCGGGCACGGTGGCTCACTCCTGTAATGCCCCCTTAAAGTGCCAAAGTGCTCTCTTGGCACTTTGGGAGGCCAAGGCGGGCGGATCACCTGAGGTCAGGAGCTTGAGACCAGCCTGGCCAACATGGTGAAACCTCGTCTCTACTAAAAATACAAAAATTAGCCGGGCATGGTAACACACACGTGTAATCCCAGCTACTAGGGAGGCTGAGGCAGGAGAATTGCTTGAACCCAGGGGGCAGAGGTTGCAGTAAGCCAAGATTGCACCACTGCACTCCAGCCTGGGGGACAGAGCGAGACCCTGTCTCAAAAAAAAATAAAGGGGGATATATTATTTTCTGATAAAACTATGCTATTTATTTATTTATTTACTATTATTCAGAGTTTCCTCAGCTGAGGTTATTATAAATTGGGGAACCAAGTAACCCAGAAGTCGGAAACAACAACATACCGGAGTTGAGCATTGCCCTAAGTTTTAGAGGCCATCCCAAGAACCATACATAGAGTTTGGATAGGAAAGTATTTCCTTAGAAGAAGGAGGAAGTGTAAAAGGAAAAACAAGGAAGTGAAAGTCTGAGCTGAAAATGTGGGCAGGCAAAGCTTTGGGGAAAATAGAAAGGTTAAGCTGGCAACTGTACAAGGGCCCCGTCTACTGGAAGCAGATGCTCCTGGGCTGCCCTGGGCGACAGTCTTGTGAAGTCAGCATGCCCTCAGAGAAAAGGTCCTATGTGCTCGGAGGTTCAGGGACAGTGCAGGGTTGAGAGTCCATTAATCCAGTTTAGACATTCAATAAGCTTCTAGCTACTTTATTATCAACACCCCAAACTTCCTATACCCCTGTTAGTTTCTGAAAAAGAAGTCTGGGCTAGGTGGATATATATCTTGTGATTTAGGTGAATTTGTGAACGATGATTTTTCCAGGAAGAAAGGAAACTGGGACGAAGCTTCATGATGGATCCTGATGCAACTCTTCCCCAGAAACCCTTAAACCTCCTCCCATTTTTTCTGCCCTTAAGGGACAAGGCTTGGCTGTGATCATTGGCTCAAATAATGTGGACAGAGACAAGGATATTGAAACGGACTGTCCCACCGTTGAGAAAATAGTCAAGAAGGCAATATCTGAGAATAATTGGAGTGCTTTAGGAGGAAGGTCATTGCTGAGAAGAAACAGAGCTTCCAAGAAAATGAAAGGAAAAGCTCTACCAAATGGAAACTAAATCTACTTATTAAGTCTTATTTCCATATAAGGAGGGTGAAAGAAACTGATATGATTGTGAAACCATGTAAGTGTTGCTTTGGCTTTTAGACTATACATATTTATCCTTATGTTCAGGAAATGTGTTTCTTCTGGTTCCCATGTTCCCTCCAAAGCCCAGGTGGACTTCATCACCTTGAACTGCTGGCCTATGGCATAGACAGAAACTAGGAAAACCGCTTTTCCACCAGAGCGGCTGGGCGTGGGCTCGGGTGAGGTGTGATGGAAAGAGCTCTAGAGTAGGAGGGGTCGGTACCTTGACCCTCGGCTTGCCCTGGGTAGCGGACGATTAAGTGGGCCAGGGCAAGTCACCGAGCTTTCCTGGTACTGTTTCCGCATCTGTAAAGTGGGCGTGTAGTCCACCTCAGAAATGGCATTTTTCCAAGACCTCCCTAGGCCGCTTGTTGGAAGGCTCGGCACCTCGGCGGCTCTCGTGCGGCAGGCATCGCTCCCACACTTACTAGGCAATATGTCGGGTGGAAGACGTGGCGGCTCCCGCTCAGCAGCCACCCTCCCATCCTCCCGGGCCCGCCTGACCCGAGAGGGCGGGCGAGGTAAGCATCCCGCTGGTGGATAAGGCAGCGATTCCGGCGGGCGAAGGCTGCGCGCCGGGGGCGAAGGATTCCAGCTGTTCTAGGTCTCTGTGACCCGCGCCTCTGGTTCCGAGCGCGGTCTGTTGACGACGGCGTCTCCGCGGTTGCCTGGACACGGCCAATCACAGCGCGGCTCCTGGAGCCGGCCCCGCCCACAGACCGCGCCCTCACTGGGGCGATGGCTGCGGACCGTGGCCAAGAGGGCGGGGCGCCGAGGCCGTCACCGAGCCAGGTGCGGAAAGCCGGCGTCCGGAACCACCCGGGCCGGGACGACCTCCACCCCAGACCCCCAAACAGAGGCCACGCTAGAGGGACAGGGCGAGTGGCGTTGCCCCTTGCGCCTACTGTCAATGGGAAAATTAACAACAGCGGAGAATATGAATGAAAGAATGAATGAATTAACAAACAAATACACTGATGAGCTGGGGTAGAAATATAGGGTGCGAGCAGACAGGGGAGGAAGGCGCCAGAGGCCGAGGAGAGGCGAGGAGACTGCGGGAAACGCTACAAACGAACTTCTTTTCATACTTTTCAGCAGAGCATTGACCCCTGTGTAGTTTTAATTTTCACCTCACCACTGTCAGGCGATGCTCTCTTCCTTGCACAGTTCAGAGAAAGACGCTTTAAAAGAGGTGGGGCAGTTCGTTGTAGCTCAGCCACTGGACGTGGGCGGAGCTGAGACAGACAGAAGGGACAGGGAGCTGCAATTTTGCAATTGTGGAGGCAGGGGCTGCAGTTGCCAAGAATATTCTTACCTGTTTGACATGAATATTTCTATAGGCATTATTTTCTCCATTCAGCTTTGTTTTTAACCTTTGTTTCAGTGTTACCTTATCAATTAAGCAAAAGGCTCTAAATATTTTCCTATTTTTCCAGTCACCAGGAAATAAAATTGTGCTTATGAAAAGTATCTTTAAAGTCTTAATAAAAGACCCCACAGTAAGTATTGTTTTTAGGGTATTGGGATAGTAAACGATTTTAGATTTTAAAATTATAGAACTGACCAGATCATTTGCAGGTTTTTCAAAGAACTAATAAAACATAGTTAATGTTAGAACTGAGTAATTCTGTCCCCCCAAAAAAAGTCTGCTTCATCCACAGGAATTTATTTCTCCTGCATTCTTTTAATGCCTCTATCATTTAAAAAGTACTGAAAGATTTCATTCCATATCACAAATCATTCCTGGCAGTTATTAGTTTATATATATTTGGCCCTGCAAATGAAACCTGCCATCCACACCACCAAAAAACAAGCAAAAGCTTGATAGTACTGAAGACTGTTCAGAAGGGAGTAAAACACCAGCCTCGCCCATGTTTGCCAATGACCCATTAATCCTTGCTGTCCACACCCTGCCACACTAATATTCTTGGGTCACGGGGGTGAGACAGAGCACACAGCAACACATAGCCAAATGCCCTGCCTCACATGGTCACGCCAGGCACTCTTGTTCCCACCTTCACCCCATGCCTGCTCCTTTCCCTAGGACACTTGCCACATACGTGCAAGTCACCAAGATGATCTGTCCCTATCTTTCGTGTTTATGTGTCTATAAGCATACATTCTGTTGAAAATGTGAAACATTACTTACTTAAATTGTAGAATGATAAGTGAGTAGAAGTTTAAGGTTATTTTGAAGCATTAAATAGTTGGTATGGACTTCAGTTTAGCTAGTTACAGAATGGTTTGCCTCATTTTTATTGAGTTATTTGAAATAAGAAAACCTTTAGCACAGTGGTGATACACTACTATACTGAACTTTTGACAAATTTGTTTTGAGTTTACATTTTTACAGATAATTTGTATCTTTCCTTAAACCTCAGTAAGCGACATTGATCAAATCACTGCCATCTTTGATGTCAAACTTCTGGACTTTACCATTAAGGGCTCAAATTATACTTTCAGACTTTTGCTCATTGCCTCCAACACAAACCCCCATCCCAGAGAGACCCACCTGGTCCCTGCCTCTGAGCACAGATGACTTTACTCAGGCCACCCAGATTACCACAGTTTGGGAATCACCGTCCCTTCAGGGTCAGCTCTAGCTCTTCTCTCTCTCCCCAAAGCCCTCCCATGGATGCTGCGGCCCTAATAACTTCTCTCTACCTGTACAGTCTCAAAGCATTGCTTGCCAGTACCACACTCTTGGCAACCATGTACAAGCCTTTGACAAGCCTTTCGTTGTTATTTGACCTTTGTGCTGTTTACTTTTCAGGTTCAATGGGTTTTCCTTTTCTTTATACAAGTCTATCACTGCCACTGCTTGGGCTTATGGCCATGATCAGAATGTTTGGTGGAGGAGGGAGGGTGATAAAGGAAATGAAGGGAGGAAAAGCATTTTCCTAAGCCCACTGCAAAAACTGGAACCAGAGGAGACGGAGAATGTTAACTCCTTGTATATATGTGTGAGAAAGAACCTGAGCTGGAATTAAAACAGAGGCACTCCCTCTGAAGAGGAAGGAGAAACTGAGAGAGTGAGGCAGTTCCTGCTGAACCTTTGTTAGCTCTTGTGGTGAAGGGAGTTTTCGCCATCAGGGGCAGCCTTGGGAGAGGTAGGTGGGGACAGGGGCCATCACGGGGAGGTAGAGCTCAAACAGAGGTTTCTCTATGCTGTGATGTTCTTGAGTTCAGCATTCATTATTTGGGACAATGAATGTAGACTCCTGGCTCTCAATCTAACATCTTTGATGAGGGTCAGAGCTTTTTTACTACCCTTGGCAAAGACTACGTTCACTTTTACCAGACTGAATTAACACTTAATCATAGCTAGAATGTATTGAATGTCAGACCATGTTCTAACCTCTTTAAATATATTACATCATTTAATACTTAGAAAAGCTCTTTGAGGGAGACATCATAATTATGTCCATTTTCTAGATAAGTAAACTGAGACAGAATATTAAGCTATTTCTCCAAGGCCACTCAATGGTGGTTCCGGAATTTGAACCCAGGCAGCCTGACTCCACACCCTGCCCTGTTAATTATATGCTGTGTTGATCAACTGTTGGCTTCAATTTTCTCCAAGAGGAAATTTCTGTCATCTCAGTCATACAGTGTTCATTTAGTGCTTGATACTAATGGCACAGAGAAACCTCCCTGGATTTAAATGTGTTTTTAACAAGACATATTCCCATTTTAAATGGCATAAAGCAGGTCTGTTTTTAAATTACCCTCCCCGGCCAGGCACCGTGGCTCACGCCTGTAACCCTAACACTTTGGGAGGCCAAGGTGGGCAGATCACCTGAGGTCAGGAGTTCAAGAACAGCCTGGCCAACATGGTGAAATCCTGTCTCTACAAAAATACAAAAATTAGCTGGGCATGATGGCGGGTGCCTGTAATCCCAGCCACTTGGAAGGCTGAGGCGGGAGAATCACTTGAACCTGGGAGGCAGAGGTTGCAGTGAGCCGAGATTGTGCCATTGCACTCCAGCCTGGGCAACAGAGTGACACTCCGTCTCAAAAAAAAAAAAAAAAAAATTACCCTTCCCCCCTACACTTCTTGTTAACCAATTCCTTTGTAATGTGGCATTATTTTAAAAGCTGGATGCCTTGTAGGGTACTAACATATCCCCACAGCAAATTAAGAAAAACTGAACAAAAATATTTTATATAAACAAAAACTCTCAAATATTTGGAAATTTCAAATCACTCTTCAAAATAGTTACTGATACTAAAACCTAGCAAAGACAATACTCTTAGAATGAGATTTTGATCTTACAGGAATGATATTCAGGAATGGACTCAGTCTTGCCTTGGTGTGGTCATCATCTTTCTGCAGTTCCTGAAGATGAGCAGCACGATAGACAATGGCAGAAGGAGATAAGGAATTTCCTTACTTTAAGTGCCTCTAACTCTAGTGCGGGGTGACCTGGCTATGTGGGCACAGGAGTTGGGCACTAAGCTGGAGCCTTTCTCCCTTCTACACTCAGATCTTTCCACCAGCTCCTTGCCAAGATTGGGAGGGTGAATGAGCAACACTGCTTACGAGGGAGGAAGAGAGATGACAGGTTCTGTCCATAATAAGAGATCAGCTCCAGTTTGTTTGTCCTCCTTTCTCCCTGGAGAAAGAGCAAAGTACCAAAGGGAGAGCCACACAAGGGTTTGTAGCTCATAAACTTGGCACCATCAACATCCTGGAATCTCATCCAATTATGTCAGTGTTCCCCCCTCTTGAGGAGTGAAGAAGAGAGAGGAAAGCAAGAAAGAGTTTAACATTAAAAGAATTAGGGCTGGGCACGGTGGCTCACACCTGTAATCCCAGCACTTTGGGAGGCCGAGGTAGGCGGATCATGAGGTCAGGAGTTCGAGGCTAGCCTGACTAACATGGTGAAACCCGTCTCTACTAAAAATACAAAAAATTAGCGGGGCTTTGTGCAGGCACCTGTAATCCCAGCTACTTGGGAGGCTGAGGCAGGAGAATCACTTGAACCTGAGAGACGGAGGTTGCAGTGAGCCAAGATCATGCCACTGCACTCCATCCTGGGCAACAGAGCGACATCTGCCTCAAAAAAAAAAAAAAAAAAAAAAACTTAGAACATTCTCACTGATTAATATAATTGTAAAAATGCTGGGTAAAAATTCCAACAAATTGAATTCAATGAAATATGTTTAAAAGAATGATTTTTTTTTAATTTGTAAAAATAGATACCTTTCTGCCAAACAATTTCATTTCTAGGTTTCCTAGAAAACACACAGAAGTGTTTTTATCATTGCAAAATAATGGAAAGCATCTAAATGTCCAACAAGAAGGGAGTCATTGAAATTATGCTATATTCTTATTGTGATATGATAACAGTTTAAAATAAAAAGATAAACTTATGTATAATAATATAGAAATGTCTCCAAGGTTAAGTATTTCCTTAAAATAAAGTTGCAGAGTGTATGTGCAGGACATTGCATTTTACATCAACACATACACGCAATTATATTGATATATTCACATGTTTACTTCTACCCACAGCCCATTAGCCAAAACAAGTCACATGACCCCCACCTAATTACCAGGAAATGGGGAAGTTTGGAGAACATGGGATAGTCCCTGAGCAGTGGGCATTTTTCTCTGCCGTGTTAATCCAAGGCTTAGGTTCTCGGAGCATAACAGCCAGAAGGCGTTGCAGACGCAGCTGCTTTCCATTGTGCTGAACACAACCCCTGAGGAAGTGGAGAGGGGCCTCTGCTTCAATGTGGTGAAGTAGAGGAAGTGAAGCGAAGGAGCCCTCTGCTTCAAGGGCATGCGGGAGGCACAGAGTGGGAAACGCGCGCACACACACACACACACACACACACACACACGGTCCAGCTGCATCTAAAGTTGTATACGAAGGCCGGGCGCAGTGGCTCACGCCTGTAATCCCAGCACTACGGGAGGCCAAGGCGGGTGGATCACCTAAGGTCAGAAGTTACAGACCATCCTGGCCAACATGGTGAAACCCCGCCTCTACTATAAATAGAAAAATCATCCGGGCATGGCGGAGGGCACCAGTAGTCCCAGCTACTAGGGAGGCTGAGGCAGGAGAATCGCTTGAACCTGGGAGGCGGAGACTGCAGTGAGCCGAGATCGTGCCACTGCACTCCAGCCTGGGCCACAGAGCGAGACACTGTCTCAAAAAATAAAATTAAGTTAAAAAGTTATATACTAAGATTTTCTTACTCAAATGGAAATGATGTAACAGAGAAGAGATTTATAATATTTTATGCCAAAGGGTTTTGTAAAATATGAATGTAATAATGATCATCTAAAGATTATCTCTCTATGTTCTAAAAGCATCTATTCAAGACACTATTATGTTGTCATAGGTCCTGATTCAAATTCCCTACAAACTTTTTGGAGTTTAGGGCTATGGAACTGAGCACCTTTTGATGGGTTGGTAGCTTCCTTTTTTTTTTTTTTAAATAGAATATCTCTTCTTGTCGTGACAGCCAAGAGGCTCAGAACTATGCTTGAAGCTCACTGATATGGTTTTGCTCTGTAACCCCATCCAAATCTCATCTTGAATTGTACTCCCATAATTCCCACATATTGTGGGAGGGGCCCGGTGGGAGGTAATTTGAATCGTGGGGGTGGATTCCCCATACTGTTCTCCTGGTAGTGAATAAGTCTCACAAGATCTGATGGTTTTATCAGGAGTTCCGGCTTTTGTATCTTCTCTCATTTTTCTCTTGCCACTGCCATGTAAGATGTGCCTTTGGCCTCCTGCCGTGATTCTGAGGCCTCCCCAGGCATGTGGAACTGTGTGAAAATGGACTAATACACTTACCTAGAGTAGCTTTCTGATATAATTAGCCTCCCTCCCCTCTTTCAGCTCTCAACTGGTATTAGATCTACTAACATTAAGATCTAGTCTGATCCTAATGGCTTTGGCAGATTGATATAGAATGGGCCTTTAAGTTTAACCCAGTGCCTTTCACAATGTGATTAGGGCATTGCTATGATTTGGATGTGGTTGGTCCCCAACAAGACTCACATTAAAGCTAATTGCCGCTGCAGCACTATTGGGAGGTGGGGCCTAATGGGAGGTGTTTGGAACATCAGAGTGGATCTGTTATGAATAGAATAAGGCCATCTCAAGGGAGTGAGTGAGTGCTCACTCTGGAGGGAAGGGATTTGTTCCTCTGAGAATGGGTTGTTATAAAGTGAGGTTCCTCCTCCTGTTTAGTGCCTCTTCACACACGCTTGCTTTTCCACTTCTCCACCATGTCTTGACACAGCACATAGCCCTCATCAGAAGCTAACCAGATGCTAGGGCCATGCTCTTGAACTTCCCAGCCACCAGCATTGTGAGCTAAATAACTCCTTTTCTTTTTAAATTACCCAATCTCAGATATTCTGTTACAGCAACACAAAATGGACTCAGACAGCCATAAATAAAATCTCAAACAGAAAAGCAGAGGCATCTTTGTACAGTGTCCTCCAAAGCCTAGACTGTTAGTGAGAGGGGCTGAGAAAGAACTGCGTGATAAGGGGGTACACAGCAGCCATTCCACCCCCAGGAATGGGCCATACGTGTTTCAGAGCTCAATTGTTTGGGGGAGAAAGGATTCTGTCCTCCTGTTACGACTCCTTGAGGTTATTCAAGAGTTTCATAGTGCCCAAGATCTCTACGGGGCAAACTGAGCCCCCTTAGGCCTCACTCATGGAGAGCTCTTCACAGGAAGGAGCCCCTGATCTCACCTCCTCACTCAAGCTGGCAGGAATTTGCCTCCACCCTCAAAGCCTGGTCATTTCACTCAGCTTTACACTTGTCCTTGTTCCCAGTTGATGAATGAGCCAGATTCTTAAATCATTAAGCAATCACGGAAAGAGAAATTATTGATTTTTAATTGTAGCAAAGGTTTAAACAAAATTCCCAAAAAGTCATTACCTAAATGTCATTGTTTGTCTTTTTGGGTCCTCCTTAACTGAAAGGATGGTTTTAAAAGGTTACAGAAGTGGTAGGCTTCTTCCCTCCGAGGAGGGCTTTTCCAACTTCCTGATGAATACTCAACTCTAATCCCTGGCAAGGCTGCAGCCCCCAGCCTTTAGGATCCCAACTGCATTTCCTGAAAGAACAGGACAAGGAGTAAATTCCTAATAATGTGAAAAAGAAATTCCACAGAGCCATGCTGTGAAAGAATAAATTTACTTAAATAAGATCAGCAAAAAGTAACTGATATAGTTTGGATATTTTCCCCCACTCAGATCTCATGTTGAATTATAATTCCCAAGGCTGGAGGTGGGGCCTGGTGGGAGGTGTTTAGATCATGGGAACAAATCCCTCATGGCTTGGTGCTGTCTTTGCAAAAATGAGTGAGTTCTCATGAGATCTGGTCATTTAAAAGTGTGTGGTACCCCGCACCCCAACCATCACACACACACAAACACACTCTCTCTCTTTCTCTCTCTCTTGCTCCTGCTCTGCCATGTGAGATGCCTGCTCTTCCTTCACCTTCCACCATGATTGGAAGTTTCATGAGGTCTCCCCACAAGACAAGAAGATGTCAGTGCCATGTTTTCTGCAGTCTGAAGAACCATCAGCCAATTAAACCTCTTTTATTTATAAATTACCCAGTCTCAAGTATTTCTTTATAGCAATGCAAGAATGGCCTAACAGAGAAAATCAGTATTGAGGAGTGGGGCATTTCTATAAAGATACCTGAAAATGTGGAAGTAGCTTTGGAACTGGATAACAGGCAGAGGTTGGAAGAGTTTGGAGGACTCAGAAGACAGGCAGATGAGGGAAAGTTTGGAACTTCTTAGAGACTAATTTAATGGTTGTGACCAAAAAGCTGGAAGTGTTATAGACAGTGAAGTCCAGAATGCTGAAGTCTCAGATAGAAATGAGGAACTGATTGGTAACTGGAGCAGAGGTCACTCGTGTTATGCCTTAGCAAAGAGTTTAGTTCATGCATTCTGTTCACGCCTTAGGGATCTATGGAAGTTTGAGCTAAAGAGTGATGTTTTAGGATAGCTGACAGAAGAAATTTATAAGCAGCAAAGTGTCCAAGAGGTGGCCTGAATGCTTCTAACAACCTATGCTCAGATGAGGGAACAAAGGAATGACTTGAAGTTGGAATTATGTTTTTAACAGGGAATCAGAGCATAAACGGTTGGAATATTTATAGCCCCAGCCATGTAGCAAAAAAGAAAAAGCTTTTTCAGGAGAGAAATTCAAGCATGCTGTGAAGCAACCACTTGCTAGAGATAGTTGCATAACTAAATGGAGGTCAAATGCTAATATCCAAGATGATGCAGAAAAGGCGTTGAATGCATTTCGGAGGTCTTCCCAGCAGCCCCTCCCATTACAGGCCCAGAGGCTGAGGAGGGAAGAATGGTTTCATGGGCCAAGACCAGGGCCCTGCTGCCATGTGCAGCCTTGGGACACTGCTCCTGGCATCCCAGCTGCTCCAGCTCAAGCCATGGCTCAAAGGGGCACAGGTACAGCTCCAGGTGCCACTTTGGAGAATGCAAGTCATGAGCCTTGGCAATTTCCACATGGTATTAAGCCTCCAAGTGCACAGAGTGTAAGAGCGATGGATTCTTGGTAGCTTCCTCGTAGATTTCAGAGGATATATGGAAAAGCCTGGGTGTCCAGGCAGAAGCCTGCTGCAGGGGCAGAGCCCTCACAGAGAACCTCTACTAGGGCAGTTGAGGCAGGGGGGAATGTGGGGTTGGAGGCCCCACACAGAGTCCTCACAGGTGAACTGCCTAGTGGAGCTGTGGGAAGAGGGCCACTGTCCTCAAGACCTGAGGACAGTGGTAGATGGTAGATCCACCAGCAGCTTGCACCCTGCACCTGGAAAAGCCATAGGCATTCAACTCAAGCCGGTGAGAGCAGCCTTGGGGGCTGCACTCTGCAAAACCACAGGGGTGGAGCTGCCCAAGGTCTTGAGAGCCCACCCCTTGCACCAGTGTGACCTGGATGTAGGACATGGAGTGAAAGAGATTATTTTGGAGTTTTTTTTTTTTTAATTTAAGTTTTAGGGTACATGTGCACAACATGCAGGTTTGTTACATATGTATACATGTGCCATGTTGGTGTGCTGCACCCATTAACTCGTCACTTACATTAGGTATATCTCCTAATTCTCCTAATGCTATCCCTCCCCCTCCCCCCACCCCATTGACAGGACCCGGTGTGTGATGTTCCCCTTCCTGCGTCCAAGTGTTCTCATTGTTCAATTCCCACCTATGAGTGAGAACATGCGGTGTTTGGTTTTCTGTCCTTGCGATGGTTTGCTCAGAATGATGGTTTCCAGCTTCATCCATGTCCCTACAAAGGACATGAACTCATCCTTTTTAATGGCTGCATAGTATTCCATGGTGTATATGTGCCACATTTTCTTAATCCAGTCTATCACTGATGGACATTTGGGTTGGTTCCAAGTCTTTGCTATTGTGAATAGTGCCACAATAAACATATGTGTGCATGTGTCTTTATAGCAGCATGATTTATAATCCTTTGGGTATATACCTGGTAATGGGATGGCTGGGTCAAATGGTATTTCTAGTTCTGGATCCTTGAGGAATCGCCACACTGTGTTCCACAATGGTTGAACTAGTTTACAGTCCCACCAACAGTGTGGAAGTGTTCCTATTTCTCCACATCCTCTCCAGCACCTATTGTTTCCTGACTTTTTAATGATCACCATTCTAACTGGTGTGAGATGGTATCTCATTGTGGTTTTATTTGCATTTCTCTGATGGCCAGTGATGATGAGCATTTTTTCACGTGTCTGTTGGCTGCATAAATGTCTTCTTTTGAGAAGTGTCTGTTCATATCCTTTGCCCACTTTTTGATGGGGTTGTTTGTTTTTCTTTCTTGTAAATTTGTTTGAGTTCTTTGTAGATTCTGGATATTAGCCCTTTGTCAGATGAGTAGATTGCAAAACTTTTCTCCCATTCTGTAGGTTGCCTGTTCACTCTGATCGTAGTTTCTTTTGCTGTGCAGAAGCTCTTTAGTTTAATTAGATCCCATCTGTCAATTTTGGCTTTTGTTGCCATTGCTTTTGGTGTTTTAGACATGAAGTCCTTGCCCATGCCTGTGTCCTGAATGGTATTGCCTAGGTTTTCTTCTAGGGTTTTTATGGTTTTAGGTCTAACATGTAAGTCTTTAATCCATCTTGAATTAATTTTTGTATAAGGTGTAAGGAAGGGATCCAGTTTCAGCTTTCTACATATGACTAGCCAGTTTTCCCAGCACCATTTATTAAATAGGGAATCCTTTCCCCATTGCTTGTTTTTCTCAGGTTTGTCAAAGATCAGATAGTTGTAGATGTGTGGTATTATTTCTGAGGGCTCTGTTCTGTTCCATTGGTCTATATCTCTGTTTGGTACCAGTACCATGCTGTTTTGGTTACTGTAGCCTTGCAGTATAGTTTGAAGTCAGGTAGCATGATGCCTCCAGCTTTGTTCTTTTGGCTTAGGATTGTCTTGGCAATGCAGGCCCTTTTTTGGTTCCATATGAACTTTAAAGTAGTTTTTTCCAATTCTGTAAAGAAAGTCATTGGTAGCTTGATGGGGATGGCATTGAATCTATAAATTACCTTGGGCAGTATGGCCATTTTCATGATATTGATTCTTACTATCCATGAGCGTGGAATGTTCTTCCATTTGTTTGTGTCCTCTTTTATTTTGTTGAGCAGCGGTTTGTAGTTCTCCTTGAAGAGGTCCTTCACATCCCTTGTAAGTTGGATTCCTAGATATTTTATTCTCTTTGAAGCAATTGTGAATGGGAGTTCACTCATGATTTGGCTCTCTGTTTGTCTGTTATTGGTGTATAAGAATGCCTGTGATTTTTGCACATTGATTTTGTATCCTGAGACTTTGCTGAAGTTGCTTATTAGCTTAAGGAGATTTTGGGCTGAGACAATGGGGTTTTCTAAATATACAATCATGTCATCTGCAAACAGGGACAATTTGACTTCCTCTTTTCCTAATTGAATACCCTTTATTTTTTTCTCCTACCTGATTGCCCTGGCCAGAACTTCCAACACTATGTTGAATAGGAGTGGTGAGAGAGGGCATCCCTGTCTTGTGCCAGTTTTCAAAGGAAATGCTTCCAGTTTTTGCCCATTCAGTCTGATATTGGCTGTGGGTTTGTCATAAATAGCTCTTATTATTTTGAGATACTTCCCATCAATACCTAATTTACTGAGAGTTTTTAGCATGAAGCGATGTTGAATTTTGTCAAAGGCCTTTTCTGCGTCTATTGAGGTAATCATGTGGTTTTTGTCTTTGGTTCTGTTTATATGCTGGATTACATTTATTGACTTGCATATGTTGAACCAGCCTTGCATCCCAGGGATGAAGCCCACTTGATCATGGTGGATAAGCTTTTTGATGTGCTGCTGGATTCGGGTTGCCAGTATTTTATTGAGGATTTTTGCATCGATGTTCATCAAGGATATTGGTCTAAAATTCTCTTTTTTTTTGTTGTGTCTCTGTCAGGCTTTGGTATCAGGATGATGCTGGCCTCATAAAATGAGTTAGGGAGGATTCCCTCTTTTTCTATTGATTGGAATAGTTTCAGAAGGACTGGTACCAGCTCCTCTTTGTGCCTCTGGTAGAATTTGGCTGTGAATCCGTCTGGTCCTGGACTTTTTTTGCTTGGTAGGCTATTAATTATTGCCTCAATTTCAGAGCCTGTTATTGGTCTATTCAGGGATTCAACTTCTTCCTGGTTTAGTCTTGGGAAGGTGTATGTGTCCAGGAATTTATCCATTTCTCCTAGATTTTCTAGTTTATTTGCACAGAGGTGTTTATAGTATTCTCTGATGGTAGTTTGTATTTCTGTGGGATCGGTGGTGATATCCCCTTTATCATTTTTTATTGCGTCTATTTGATTCTTCTCTCTTTTTGGAGCTTTAAAATGTAATGAATGCCCTGCTGGGTTTCAGACTCATATGGGGCTTCTAGTCCCCTTTTTTGACCAACTTCTGTCTTTTGAAATGGTAATGTTTACCCGATGCCTGTACCACCATAGTATCCTTGGAAGTAAATAACTTGTTTTTGATTTTACAGGCTCATAGATGAAAGAGACTTGCCTTGTCTCAGATGAGACTTTGAACTTTTGAGTTAATGCTGGAAAGAGTTAAGACTTTGGGGAACTATTGGGAAGGCATGATTGTATTTTGCCATGTGAAAAGAACATAAGATTTGAGAGGGACCAGGGGCAGAATAATATAGTTTGGATGTTTGTCCCCACCCAAATCTCATGTTTGAATTATAATTCCCAATGCTGGAGACAGGGCCTGGTGGGAGGTGTTTCTATCATGGGGGCAGATTCCTCATGGCTTGGTGCTGTCTTCACGATAGTGAGTGAGTTCTCATGAGATCTGGTCATTTAAAAGTGTGTATACCTCCCTCCTATTCTCCTGCTCTTGCTCTTGCTCTGCCATGTGAGATACCTGCTCCCCCTTAATTTTCCGCCATGATTGGAAGTTTTGTGAGGCCTCCCTGGAAGCCAAGCATATGCCAGCTTTGTTTCATGCTTTCTTTGCCATGCTTCCTGTACAGCCTGTAGAACCTGAGCTCTTAAACCTTTTTTCTTTATAAATTACCCAGTCTCAGGCATTTCTTTATTGCAATGTGAGAAGGGCCTGACACAGTAACTGCCTCCATTTACTGATATGAATCAATTAATTGGCTGTATAAAATTAAGGGCCTGATATATGGGACATGCTATGAATTGAATGTTTGTGTCCCCCAAAATTCATATGTTGAAATATAATCTCCAATATTATGGTATTTGAAGGTGGGGCCTTTGGCAAGTAGTTAAGTCATGAGTGTAGAGCCCTCGTGATAGGATTAGTGCCCTTATAAGGAGAGGCCAGAGTGATCTCCCTTTCTCCTTCTGCCATCTGAGAACATGATGAGAAGGTAGCAGTCTGCAATTTCGAACTGGGACCTCACCAGAACCTGACCATACTGGCACCCTGACCTTGGACTTGCAACCTCCAAAACTGTGAGAAGTAGATTTCTGTTGTTTGTAAGCCACCAGGTCTATGGTACTTTGTTCTATCAGCTCAAACTGACTAAGGCAGGACAAATTGTTCTTTATTCATTATTCATTTATTCATTACTCATTGACTTATGAATAAAGGGACAGGCATCCAAATAGGAAAGAAAGAAGTAAAATTATCTCTATTTGAAGATGACATGATCCCATATGTAAAAAACCCAAAGATTCCACAAAACACTGTTAGAACTAATAAATGAATTCAATAATGTTGCAGGATACAAAATCAATATACAGTAATCGGTAGCATTTTTATTCACAAATGCCAACCTAACTTGAGAAAATAAATTGAAGAGGACACAAATAAGTGGAAAGCTTCCTGTGCTCATGAATCTGAAGAATTAATATTGTTAAAATATCCATACTTCCCAAAACAATATGCAGATTCAACACAATCCCTATCAAAATCCCACTGGCATTCTTTGCAGAAATAGAAAAAACAAATCCTAAAATTTGTGTGGAAACATAAGACCACAAATGGCCCAAAGAATGTTGAGCAAAAAGAACAAAGCTGTAGGCATCACACTTCCTGATTTTAAATTATATTCCAAAGCTACAGTAATCAAAACAGTAGGGGATTGGTATAAAAACAGAAGTGTAGACTAATGGAAAAGAATAGAGAGCCCAGAAATAAGTCAAAATATATAAAATCAACTAATTTTTGCCAAAGACATCAAGAGGACACACTGGAGAAGGGATAGTTTCTTCAATATCTCCAAAAGTTGGATATTCACTGTCAGCAGGCCCTGCAAGCAATGATTTAGAGACCCAGCTCCTTATGTCTTCTGGCTGCAGCATCTTTATCACTGACTTTAAGGTGAATGTCTCCATCAAGCCAAATGAAGGGGAAAGAAAGCTGGAGAGTGACAGTGGCAGACCTGGAAGAATTATTTGTCACTCTCAGTTAAATTCCATTGAACGGACTTCAGTCTCATGACCACACTAACTGCAAATGAGATTGGGATATGAGGCCCAGCTGTGTGCCCAGGAAGAGAAAGAAATGTGCAAATAGGCAGCCAGCCTCTGCCACACACCCTCTTCCCTGGCCTGCCTGCAGCGCCCTTACACGATTAACCAATTAACCAACAGGGAGCACACAGACTTGACCACAGCGCCATCAGCTCCCGCGAATAGCAAGCTAGTCAGCCAGGTGTAGGTGCTGCTTCAGCCAGCTGAGCTGCATGCATGTTTATCTTGTCAAGTATGTTCGTTCTCAAATCTATTTATGCTGGCTACACTGATATGTAGTTTAATTAGATGTTATAAATTAATGAAATATAAGTATTAAAAGAGGAAAAGTTATTATGTCTGCGAAACTGAAAGATGAATGAATGCTTTGGGGATACTAGATGGAGGTAGGTCACTAAATAACACTGCTACTGAATTAGGAGTGGGTGAGACCCTGGTAAAGGACTGGGGATAGGGGACAAAAAGTCAGACAAATCTAGAAGTACTCAGCTCTCATTGTCTGGCACCTATCTTTAAGCTTTACCTTCACTTTATAAGAGTAAAACTGGAAATCTTTGCTGTCTGTGATGTATTACCAGTATAATATTCTAAAGAAAGAAGAAACTCTAACCAGTGGACAAATATTCAAAGAAATTACCTTGACCCTGTTAGATAATTTTCAATAAAAGGTAAAATCATGACTCTTATTCAAATATAAAAAAAGAACACATATTAAAGACTTTATTAAACTTATTAAATGAAGGAACCAGGTAAGTGTTCTAACCTTCAAAGGAAAGGTCAAAAAAGAAACACATTTATAAGCAGAAATGTTGAATTAAATGTGCAAATGGACACAGGCGGGCTTTCCCACGTGAGACTGGGAAAACAATTTCCAGCAGACAAGACATAAATTGTGTGTCTATCAGTTACCTACAATGTAGAGATTTCTACAAGAGCTCCCATAGATTCAGCCTGATAAGGCAGAAGGCTGTGCTACAGAGGATGCAAAGTTTCCCGTTGAAGTACAACATGTTCTTCTACAACCCAAGTCAGAAGATTGGAGAATGAACACATTTATATGAGGCAAGTTAGAGGAAGTATGTAAGGTCTATGTATCGTTTTTAATGGTTTCTATATTTACCAATTAACTGGTTAACAATTAGCCTCAATCCTTTGAATTAGAGAATCTCAGTTGTAAGACACCTTCTTTCACTGGCCAAAAGGAATGGTTAAAGAAAAGATTTGTTGTTTTCTAGTTCAAAACAAAAGGAAACAACACAGGAATTGATTATCTTTTCCAAATGTAGTAACCTGGAAAAATGAGCATTAAAGATGTAACTATTTGGAGAAACAAAGTGAAGCATACCTAGAACTTCCCTGTAATATTTGTGCAATTTCCTATGAATCTATAATTATTTCAAAATAAAAAGTTCTTAAAAAGTACATTAAAGTACAGCACTAGTAGAGACTCCCAAAACTACCACCTTCCCTTTCCAGTAGGACAAAGGAAAATTGTCTGGGACAGGGAGCAAGGGACAAAGGAGGCTGCTCTGTGTATTCAAGACTAGGATTAACAAATCTTAGAGGACACAGCGTTTTTCTGCTCAAAAAGGGCACGAGGGTTACAAAGCCAAAATTGCCTGAGCAGTGTGGAGTGCAGAGAACTTGAACCTGAGAGTAGTAGATCTTAGCAGGAGATGGGACTCATTGCTTTTCTTAGATTTTAGGAGTTTGAGTTGTCAGTCTTTCTACTGTCAGATGTCAAAAAGTATAGTGGCAATAGCAGCAACATCAATGCCATTTTCCTGGTTTGGGGTGTACTACAGTTATGTAAGGTATTACCACTGGAGCTCGGGGAAGAGACTAAGGAACTCTCAGTACTACTTTTACAACAATTTAAATAATTGAGTCTACACTTATTTAAAAATAAAAGTTAAAAAAAGAATAGTGGCATATCATTCAAAGTTTATATAGTTGACTTTATAAACTTTTGCTGATTATACTTTGTTCCTGACACAGATAGAATTGTCTGGTAATTTTTCTGGGATGTTGGGTCTGTTATGAGGTCAGATGAATTATGGAGCAAATAAGGGTCAAATTAGCAGTAAAAGTATCATTCCAGGGTATTGGAACTTCCTCCAACAGTGTTTAAAGGACAATCAAAAAAACATTAACAAGCAGAAGTGCTTTTTATACCTTCAGGAAAGGACAAACTTAAGAGCTTTCTTCTGCGGATCATAGTCAAAGGTCTAGTTTCCGGTGAAGAAAACCTGTGGTTGTTCTGCTTCTGTCTCTGTAAATGCATTCAGAGTCAGATTTGCAGGAGAATTCTTTCCCATGCACAAATCTAAACATAGATTGGGCCTGACTATGCAAGTTTCCCTTAAACGGAAGAAGGGCATCAGGCACCCGAGTGTGTGATGGTTCCTAATACTGCGATTACAACAACTGGGCCCTCAGAGTTGCGGGTCCTCACGGCATCTCCACAGCCAGGCACGGGGCTTCGTCAGCACAACAATGATCATCTCCAGACGGTCTTTCTGACTTGGAATGGCAGCCTTTGGCTGAGCCGCAGTAGGACCCCCATAAACGCCTGCTCTGTCAGCCCTCCTTTGCCCTGGGTGCTCCCTTCTTTATTCCTGCTGTGGAGGCTCACAGGGACAGGGAAAGTTTCTTTACAGACCGAACAAGCTACAAGGATTCTGCTACCTCATTTAGAATAATAATAAACAAGACCACAATTGTCTAGTGAGCACCATCTTTTAAAATAAACCTTCCCTGAGGAACAGGGGACTGTTTTGAGAAAGTAGCTTTTAGGAATGTGTTAAGTGGCATTGTTTTATGGTTACTTGTACAGAGAGCGTTTTATCTGTTGTTTTTCAGCACATGTGAGTGCCCTACCACTAGTTTATTCCAGTGCGATAAAATGTACTTTTTGTCCTAATATAGAGGATGCTGCTTACTAAAAACAGAAGCCCATTCTGCAACTTTGTTCATATATTTAAGACCCCAAGTCACAACTCTTTTTTTCTGTAGAAGAGCATGAGCAAACCCTTGGCATATTCTCAACAGGTTTGTAGCTATACGGGAAAGAATGTTGTCCCATCTTCCAAAGAGCAGCTAAACATCAGCCCAACCTTTTATGAAGTTAATTTCACTAAAAACTTGTATTTTTTTCTGCCAGGCGCGGTGGCTCACACCTGTAATCCGAGCACTTTGGGAGGCCAAGGTGGGCAGACCACTTGAGGTCAGGCGTTTGAGACCAGCCTGACCAACATGGTGAAACCCTATCTCTACTAAAAATACAGAAATTAGCCGGGTGTTGTGGCGGGCACCTGTAATCCCAGCTGCTTGGGAGGGTGAGGCAGGAGAATCACTTAAACCCAGAAGGTGGAGGTTGCAGGGAGCCAAGATTGCGCCTCTGCACTCCAGCCTGGGCTACAGAGGGAGACCCTGTCTCAAAAAAAAAAAACCAAAAACAAAAACAAAACTTGCAGTTTTTTTAATTGCAGCTATGGCCTTCAATAGCTAAATTCAGCTATTCAAGCACTGTGCTCAGGGGATGTAAGTCATCAAGACAAGCATAGTCCTCAGTCTTAGGAGATTTGCACCTAAATTACAAAATCATCAATAAAATCAATAAACAAAGGGTAAATATATATCAAGTGAAGTGTTTGTTTTGTTTTGTTCATTTTGTTTTCCTGAGATGGAGTCTTGCTCTGTCACCCAGGCTAGAGTGCAGTGGCGTGATCTCGGCGCATTGCAACCTCCACCTCCCAAGTTCAAGTGATTCTCCTGCCTCAGTCTCCCGAGTAGCTGGGATTACAGGCACACACTACCACGCCTGGCTTTTTTCTTTTTTTTTTTTTAAGTACAGGCAGGGTTTCACTGTGTTGGCCAGGCTGGTCTCGAACTCCTGAACTCAGATGACCCACCTGCCTTGGCCTCCCAAAGTGGTGGGATTACAGGGATAAGACACTGTGCCCAGCCTCAAGTGAAGTTTTATAATGGTGCAAAATTGTAATCAACTTGAGTTTCAAACAGGACACTTTGGTTAAATAAATTATATACAAACCAGCCATTAAAAATGGTGTAGAAGACACACTTAATGATTTGGAAACAGTATAGTAAGTGAAAACAAACACCAATGAAATACACTGCATATATGGTGCGAATGTGCTGAAGGAAGTACAAATAATTATAGGTCACCTGAGGTTATCTCCAAATGGAAGGATAATGGGTGATTTTCATTTTCTTCTTTTTTCTTTTTATATTTTCTATAATAAATATGCATTATTTTGTAATTTGACAAAACTAATAATTATTTCCCCCTTAAGTGAAAGAAAAATGCATCCCTAATGTTATTTACAATATAAAAATCTGATGCTAATCAAGTATTTTCTTTTTTTTTTTTTTTTTGATGGAGTCTCACTCTGTTGCCCAGGCTGGAGTGCAGTGGCGTGATCTTGGCTCACTGCAGCCTCCACCTCCCGGGTTCAAGCGATTCTCCTGCCTCAGCCTCCCAAGTAGCTGGGACTACAGGCGCCTGCCACTGCACCCGGCTAATTTTTGTACTTTTAGTAGAGATGGGGTTTTACCGTGTTAGCCAGGATGGTCTCAAATTCCTGACCTTGTGATCCATCCACCTCGACCTCCCTAAGTGCTGGGATTACAGGCGTGAGCGACCGCGCCTGGCCTCAAGTACTTTCTTTAAGAATATATATGTGATTGCTTGTCTGTATATAAGCTATTTCTGGAAGGAGACTCAAGAAATAGCATTATTGATTGCCTCCAGGGAGGGGAAATAAGTGTTTAGGGACATAAGTAGATAGAAGGCTTTTCACCCAACATTGTTTTATATCTTCTAAATGTGTAACCTATTCAAAAATTAATTTAAAGCTTGGAAATTAAAATTTTAATCGATAGTAACTGAAAGTTACCTTTATCAGCCTTAGTCAAGTCCTTGCCTTGGTGTCACTGGCAAGCCTTCAATGCTTGGGACCTCAACCAGCATATCCCATAAGGTTTTTTCCAACTTACTCACTACAAGTAATGCATATGGGGCTGGGCGCAGTGGCTCACGTCTGTAATCCCAGCACTTTGGGAGGCGGAGGCGGGCAGATCACACAAGGCCAGGAGTTTGACAGCAGCCTGGGCAACATGGCGAAACCTCATCTCTACTAAAAATATAAAAATTAGCTGGGCGTGGTTGTGCACACCGGTAATCCCAGCTACTCGGGAGGCTGAGGCAGGAGAATCACTTGAACCTGGGAGATGGAGGTTGCAGTGAGCCGAGATCACGCCACTGCACTCTATCCTGGGTGACAGACCAAGACTCCGTCTCAAAAAAAAAGAAAAAAAGTAATGCATAAAGAGTCTACACATTCCTAAAGCTCAGTCATGGATACTCTTTTCAAGAACCTGATTGCTATGGGCAGAATGTTAAATGTAATGTGTTCTGTGGGCTACAGTTGACAAAGCAACCTATCAGTTACTCTATCCTGCTTGCTACACAGTTGTTGATCACGGTGGGTAGAGAGAATAGAGGGTGAAGGAAAGTCACTGATTTCATTGATGGGGTAAAATACATTGAGCTTGATAATCAAAATTGAGGCTAACCTTGGCACCATTACTCTAACGGCCACACTGGATCTTCCCATGTGTAAGGTTACTCTATCTGTCTTGGGATACCCTCAGTCCCACTTTTTCATTGACTTCCCTTTTGGAGGCCTATGACTGCAGGGTTTGCTTCTGTTCTGGTCTGTCCTCCTGGGATCCATTCAGCTGCCCCTCCCATGAAACTTTTTCTCACTGTTCCACTCCTGAGCCACTTGGGCCACTCAGGACTGCTATAGCACCTAAACTCTGGACCACACTCTTTGGTGGTAATACACTGCCTTGGATGTTCACTGTGTAGTCAGTTGTGATTTGTTTCTCCAACTAGATTCTCAGCTTCTGAAGGCAGGACCATGAACTATATTGGGGCCCCTACTGAACCGAACATAAAGTAGATACTCATTATTGCTTATTTGACTAACTATAATAACATAAAATTATGTACACACACACACACTCTTTCCAGGAATATTGCTCTCTCTGCCTCAAGTTCCCCTCTCTTGTTCCACACATGGGGAATTCCTTGTCATTCATCCAAGCACAGTAACTGATGTCACTGGGCTTTGATGAATCTAAGTCTTCCCTCTAGTCTCCAGAGCACCTCGCAAGCTGCACTCTCACATTGAACTGACTGCTGTGGCCCTCTACCCGCTCCACCGTATCACTCCCATTGAATGCCCATGCTTAGCCATGTCTAAACATAAAAGGGACCAACACATTTTTAATGCATCAAAGAATAGCCAATGGCAATGTTTTTCAGAGTGAATTCCCAATCCCACATTCTCTAAATTTTTTTGGATGTCCATGGATGTTCTATAAAAGTTTGTTAATATTGTGTTTTCATTTTGATTATTGGTCTACTTAAAAATATTTAACTCTATTATTAATTAATGAATGAATAGCTGAAGGAAGTCTTGCTAACCAGTGGGATTTGGGTGACCATGTTTACATGTGTATATTTATGTGCTGGTTTTCAGAAATTAAATGTCTCAACTAATTAGAAAAGAAATGGGAAAATACCATAAATATGTAAGTGATGCATTCGGTAAAGTGAAAGCCGAATGGCTGTCAAGACTATGTCTGTGAGTGAAGGTTTCATAGCAGTTTGATAGAGACCAGCGGTGGGAAAATGAGATCATCATGTCATATGCAGTCATGGAGACTGTGGTAGGGACAGTCAGAACATGGCCTCACTGCAGGATGAGGCGTAGTCTCCACAGAACAGCAGTGTATCCCATGAAATGGCAACTTGAATTTTGTTGGGTTTGGTGGTCTTTTGTGTTCAATTTGTAAATTTCTTTTTGTTTTAAAATAGCAATAGGTGTTATACACATGAAGAGTTTATTACTAGCTTTATGTTGATGCATGTTTAAGAAATATTATAAGAAAAATAATATGGCTGGGCGCAGTGGCTCACTCCTGTAATCCCAGCGCTTTGGAAGGCCGAGGTTGGTGGATCGCCTGAGGTCAGGAGTTCAAGACCAGCCTGACCAACATGATGAAAACCCGTCTCTACTAAAAATACAAAAAATTAGCAGGGCATTGTGGCAGGCACCTGTAATCCCAGCTACTTGGAGGCTGAGGCAGGAGAATTGCTTGAACCTGGAGGCGGAGGTAGCAGTGAGCCGAGATAGCACCACTGCACTCTAGCCTGGGCAACAAGAGCAAAACTCTGTTTCAAAAAAGGAAACATAAGATAAGGGAATAGTCCAGGCTGGGCACTAAGAGCAAAACAGAAAGAGAGAAAGAAAGGAAGAAAGAAAAGAAAGAAAGAAAGAAAGGAAAGGAGAGAGAAAGAGAAAGAAAGAGAGAGCGAGAGAGAGAGCAAGAGAGAAGAAAGAAAGAAAAGAAATGAAAAGAAAGGAAAAGAAAAGAAAATTAATGTAAGGGAATAGTAGCCGTCTTCTTTTCTTTTCTTTTTTTTGGGGGGGTGGGGGATAGAGCGAGACTCTGTCCCCCAGGCTGGAGTGCAGTGGTGCAATCTTGGCTCACTACAAGCTCTGCCTCCCGGGTTCACGCCATTCTCCTGCCTCAGCCTCCTTAGTAGCTGGGACTACAGGCGCCCGCCACCACGCCCGGCTAATTTTTTGTATTTTTAGTAGAGACGGGGTTTCACCATGTTAGCCAGGATGGTCTCAATCTCCTGACCTTGTGATCTGCCCACCTCAGCCTCCCAAAGTGCTGGGATTACAGGCGTGAGCCACTGCGCCCGGCCCTTTTCCTTTAAGAGAGTCTACAAGTAACCTCAGATGGGAATTCAAAGCCACATACATGCAAAAAAAAAAGCTCTGGTAAAGGTGATTATGCATTTTTAAAAAACAGTATAAATACTTGAAAGTGCAGTATAAACTAATAAGAGCAAAATTTGGGAAATCCACAAATATGTGGAAATTAGACAACATAATTCAAAATAATCAATAGGTCAAAGAAGAAATCACAAGGTAAATTAGAAAATACCTTGAGGTGAATAAAAATGAAAACACTACATAACAATACTGTGGAATGCAGGGAAAGCAGTGATCAGAGGGAAATTTTTCTAGCTGTAAGCATCTATACTAAACAGAGAAGAAACGTCTCTAATTAACAACCTAGCTTTCTACCTTAAGACACTGGGAAAAGAAGAGCAAACTAAACACTAATGCAAATGTAAGGAAGAAAATAACAGGGATTAGAGCAGAAATTAATGACATAGACGGTTCTTTGAAAAAATCAACAAAATGGACAAATCTTTAGCTAGACTGACCAAGGAAAAGACTAGAAGACTAAAATTAGGAATGAAAGAAGGGACATTATGACTAATCTTACAAAAATAAAAAGGATTATAGGGGAATACTATGAAGAACTGTAGGCCAACAGATTAGGAAACTTAAGTGAAATTGAACAATTTCTACAAATACACAAACTACTAAAATTGACTTAAGAAAAAATAGGAGATCTGAATAAGCCTATAATAATTAAAGATATTGAATTATTAATTAAAAGCTACTGACAAAAAAGGGGGGGGCAGGCTCAGATTGCTTTAATGTTAAATTCTAACAAACATTTAAAGAACTAATACCAATCCTTCAAAAATTCTTCCAAAACATTGACAAGGAAGGAACACTTTGCACTGCATTCTATGAGACCAGAATTACCCTGATACACAAACCAGACAGACACCACAGGAAAATAAAACTAGAGACCAACATTTCTTATGAATATAGATACAAACATTTATTTTCAACAAAATACTAATAAACTGAATCCCACAATGTATAAAAAGGATTTTACACCATAAACATATGGGATTTGTCCCGAGAATGCAAGATGAGTTCAATCAATGTGATGCAGGGCAGGCAAGCCCCAAAATTGGGAGAGTTTTTGGCTTCGCTCAGGAAAGAATTTAAGTGTGAACTTGTGGTGTGAAACAGCAACGTATATTGAAGCAGCAGTGTATAGTGGCAGCAGAGGTACTGCTCCTTGTGCAGCAAAGCTACCCCATAGGCACTATACCCAGAGCAGCAGCTCAGAGGCAGTACTATTTGTACCCACTTTTAATTATATGCAAATTAAGGGGCAGATTATGCATAAATTTCTAGAAAAAAGCTGGTAACTTCCAGGCTGTTGGGTTGTTGCCATGGAAAGGGGCAATCACTTCTGGATGTTGCCATGGCAATGGTAAACTGACATGGCACGCTGGTGGGTGTGGCTTACAAAAAGCTGCTTCTGCCCTGTGTCTGTCTTAGCTAGTCCTCAATTTGGTCTGGTGTCCAAGCCCTGCCTGCAGAGCTGAGTCCCACCTACTACCTCAAATGTAATGTACCTTTATAGAATAAAAGACAAAACCACACGATTATTTCAATCAATACTGAAAAAGCATTTGAAAAAATCCAGCATTCCCTCATGATAAAAACACCCAACAAACTAGAAATATAGAAGGGAATTTTCTCAACCTGACAAAGGGCACATATGAAAAGCTTGTAGCTGGCCAGGTGTGGTGGCTCACGCCTGTAATCCTGGCACATTGGGAGGCCAAGGTGGGTGGATCACCTGAGGTCGGGAGTTCCAGACGAGACCAGCCCGGCCATCATGGTGAAACCCTGTCTCTATTAAAAATACAAAAAAAGAAAGAAAAAGAAAAACCTACAGCTAATATCATACTTAATGTTGAAAAACTATCTGCTTTCTCCCTAACATCAGGAACAAGACAAGGATATTTGCTTTGGCACTTATATTCAGTGTTGCACTACCACCTCTAGCCATGTTAATTAGGCAGGAAAATGAACTTAAAGGAATCCAGATTGGAAAGGAAGAAATAAAACTCAATTTTCAGAGGATTTTTGTCTTACATATAGAAAATTCTAAGAAATGCATTAAAAGCCTATTAAAAACTAACAAAACAAGTTTAGCAAAGTTGCAGGATACAAGATCAAGGTACAAAAATCAATTGTATTTCTATAGATCAGTCATGAACAAACTAAAAATGATATTAAAACAATTCCATTTATAATAACATCAAGAATAAGATATTTAGAAATAAAATTAGGAAAAGAAGTATACAAATGCTCTGAAAACCACATAACATTTTTTAAAGAAATTAAAGAAGAGTTAATTAAGTGTTAAGATAGCTCATGTCCAAGAATCAGAAGACTTAATATTGTTAAGATGGTGGCACTACCTAGACTGGTATCTGTAGACTTATTGCAATGCCTGTCAAAATCTCAGCTTTTTGCAGAAATTAACAAGCTGATACTAAAATTCATGTGGCAATGCAAGACAATCAAAACAACCAAAACAATCTTGAAAGGAAAAAACGAAGTTGGAAGATTCACACTTTCTGATTTCAAAACTTACTACAAAGCTATAGTAATCAACTACTTTAAAGTTCATATGGAACCAAAAAAGAGCCCGCATCACCAAGTCAATCCTAAGCCAAAAGAACAAAGCTGGAGGCATCACGCTACCTGACTTCAAACTATACTGCAAGGTTACAGTAACCAAAACAGCATGGTGCTGTTACCAAAACAGAGATATAGATCAATGGAACAGAACAGAGCCCTCAGAAATAACGCTGCATATCTACAACTATCTGATCTTTGACAAACCTGAGAAAAACAAGCAATGGGGAAAGGATTCCCTATTTAATAAATGGTGCTGGGAAAACTGGCTAGCCATATGTAGAAAGCTGAAACTGGATCCCTTCCTTACACCTTATACAAAAATTAATTCAAGATGGATTAAAGACTTAAACGTTAGACCTAAAACCATAAAAACCCTAGAAGAAAACCTAGGCATTACCATTCAGGACATAGGCATGGGCAAGGACTTCATGTCTAAAACACCAAAAGCAATGGCAACAAAAGCCAAAGTTGACAAATGGGATCTAATTAAACTAAAGAGCTTCTGCACAGCAAAAGAAACTACCATCAGAGTGAACAGGCAACCTACAAAATGGGAGAAAATTTTTGCAACCTACTCATCTGACAAAGGGCTAATATCCAGAATCTACAATGAACTCAAATAAATTTACAAGAAAAAATCAAAAAACCCCATCAAAAAGCGGGCAAAGGATATGAACAGACACTTCTCAAAAGAAGACATTTATGCAGCCAAAAGACACATGAAAAAATGCTCGTCATCACTGGCCATCAGAGAAATGCAAGTCAAAACCACAATGAGATACCATCTCACACGAGTTAGAATGGTGATCATTCAAAAGTCAGGAAACAACAGGTGCTGGAGAGGATGTGGAGAAATAGGAACACTTTTACACTGTTGGTGGGACGGTAAACTAGTTCAACCATTGTGGAAGTCAGTGTGGCGATTCCTCAGGGATCTAGAACTAGAAATACCATTTGATCCAGCCATCCCATTACTGGGTATATACCCAAAGGACTATAAATCATGCTGCTATAAAGATACATGCACACGTATGTTTATTGCGGCACTATTCACAATAGCAAAGACTTGGAACCAACCCAAATGTCCATCAATGATAGACTGGATTAAGAAAATGTGGTACATATACACCATGGAATACTATGCAGCCATAAAAAATGATGAGTTCATGTCCTTTGTAGGGGCATGGATGAAATTGGAAATCATCATTCTCAGTAAACTATCGCAAGGACAAAAAACCAAACACCGCATGTTCTCACTCATAGGTGGGAATTGAACAATGAGAACACATGGACACAGGAAGGGGAACATCACACTATGGGGACTGTTGTGGGGTGGGGGGAGGGGGGAGGGATAGCATTAGGAGATATACCTAATGCTAAATGACGAGTTAATGGGTGCAGCGCACCAGCATGGCACAGGTATACATAGGTAAGTAACCTGCACATTGTGCACATGTACCCTAAAACTTAAAGTATAAAAAAAAAAAAAAGCTATAGTAATCAACACAATATGGTACTGGCAGAAGGAATGCATAAATGATGTCAATTGAGCAATAAATCCAGCAAATGGTTGCTGTGAAGACAAATGGAGCCCAAGTGGACTGTATTAAGAGAATCAAGTTTCCATTCATCCAGTGAACATTTAAGTTTGTTTCTATTTGCACTGGAAGCTAGCAACTGCCTACAGCAATGCTCCAGGAGTTAGAAACAAAGGTTCTTGAGTTTGACAAACATTCTCCATGGTTATCAGAAACCTTACTGCTAATAAAGAATGTTGGCGTAAGCTGACCAAGTGAGGGTGTCCAGTGCTTTTTCACACTTGCTGCTGCACGTTTCCTTAGCCCCTGTCTCCCAGCTCCTCCTAGGGATGGGTAAGGCCACCGGCTCCTCTTTCTTTACATTTTGAGTAAGAAGGATTTAATATGGTCGGCCTTTCAAACGAGTCTCGGGTATAGTAGGCCTTCACTACAGAAGTAATTAGTTGGAACTGTTACTGATGGAAGTTGTCCTGGTTACTGGCAATGAATCCCTACAGGTCTGCAGCAACCTCAGTTCTTGCTTCCTCAGAAGAAAGGATTCAACTGAGGGGCATTGCCCGCTCATGCCTGTCTAACCACCTGTAATAGGACTGTATCGGACTATTGGGATTGGAAATGGGTTGAAAAACATAAAGAACATAAATCCATAGGGACAGAAAGTAGATTAGTGTTTGCAAAGGGCTGGGGTAGAGGAGAATGAAGAGTGACTGCTAATGGGTGCAGGTTTCTTCAGGGTTGATGAAAATGTTGTGGAATTAGATAGTGGTGACAGTTGCACAACTCTGTGAACATAATAAACATCACTGAATTGTACATTTTAAGCAGATGGGTTTCATGGTATGCGAATTATATCTCAATCAATCAATCAATAATGAGAGCTGCTTCAGTGGCCAAAAATACCAGATGGAGCAGAGTAGTTTAGTAACACGAAAGTCTAGATCGTAGATATTTTGAGCAACAACTGCAAACTCGATTTGAGGGCAGGACTGGAGACTTCGAAGAAGGTTTTATATGAGGCCAAAGGAGCTGCAGTTTCTCTTTCCAGAATGGAGGAAAAGGTTGAAGGTAATTTTTCTGACATTTGAAGATTAGATTACATGAGTGTAATAAGTTTACTGAGCTCAATATTTGACTTTGCATTTAGTCCAGGACAAACTATTCATTGAAAGATTGGGTGGTTCTTATGAATGCTCTCATGTATTTTAAAGGCTTTATATATAAATCTATTGGGAGTGGGGATAGACTTCAGGATACATCTCCAGGCAAGAGCAGAAAGTAGTGATCGCAGTGGGGAGGTCTATATTGAACGCAGGGAGTCAAGCACAAAGGAAATAGAACTTAAGAGGGAAGGAGCAGCAGCTATAGCGTACTGGCTGACTCAAGCATCGAGATGTCCTTGTCTCTAGTGATTCTTGATCCCCACTATCCTTTCCTTGAGTATCCAAACCAGGGAGGCAAGAAGTTCAAAGCCCTAGAACTTTGAGGCTGGAAGCTCAAAAAGTCTTCTGAAATGAGTGTCTGAATTAGTAGCCTGATATATGACGACATGGTTTGTCTTCTCAGGTAAACAAGGCTGTTGTATTTTCCAACTTAGAGGAGACCCTGCCTACCCTTAGGAAGTAGACAAGATGGAAGTCTAGCACACTTAATAGGTAGATTTGCTTATGTCTCTGCCTAAGGGATAGAGCTCTCCCTAGGAGAGAACTCATCCAAAGGAAGAGGAGGCAGAGTGTCATGGAACTAACATAGATTTGCTACTGAGTTTGGTCCGCACCCGGCCTTCCCTGAACTTATTATATCTGGGCCCCAGGGAAAGAAGGGACAATGAGTAAAAATGGAAGGAGGCAATTTTCCTTGAAGCATTTGTGAGATGGAAGCAGCTTTAGCCGAGTGTAACACAAAAAGGGAGAGAGGCATTCTGTTTTCAGCTGAGCTAAACCCATCTTTAGGCCCAACATTTGTACTGCTATTTTGGGTATCTCTAGGCTCTGCCAGTTGGAAGTGGGCGGAAGCTATATATTTCATTCCCCAAAACCTCACAACCAGATGGTACGTACCAATCATTGTACGTCTCAGACTGGAATCTGCAATGTACAGGTCTCATTAGCAACTAGGTTCCCAAAGTCACACAACCAGTTTTGTGACCTCTGTGGTTTCCCACCTCTTTCCATTTATTGGCACCCATACACTGGATTCGTTCCCTAGGGCTGCAGTAACAAAGTAATGATATCTTGATGGTAAAAAGCAGCAGAAATTCATTATCTCACAGTTCTGGCGGCTAGAAGTCTGACATCAAGGTGTCCGCGGGGCAAGGCTCCCTCTGAGACTCTGGGTAAAATCTTCCCTTGACTCTTCCGAGCTTCGAGTTGCTGCCGGCAATCCTTCACATTCCTTGGCTTGCAGCTGCATCACTCTAGTATCTGCTCTATCATCATGTGACATTCTTCTCTCGGTGTGGCTCTTCCCTTCTTATCAGGACACCAGTCATATTGGATCAAGGGCCCACCCTGTTCCAGTATAACTTCCTCTTAACTCGATTCCATTTGCGAAGACCCTGTTTCCAAAAAAGGTCCCATTCATAGGTGCCAGGGGTTAGGATTTCAATATATATTTTGGGGGAGCACAATTCAACCCACATCGTGCCAGAAAAGGCCACTCAAAAGCCAACATGGTAACGTCCCAACTATAGGACCAGGTGACGATGACGTATGTAAAGCGGGTCCAAGATCTAAGTGGAACTTGCGAGCGTGGTACTACCGGGTCTTCTCATGCTTGTGTCCCAGTGATACAGGAGCAAAGCTCGTAACTTGAACATCTCTCGTTCTACAAATGAAGAATAATATCTAACATCCCTCAGATAATTAACCTTCTAAGGATGAGGGTTTCTTAAAAATTTTGTGCCATGGACTCCTTTGGCACTCTGAGAAGGCTATGACTCTCTTCTCTGAAAAAAAAAATGCATTTACTCTTTTATTGTAATCTTTTAAATTAAAATAAAATACATAGCTTTGCAAAGGAAAGCAATTATTTTGAAATATAGTTCTCAAAATACTAGAAAAAATCAAATTTGTGCTATAGTAATATATGTGCTTCATGATTATCCCTTGAAATAACAAGCTCTAGTGGAAAATCTAATAATTAGTGTCATTTAGAAGTGATGACAAATGTAAAAAATATTTGGAGATATCTGCAGCAACTGGGACATCAGTGAGAGTCCCTGGGACTCCTGCACAGCAGAGCTACTGCTCCTCTCCTACTGGGGTTTGCTGCCTACTTTTGTAATGGAAGGAAATGCAGTTTTTCAGTTTAAAGATAGTGAAATAAGTATGTAATTTTTTCCATTCCGGTTGATGGACTTCCTAAATTCTATCCTGAGACTCCTGGGCGGTCAGTGGACCTCATGTGAAGAATCCTCCAATGGATATGGAAAGTGGATTCCTAATTAGGGAGCTTCAAAAGGTGACTTACAGCACCAGGGGGAAGAAAAATTTCATTCTATTACACTGTCTACACAGAATCATCTTAAAATAGGTTATAGACCCTTTAAGGCATTTCTCTTCACAACAGAATTCTGGGAGATGAGGGCTATGCAGGCACCATGTGGGGGGCTGCAGACGCAGGGGTTAGCCAGATGGGAGGAGTGGGGGTCTCGGAGAAGCTGTAGTACGATCAGCTGGAAGCAGAGCAGGAGTAGACCTAAGAAACAATTGGGAAGTGAAGATGATGGGGCCAGAGCAGAAGAAATTAAACTGCTGAAATGGCTAACCTCACCTAGTAACTAATTCAACGTGTTTGTAAACATTTGCAAGGTAGCCTGGGCACCCCTATAAAATGCCTGAAGAAATTCCTGCATTATTTGGTGGTTGGATAGAACCAATGAAATGTAGGTTATGTTAGAATGTTTCAGATGGGTTTCCTCTACAAACAGTACAAGTACAAGTTGAAAACCTGAAAATCAATAATTACACTACCGCTGTTATTTCACTGTGTACTCAAGGTTAAGAAACAGGAACTTAAATTTCAGAATTTATATTCCCAGTTCAGTGATGATGCCCTCAGAAATGGATCTCTTTTTTTTAAGAAAAAAAAAAAAAAAAACCAGGCCGGTCGCGGTGGCTCACCCCTGTAATCCCAGCACTTTGGGAGGAGGCCGAGGCGAGCAGATCACCTGAGGTTGAGAGCTCGAGACCAGCCTGACCAACATGGAGAAACCCCATCTCTACTAAAAATACAAAATTAGCCAGGTGTGGTGGCACGCGCCTGTAATCCCAGCTACTTTGGAATCTGAGGCAGGAGAATCACTTGAACCCGGGAGGCGGAGGTTGGGGTGAGCCGAGATAGAGCCATTGCACTCCAGCCTGGGCAACAACAGTGAGACTCTGTCTCAAAAAACAAACAAACGAACAAACAAACAAACAAAAACCTACCAGTAAAGAACCATTGAGAAGCTCATTCTCTAATGCATATAATCTGTGGCATCCATTTAGAAATGTTCAAAATAGCCCTTTAGCACATCCTCTGTCATCTTCTGTACCTACACAAACGTGATGGAGGTGGAGTATATGGTAATGCTGGTTTTGGTGGGGTTGCTGGGGGTGGAGTGGAGACTGATGTTGAATCTTGTCTCTAAACTTCTCTTCTTGTTTTTCAACTGTGCCTGGCCCACAGTTGATATATTCCATGTGCCAGTGGCCTGCAAAAGAAAAAGTAAAGCTCCCAGCCTCTGTTTTAGGGAAGGCATGGCCATCCAATCACCTGGGCCTGAATAATCCACCTTCTTGGAGCCCTCTTCTGAACAGCCGTGCCTTGGAAAGGGGCCTGGGGTGGACATCAGGAGACCTAGGGCCTAATCATAGCCTTGCTGAGGATGTGTTGTCTGACCTTGGAAAAGTCTGTTAATCTCTTGGGGTTTCAGCTTCCTCTCTACTAAATCTCCCAAGAACTTTCCAGTTCAAAAATTATTCTATGGCAGCACAACACTTAAAGGAAAAGCATTTGTGTGGCCCTCCAGTATTGTTTTTGATTATTTTAGTCAAAATGTTTCTTAAACATGTAAAGTTAAAACTCAATAACGGATTTCCTTATGTAAATAATTTTAGAGATTTGAGACAAGCAAAACAACAGATGAGATAAAATTTTAACCAATATATACTATTAAATTTTAATTACTTTTCCTCATTGATAATTGACATTATTAATTCCATGTGATGAATAATACTGGTTTTGCTAGACCCAAACTGCTGCTCACACTGGAACATGCTACAGAGAACTCCTCCACCATTGTGTTCCATATGATGACTCAGGTCTCCCATCACTGTCTCCTTCTGAACCACTGTGAAATTTTCTTCAAGCCCTGCCATCATTTGGCCTTTGCATTGGAAGAATGCACTGTTTTTACTTTATATTCTCCTTTGTTCCTTCCTCCTGAGCCTGCAATTATTAAAGTAAAATGACAAGACACCAAATGATGCTGTAATCAATGGCCATATCTACATATGGGTCCTCCAGACAACCTCAAAAGTGTTTACACTAATATTTTTGTTAGGTTATCACTGAAATAAAAACACAAGAATTTTAAGCCAAGCATAATGGCGTCTGCCTGTAGTCACAGCTACACAAGTGGATGGCTTGAGCCTAGGGGTTCAAAACCAGCCTAGGCAACATAACAAGACCCCAAGCTCTAAGAAACAAAACAAACAAACAAAAAAAAGAATTTAAAAATTTTTCATAAATTCACAGTTCCTTGAAGATGTGTGCCTGGATCTTCGTGTGAGAAATGCTCCTTTATCATTTACAGGGGCCTCGACAGAACCTTCCTCTAGTGTCCCCATCCCTCCTCCGAAGGAAGGACACAACACATACACAAGACCTTCAGTTCTTCTCAAGTGTTTTTGGAGATCAGGGTGTAGAAACCAAGATCAAGTTTGTTTCCAAACGTCATCAAAAACAAGGTGACGTACCCAGAAAACTTGCGCCCTCTCTTACAGAAATCCAATTCTCATTCCCTGCTTTCTAGGAGGAATTTAAGAAAATAGGTTGAAAAGATTCGAGGACCAAAGGTATATTACTTCAATGAGAAAAACACAGCCAGAGACTGACCTCTTGACCTCCAGATGGGCTGTTTCTTTTCTTTTTTGCAGGATGCTGCTATAGAAAAAGCTCATGAAACTCAAAGGCACAGAGACAAGCTCATGGCTGCATTATGAAGCTTGCATAGTCCCAGGAGAGCGGATAGCCCTCTTAGCAGATTCAAATTCCACTCTCTCTAGAAACATGAAGTAGCAGCCTACTGTGTACAAGAAAGCCATCAGCAATGAGGTAAGGTTGACCTTCACAGCGCAGCCCAAACCCTGAGACCTCATGGTCAGAACAACAGGAACGTAGTGTTTTCATGATAAGGTGTGGGAAGGTAGAAATCAGTCATGACACAGAAGCCAACCACCACACAGGAAGCCCCCAGTCCACTGGTGGCCCAGCAGGGTACAATGGATCCAGATGAAATTGTCAGGATCTGTGGCAGTTTGGCCACTTTGGCGGAGCTTTAAAATTATTAATCCAATTTCATGACATTTATAGAATTATTTAACTTATCAATTTCATAATCGGTGAACACATTAAGGATTGTTCTTTCTTCTTAGAGAGTTGGCCATTTTGTTATTATGTAAGTTTGTCTTTATTCCTGATAATTTTCCTTGCTCTGAAGTCAGCTCTGTCTGAAATTAATGTCACCACTCCAGTCTTAATAGGTTGAATCTTATCCCCTTGTTACAGGAAAGGGGTCCTGATCCAGATCCCAAGAGAGGGTTCTTGGATCTCACACAAGAAAGAATTCAGGACAAGTCCGCAGTGCAAAGTGAAAGCAAGTTTATTAAGAAAGTAATAAAAGGAAAGAAATAAAAGAACGGCTACTCCATAGACAGAGCAACCCTGAGGGCTGCTGGTTGACCATTTTTATGGTTATTTCTTGATGATATGCTAAACAAAGGGTGGATTATTCATGTCTCCCCTCTTTAGAACATATAGGGTAACCTCCTGACATTGCCATGGCGTTTGTAAACTGTCATGGTGCTGGTGGGAGTGTAGCAGTGAGGACAACCAGAGGTCACTCTCGTGGCCGTTTTGGTTTTGGTGGGATTTGGCTGGCTCCTTTACTGCATCCTGTTTTATCAGCAAGGTCTTTATGACCTGTATTTTGTGACGACCTCCTGTCTCATCCTGTGACTTAGAATGCCTTAACTCTCTAGGAATGCAGCCCAGTAGGTTCAGCCTCATTTTACCCAGCTCCTATTTCAGATGGAGTTGCTCTGGTTCACACACCTCTGACATTTCCCCCCACCCTTTTTATAAACCCTTAATCCTAAGGCTTGCAGAGGCATAAAGATCCGTCTTCTGTAACTTCTTCATGCTGAATAGGGGCAATGATATTCCTGCCTAACTATGAGGGCCTCTTGCATTCAGGGTAGAGAGGAGCTCAGTCAGAAAGCATTAGTATGGTAAGGTCCATTTATAACTTTTGAGTTTCAACAAAAGGTGATATTTGGAAGATTAATAAATGTTTAATTTAAGAAAGCATTCAGTAAGTTTGTCCTGTATTCCTACACAAAGAGTATTTGGAAAATTAATAAGTGTTTAATTTAAGAAAACATTTAGTAAGCTTGTCCTGTATTCCTACACAAAGAGTATAACAGCAATATATTTCACAAGAGTAAAGGAAAATAAGTAAAGTTATTCCAAGTAAACTAAATTAGAAAGCTTTTCATGAACTGGGCAACTGTTGGAACTAAGCTGATATGGGGTTGTTAGCTGATTGTAATGTGCCCAGAATTAGAATACTGATCCAGATTTTTGCATTACCCATCTCTCTTGTTTCTTCTGAGCAGCAGTTAGACATCAGTGGTTGGTTCACAGGAATATGCAGTGTTAGACTAAATTGCAGAAACAAACTTAAAAACAACTGATAAGACTAGAATCTAATACAAAGTATACCAGTTTTTGAAATGTAATATTTCTCTCTCCAGTTTCCTATTTTTACTAAAGACAAATCATGGTAAGACCGATTTGCTTTATTATACTTGGCCTGATTATTTGTACAGCAAGAATAATTATTTTTCACATAAGCTCATTTTAAATTGGCTTTGAACTCTATTCCATAGAAGGAATTTCAGATAAGACTTCTTTTTTTTAAATTGAGACAGAGTCTCGCTCTGTCGCCCAGACTGGAGTGCAGTGGTGCTATCTCGGCTCACCAGAACCTCCACCTCCTGGGTTCAAGTGATTCTCCTGTTTCAGCCTCCCGGGTTGCTGGGATTACAGGCCCTGCCACCATGCCCAGCTAATTTTTTTTCTATGCTTTTAGTAGAGACAGCGTTTCACCATATTGGCCAGGCTGGTCTCAAATTCCTGACTTCCAGTGATGTGCCCACCTCGGCCTCCCAAACTGCTGGGATCCACTTTGCTCTGCCTCAGGTAAGACTATTTTACAGCCGAGCCCAGCCATGGGTTTGCACCCTCAAATACCTGAGTTGGGTAAATTTTTTTCCTCTCGAGGTCACAAGATAACTTGGGGCTCCATGACCTGTCAGAAAGTGACATTCTTTACTCACCACAGGTTAGAAATTCTGCACAGAGACTGTTTTAGGCAAGGTATGAGGCCAGTCCCCCAGGGGGCTTTTATTGGCTCTATATGTTAGGTTTAATACCCTAAAGGAAAACATGCTGTTCCAGTCAAAGCCTTAGCAAAATAACCAATGTCTCCCGTTGTGTCCTGTTACAAAAGAAAACGGATTTTTATTGCACCTATGCAAATAACTATATTGCCATAAGTTAAGAATACTTACAAACAGTTTCCAAATTTTAGAGAAATTAAATACAAAGAAATAAAAATAAATATGCTCCAAATTCTGTTCATAGGAGTACACTCAACTGTTAAAAGCTGTAAATAGCTCAAAAGAAAAGTTTCCTTGACTCTGAAAAACAAAACAAAGGATCAGCAATGTTTTAAGCAAAGTTAAAAAGATTAGACTTCTTCAGTTTAGTCCATATAGTTAACTTCTGTTTGATAGTTATGAATATTTCAGTTCTCCATTAGAGTTCTGAAAGTTTTTTCCTTTATTCTGATGACACAATCTCCAAAGTTATCAGAAAACCTGCATTTAAGAACACCTATTAGAGTTCTATAATTGATTATAAATCACCTTTTAAAGAGGATTAAAACGAGGTAACGATTGGGCCAGGCACAGTGGCTCACACCTGTTATCCCAGCACTTTGGGAGGCCGAGGCAGTTGGATCACCTGAGGTCAGGAGTTCAAGACCAGCCTGACCACCATGGCGAAACCTCATCTCTACTAAAAATACAAAAACTAGCTGAGCATGGTGGTGGGCACCTGTAATCCCAGCTACTCAGGAGGCTGAGGCAGGAGAATCACTTGAAACCAGGAAGCAGAGGTTGCAGTAAGCTGAGATTGCGCCATTGCGCTCCAGCCTGGGCAACAAGAGAGAAACTTTGTCTCAAAAAGAAAAAAAACCAGGTAACAATTGTCTATGGCTGACAAAATGTTTTAGGGGAGCCACGATCAAAGAAACAATTGACAAGGAAATTTGTTACCTCCATGGCATACAATGATTTTATGTAACGATTATCATTATTACTGATAATGTACACTAAGTCATATCAGAATTATAAGAGTTTCCCATGATTTTGGAATATATATACCAATAACATATTTATACAAATATGGCCCAAAGAAAACCAAACACCATTTTATATTTGACAATGCTCCCTGTATGATTTTTGTACCAAATAAGCCAAATGTCACTGTTGCATTAGTGCATTATCAATGTCAAACCCAATTCTTAATAAAACCTTATAAATATATCGATCCAATCTTAATCAGTTTGACCATAAGGTAAGATTCTTATAAACCTTTTATAACCCTTTACAAGTTTTTGTTAAATAGCAGATCATAAGCAGGTTTTTGCTCTAAGAAAAATCTGTTGTGCTTTTATTCCAATTTTTAATTTATAGAAAAACTGAATAATACTCCTTTAATTTAGCCAATGTCCACACACAGAATCTCTTTTACAATTAATTTTCTACAAACCCTCCACAATTGTTCAAACCTTTATTCTAACTTAAAACAATTCTTTAACCCCTTAGGCAAAAAAAATGCACATTCCCATGCCTTCTTGTAATCTTTCGCCAAAAACACATTTTACTTTCTTTACACACCTTGCATGTAAAATTTTTTTTAGTAGTTTTAGTTACATATTATAACGTTAACTTTTAGCAACTTTTATTTTTGGTGAAAAACTTGGTAAGTTCGGGATTTTAATTATATACAAGGTGTGGCGCCTAGCCTAGGACACACCAGACAGAAGTGTAGATAAGAGCTGACTCTCCAGCATAGCTAGGTTGCATGACTAACTCCACATGTCCCCAGGCCTTACCTAGCTATAAAGCAGGCAAGTTGTACAGCAAGAGTCATAGTGGCATTTTATGAAGCATTTACAAGGCTTAACAACCTTTGAATTGTATGACATTTCTTGCATAAATTCCCTTTCACAAATCCTTTCATGACTTACACAGACCATCTGAGATATTATTGGACTTTCTGACCTGCCCTAAACATCCCTCCTGTTAGACAACCAGTCATTTTACTTTAGGACAAGAATTTCCCATACAAGATCCTTTCTTACATAAAATCCCTTTCTTAATAATCTTCTTTGTATAGCAAAGGGGCATGGCTAATTCCACATGTCCCCAGGCCTTATCTAGAACCTCATGGCTTTAAGGTAGGTAAATTGAACAATTTTGGAAAAGTTAAAGCAGCAGTTTATGACCTTAAAGCCTTTAGCAAACTTAATATCTGACCTGCATAATTTAGACTAAATGTTTTTATTTTAACAATAATTTTAAAAGCTGTTTTTCCCAAAGATTACTAAAGTTATATGAACTAAAAGGCATTACAGTTTCTATTTTGCTTTTAAAATATTTGATGTAAGTGCTTATTTTTGTTTCAGCCAATTAATTAGAGCTCTTATATATAAACATTACACACAACACATATGTAGCTACAAGAAAGACAGAAGATTATACTACAGTAGTTGTAAAATTTTTCATTTGCCAGTTTTTAAGTTTCTTCATTGGATTACTGGCTTTAGGATGGAGCCCCCGGAAGAACAGGGCCAGGAAAGTGGTCTCTGTTTCCTCCTGTTTTTCCCAAGGAGTCTAGGCTGTTAGAGTTTAACTATCCGCTTTTAATAGTACTGATTTTAACCATAGCACTCTTTAATAAAGTCCTTTTAGAATTTCTTATGCCAAACGGCCGATATTTCTGACTTTTGAACTTTACCAAAGGTAACCTCCCAGGTGCTTAGAGAAAGGAAAATTTAAGACAGTCCACAGAGGAGAAGAGAATAGACAAGGTCATGCAGGTATTAAACCAGAAACGACTTACTTCCTAGGTGGGGAATTGAACCTGGACCGCTACTGTGAAAGCGCAAAACCTTAGCAACAGAGGTGCAGCATGGGACAGCCTCTGTTTCCTTCCCCAGACGGAGTCTAGAGTAGTTAATTTTGAGCTTGTAAAGGCTTTTAACTTTTTAATATGATTTTTAGCACTAACTATGACATGAACCCTAAAATTTCTGTTCCCTGGAAGGCAGAGACCAAGAGAAAGTACCGCCATGTGGTTAAAAGGTCAAGCTCCCAAGGACATAAAATAAGGTGGAAACTTCATCCAGTTGTTTTTTGTTTGTTTCAGGGACCTGCAGCCAAGTTCGTTACGGACCAGCTTGCTGAGTTGTCTTGAAAAGCGGGCTTACAGGTGTTCTAAGCCCATGTTTTATCCTGAAGTTCCCCTCGACAAGAAAAACGAATTCATAGCACAAAGTACACCAGTTTAAGACTAGCCTTAGAATTCTTTTTTGCATTAATCCAAACAGAAGAGATTTGTTTTACCATTCCTTCAATCGTTCCCACAGAGAGAAGTCAGAAATCTGACTGGTAAGAAATTTTTACCCTTTTGCCGGCATGCCAATCTTCTGGGTTCTCTTTCTCTGAGCAGTCCTAGTGATCCAGCTTGTGGCACCATCACCCTGGGGCCAAGCCACATTATAAAGGAATTTTTTTTTTTCATTCTGGCCAGAGCAAAATACATGTGATAAAACACAGACATTAGCCACTCTGCTTAGCACCCAATATCAAACTGGCAAGGCTTAAATTTTCCCCCAGATGAGTCCCATCATCTTTAATCCAACCTCCGACTTGGAGTATCAACATATGGTCTCTGGGCAAGATGGTCACCCTGAGTGACAGAAAATATAGGAAAGGAAAAGTAGAGAAGGAAAGTATTACCTGTGGTAGGGTGGGGAAGGTGAAGAGCTCAGGGAAGCCAGAGAAAACGCCCACTCATTGCAGCCGACAATGAAAAGTTCAAGGCCGGGTGTGGTGGCTCGAACCTGTAATCCTAGTACTTTGGGAGGCCGAGGCGGGTGGATCACCTGAGGTCGGGAGTTGAAGACCAGCCTGACCAACAGGGAGAAACCCTGTCTCCACTAAAAATACACAATTAGCCTAGCGTGGTGGCGCATTGCTGTAATCCCAGCTACTCAGGAGGCTGAGGCAGGAGAATTGCTTGAACCTGGGAGGCGGAGGTTGTGGTGAGACGAGATCGTGCCATTGCACTCCAGCCTGGGAAACAAGAGCAAAACTCCATCTCAAAAAACAAGAAAGGAAGGAAGGAAGGAAGAAAGAAAAGGAAAGGAAAGGAAAGGAAAAAGGAAAGGAAAGGAAAAGACAGGACAGGACAGGAAAGGAAAGGAAAAGAAAGGAAAGGAAAGGAAAAGACAGGACAGGACAGGAAAGGAAAGGAAAAGAAAGGAAAGGAAAGGAAAGGAAAGGAAAGGAAAGGAAAGGAAAAGACAGGACAGGACAGGAAAGGAAAGGAAAAGAAAGGAAAGGAAAGGAAAGGAAAGGAAAGGAAAGGCAAGGCAAGGCAAGGCAAGGCAAGGCGCGGTGGCTCACGCCTGTAATCCCAGCACTTTGGGAGGCTAAGGCGGGAGGATCACCTGAGGTCAGGAGTTCGAGACCAGCCTCAACATGGAAAAACCCCGTCTCTACTAAAAATACAAAATTACCTGGGCGTGGTGGTGCATGCCTGTAACCCCAGCTACTTGGGAGGCTGAGGCAGGAGAATTGCTTGAACCTGGGAGGCGGAGGTTGTGGTGAGCCGAGATCGCGCCATTGTACTCCAGCCTGGGCAACAAGAATGAAACTCCGTCTCAAAAAAACAGAAGAAAAGAAAAGCTCAGGTGGCCGCTTTTCAGTAGCAAAGGGATCTTTTCCAGCAGTCCCATCAGCTCTTAAGTTTCCCCTTTTAGGGAGGAAAAAGCTCCGCATGTCCCATGATCCTGTACATGCCTAACCCTGTCACCCACAGCCATCAGCAAAGAGTGCAAGGCAGATTAATCCAAAGAGAATAGCAGTTAACATCCCGTAGTGCCAAACCTGCTTTTAGCCGAGAAGGACTTATACTGAGAGGGGCCTCTAACTTCCTAAATCTTAGAAGGGACTCTAACCCTCCTAAGTTGGGCCTCTAACCCAAGGTCGGTCAAGCGTCCTTGCCTTTTATTAAGAGGGACCTCTAACCCACTCTGTTTTAGGAGAGACTGTAACTTCCCTAGCTGGGTCTGTAACCCAATCCCATTCTTTATCCAGGTACTCCGCCACTCACCCAAAGTTGTCCAATCACTTTACCTTTATCCAGGTACCCCACCAATTACCCAAAGTTGTCCAATCAGTGCTGCAGTCTATTTCCTTTGGGTTGCGGGGGGCGTTCCTCAGTATTGTCCCTTTTGTGGCTCACAAGAAAAATGTTACTGAACCCCACCATTTACCCAAAGCCAGCATTTGGGTCAGGGGTTTCTGCAGTAAAGTCACTACCGTGGTTGCCACAAATATGTTACAGGACTCCAACACTTACCCAAAGGTAGCTGTTGGGTCAGGGTTTCTGCACTACAAGTCTCTTCTGTGGTCACCAGAAATATGTTACAGGAAAGCAGTCCCGATCCAGACCCCAAGAGAGGGTTCTTGGATCTCACCCAAGAAAGAATTCAGGGTGAGTCCATAGAGTAAAGTGAAAGCAAGTTTATTAAGAAAGTAAAGGAATAAAAGAATGGCTACTCCATGGACAGAGCAGCCCCAAGGGCTGCTGGTTGCCCATTTTTTTGGTTATTTCTTGATGATATGCTAAACAAAGGGTGGATTATTCATGCCTCCCCTTATTAGACCATACAGGGTAACTTCCTGATGTTGCCATGGCATTTGTATACTGTCATGGTGCTGGTGGGAGTGTAGCAGTGAGGACGACCAGAGGTCACTCTCATCACCATCTTGGTTTTGGTGGGATTTGGCTGGCTTCTTTACTGCAACCTGTTTTATCAGCAAGGTCTTTGTGACCTGTATCTTGTGCTGACCTCCTATCTCTTCCTGTGACTTAGAATGCCTTAACTGTCTGGGAATGCAGCCCAGTAGGTTTCAGCCTCATTTTACCCAGCTCCTATTTCAGATGGAGTTGCTCTGGTTCACACGCCTCTGACACCCTCAAATGATATTGAAGTCCTAACCCCAGTATCTCAGAATTTTACCTTATTGGGAAATAGTGTTGTTGCAGATACAATTAATTAAGTTAAGACAGCCCTGGAATAGAGTCCCTAATTCAATATGACGTGATGTCCTTATATAAAAGGGAAATTTGGAGACAGACATGTACACAGGGAGAATGCCATGGGAAGACTGGAGTTATCCCGCCACCAGCCAAGGCCCTACCAGAAGGTAGGAGAGAGTCCTGGAACAGAGCCCTTCCTAATGCCTTCAGAGTGGTGGCCCTCCTAAAGCCTGAATCTTTGAGCAAGGCCTCCACAACTCTAAGAAAACTGTAAATTCCTGTTGTTTAAGCCACCTTGCCCTAGCTTATGGTATTTTATTATAGTGGCCCTAGCAAACTAATCCATCCAGGTTTCTTTCGATTAGTGTTTAACATGGTAGATCTCAGGGCTATGGCTGCTATTTAGTTTTTGCTTTTTGTTTTTCTCTCTGCTTTTAATTTCTCTATTTTCTTTTTTCCTTACTTCCTTTGGGTTACTTGAACATTTTTTAGAACTCCATTTTGATTTATCTATGCCTTTTAAAAGCGTATGTCAAGCCTCTGAGCCCAAGCCGGCCTGTATACATCCAGATAGCCTGAAGCAACTGAAGAATCACAAAAGAAGTGAAAATGGCCGGTTCCTGACTTAACTGATGACATTACCTTGTGAAATTCCTTCTCCTGGCCCAGGAGCTCCCCACCAAGCACCTTGTGACCCCCGCCCTGCCCTCAAGAGAACAACCCCCTTTGACTGTAATTTTCCACTACCCACACAAATCCTATAAAACTGCCTCACCCCTAGTTCCCTTTGCTGACTCTTTTTTCAGATTCAGCCCACCTGCACCCAGGTGATTAAAAAGCTTTATTGCTCACACAAAGCCTGTTGGTGGTCTCTTCACATGGACACGCATGACATTTAGGTGCCGAAGATCCAGGACAGGGGGACTCCTTTGGGAGACCTGTCCCTTGTCCTTGCACTCACTCTGTGAGGAGATCCACCTACTGTCAGGCCTCTGAGCCCAAGCTAAGCCATCATATCCCCCTGTGACCTGCACTTATACATCCAGATGGCCTGAAGCAACTGAAGATCCACAAAAGAAGTGAAAATAGCCAGGTCCTGCCTTAGCTAATGACATTCCACCATTGTGATTTGTTCCTGCCCCACCCTAACTGATCAATTGACTTTGTGACAATACACCCTCCCCGCCCTTGTGATAATGTACTTTGTGATATTCCCCCATCCTTGTGAATGTGCTTTGTACAATACACCCTGCCCACCCTTAAGAAGGTACTTTGTAATATTCTCCCCTGCCCTTAAGGTACTTTGTAATATTCTCCCCACCCTTAAGAATGTACTTTGTAAGATCTACCCCCTGATCGCAAAAAAATTGCTCCTAACCCCACCGCCTATCTCAAACCTATAAGAACTAATGATAATTCCACCACCCTTTGCTGACTCTCTTTTCAGACTCAGCCCACCTGCACCCAGGTGGTTAAAAAGCTCTATTGCTCACACAAAGCCTGTTTAGTGGTCTCTTCACATGGATGCACGTGACAGTGTATATCTTTGAATAGCTTTTTTTATGTAATATGTTAAATATTTAAGACAATAATGATATAATTATAGATATTAATGATAAAATTGTCTTAAATATTTCCCCTGCTTACATTTAAAACCACAATAGTGGCTACACTTTTTGCTTCCAAAAAGTGGAAACGTTACAATTTTTGCTTCCACCATCATCAAATGTCATTTAGGAAAATCAAAAAGTGAGTATATTGTATTTTTGCTTACTGTGTTTTCTTGCTTTCTGCTTTTCCAGAGTTCCTTCTTTTATTATTTTCTTTCTGTTTGGAGAGCTTCCTTTATTCATTATTTTAGGGTAGATCGGCTGGTAAAAAATTATTTAGTTTTTCTTCATCTGAGGATGTCTTGATTTCTTCTTCATTATTGGAAGCTATTTTTACTGGATATAGAATTCTGGGTTGATAGTTATTTACTTGAAATATTGTGCCATTTCCTTCTGGCCTCTATGGTTTTGGATGAGAAATTTGTTGTAATTAAATTACAACAAATGTATTGTTGTTTTTTGGCTGCTCTAAAGATTTATATTCTTTTACTTTAGTTTTCAGACATTTGACTATAATGTGTTTCGGTGTGGATTTCTTTATGTTAATTCTATTTAGAGTTTGCTCAGCTTCTTCCATCTGTGAGTTTACATCTCTTACCAAATTTAGGAAGTTTTCTAGACATTATTTCTCCCAGTACTTTTTTAGCCCTGCCCTCTCTCTCTTCTCCTACTGGAACTCTGATGAGATAAATATTAGATCTTTTGTTATAGTCCCATAGGTTCCAGAGGTTCTGTCTATGTATTTATTTATTTTTAGTCTATTTTTACTCTGTTGTTCACCTTGGGTGTGAACTCAAAAGTATCTGAGACAGATCTCAATCGATTTAGTTTTTTTTGCTAAGGTTAAGGAGCCCTGCGTGACACATCTTCAGGAGGTCCTGATGACATGTGCCCAAGGTAGTCAGAGTGCAGCTTGCTTTTATACATTTTAGGGAGATATGAGAAATCAATCAATATGTGTAAGATGTACTTTGGTTTGGTGCAGAAAGGCAGGACTGCTCAAAGTGGGGCCTTCCAGGTCATAGGTAGATAAGAGACAAACAGTTGCATTCTTTTGGGTCTCTGATCAGCCTTTCACTGAATACACAGTTTATATGTGGGTGGGGAGGGGGTGAAGATAGAGGAACAGTCATGCCTTCTTCTGGCTCAGTGAATCTGCATTTTCGCATAAACAGTAGGGCAGAGGAAGCCATTAGATAACCATTTGACTCAGGTGAGCAGAGGGATGACTTTGAGTTCTGTTTGTCCTTCCAGCATCTGTGAAGATAAGCTATCAATTTACATTGCCAGGGTGAAATTCAACAGAATTGTTTTAGGATAAAGATCTTGAGGCCCACAAGGAATTCCCATGTGGGCAAATGGTGAGGGAAGGATGTAGCTTCTTTATCCTTGTAGCTATCTTATTTAGGAATAAAATAAGAGGCAGGTTTGCCTGATGCATTTTCCAGCTTGAATTTTCCCTTTGGCTTAGTGATTTGTGGGTCCTGAGATTTATTTTCCTTTCACATTGGGTAGTCTCTATTGTGCTATCTTCATTTTCTTTCATTCTTTCCTCTGTCTCTTCCACTTGCTTTTGAGCCTTTCTATTGCTTTTTTGGTTGTTGTACTTTTCAGTTCTAAAATTTCCATTTGTTTCTTTATGGCTTCTATTTCTTTGCTGAGACTTTCTATTGTTTCATTTGCTTCAAGCAGGTTTACAATTGCTCATTGAACCATTTTTTATAGCTGCTTTAAAATCTTTGTCAGATAACTTTGACATCTTTGTCAACTTAAGTGTTGAAATTTATTGATTTGTTTCATTCCGAGATCTTTCTGGTTCTTGATGAGTTTTTTAAATTGAATCCTAGGTATTTTGGTTGTTATACTATGAGACTTTGGATCTTATTTAAACATTCTTTTTAGCTTCCTTCTTTTGATGCCACTCTGGCAGAAGAAGTGAGGTTGTTGCCATCTCATTCCTGCCTAGTGAGGATCAAAGCCCAGGTCCCCCAGCTGGCCTCCTTTGGCACTAGGGGAGTGAGGGGTCCTCAATACTACTGGGTACAGTGGAAGCTCTGGCTCCCCCACTGGGCTGTACCTTCTGCACTGGAAAGAATAGGAGTTTGTCCACACTCTCCCGACACGGTCTCCAGTGACACCACTGGGGGTGGCCTTGTCATCACAAGGTGATGGTGAACATCCTGACCTTCCACTAGACCTTCTCTGACACCACCTGAGTAGGGAGATTGGGACACCCCTTTACAGCCTGATGAGGGTAGAACTCTTGGCTCTCCAGTAATCCTTTGCTTGCATAAGTGGGAGTGGGACCACAGTCTTTTCTGTAGCATTTAGCTGGCGTAGAGCAATTATTGTCTAACAGTTTCCTATCTTGCTAAGCTGTCCCTCTGCTGGCTCTTTGGCTAGGAAGATCAAGCGTTGTTGAGGCTTTTGTTATGTTTTGTTTTGTCTGTGCCATTGGCATTTCTAGTTTTCCAGTTGCTTCTGTTCTAACTTTGGTATATATAAGGGGGAGAAATCGAGGGAACTCATCATCATGTTATTCCTTCAGTCCTGAAGTCCCTAGCCAGTCTTTCTTCTCCTCTCCACCTTTCAGTCTTCTTGTGTTTGTTTTGCCTATGTCCAAGGTTTTTAGTTGTGCTTCACAGGAAGAATACGCAAAGTCCACCTACTCTCTCGGCAGAAGTCCCTTAGTATTTTTTTTTTTTTTTTTTTGAGACAGAGTCTCACACTGTCGCCCTGGCTGGAGTGCAATGGTGCGATCTCAGCTCACCGCAACCTCCACCTCCCAAGTTCACATGATTCTCCTGACTCAGCCTCCTAAGTAGCTGGGATTACAGGTGCACACCACCACACCCGGCTAATTTTTTCTATATTTAGTAGAGACAGGGTTTCACTATGTTGGCCAGACTGGTCTCGAATTCCTGATCTTGTGATCTGCCTGCCTCAGCCTCCCAAAGTGCTGGGATTACAGGTGTGAGCCACCGTGCCCAGCCCCTTAGTGCATCTTTAAGACTTATTTTGGAAGTTATCTTTAGATGGAGAAAAGGAAAGGAGGACGTTGCCTTCCCCCACATTAAGGCCACACTGCTGAGGCACATTTTTTTTTTTAATAATTATCCAGTTAGAGCAGAGCTGCCCTTGCCTGTCTGACATTCAGGTCCCCCAAAGTAGACCTGAGATGGAATCTGGGTGAAAGGGATTTATGAAGAACTGAATAACCAGTAGGGGAATGAGGAGGTGGGACTAAGAAGTGAGGGAGGCCAAACAAGGGGGCATGATCCACAGAGGGTGATGTTGGCCTGATCCTGTGCAGAGCAGGAGGGACAGTACAAGTGTCCTCTCTGAGTCGTTCTGATCAGAGGCAAGGGTGGGGGTCTTCATGGGAGCATGCAATTATACAGGACCCTGTGCTCAGAAGGGCCCATGCTTGGTTTAACCTTCTGCTGTCACCATCTTGAAATTCTCCACCATTTTCTATTAATAGCAAGAGGCTCTATGCTTTTATTTTCCACTGGGCCCAGTAAATTAGGTAGCCAGTCCTAGACAAGGGGGTAGAGTACTTATAGCCTTCTTCCCCAAAAAGGAGTTGGAGGGGTATAAATTCCTAGGCATTCTGGATTCTTCCTGAGCTCGGGGTTCCTGGGCTGAACAATGTCCCCCGCCAAAATTCATGTTCATCAGAACCCCAGAATGTGGCTTTGTTTGGAAAAAGTGTCTTTGCAGATGTAAACAGTTAAGATGAGGTCATACTAGAGTAGGGCAGCCCTAATCCACTGACCGGTGTCCTCATAAGGAGAGAATACAGACAGACAGACACACATACACACACACACGGACCATTGCCATTTGAAGATAGAGCCAGAGGTTGCAGTGCAGCAGGCACAAGCCAAGGAACGCTGGGAATCGCTGGCAGCCACCAGAATCTTGGAGAGAGGCATGGGACAGATCCCGCTCCGAGCCTCCAAAAGGAACAAACCCTGCCAACACCTTGACTGCAGGCTCCAGCTGCCTGCACTGTGGCAGAATAAATGTCTGCTGCTTCAAGCCACCCAGTCTGTGGAACTTTGCTGCAGCAGCCCTAGTAAACCAGCACACCAAGCCAGGTCAACTCCAGGTGCTGGCTGTTGGGAGTCAAGGCACATCTGAACAGGTGTGCCAGAAAAACGGCAAAGGATCTGAGGGGCAAAGGCAGAGCCCAGCTGAAGCCAGGCCCTCTGGCCTTGACCTTTCAGTGAACCAGACCAACTTTGCACCTCTAATATGGGGGCATGGACTAATGACCCAGCCAAAAGGGAGGCATTCAGACAATAGGGGAGGTAGGGCCTCCAGTGAACCAGAGATGGCCGGCGCCACTTGAAGGCATTCACATTCAGATTTTTAAAAACGAAGCAATGCCAACCAAACAAGCATGTCTGAGTGCCCAATTCAGCTCCTGGACCTGGAAATTATATATTCGGCTGGGAAGCTCTCCAGGGACTCAGCTGATCCTCACGTTACAGCTGCTCTCTGGGGTGAAGTTTCTTCTACCTCCAAAGTAGGCTGGCTTTATTCACAACACCTTCATATAGATGGTGTTCTCAGCTATTCACAAAAACCTCCCCTGCTGGCCCTAGGGGTTCTGAAATTCTAGCCAAATTACTTCTTGAGTTAAAACATAAGTTATTTGCTCGAATGTGTTATTGTTACTGGCGTTGAGTCCATACAGGCCTGCGGCAACCTTGATTCTTGCCTCCTCAGAAGAAAGAATTCAACTGAGGGGGCATAAGGCAGAGAGAGGACTGAGGCAAGTTTTAGAGCAGAAGTGAAAGTGTATTAAAAAGTTTTAGGGCAGGAATAAAAGGAAGTAAAGTACACTTGGAAGAGGGCCAAGTGGGCGCCTTGAGAGATCAAGTGCCCGGTTTGAACTTTGACTTGAGGTTCTATATGTTGGCCTGCTTCCAGGGTCTTGCATCGGCTCTCCCGATTCTTCCTTTGGTGGGGAGCTGTCCATATGTAGAGTGACCTGCCTGCCAGCACGTGGGAGGGGAGCATGCGCAGTGTGTTTACTGGAGTTGTACCCGTGCTCACTTGAGGCGTTCTTTCCTTACCAGTTGAGTGTTTCCATAGGCCATATACCAGTTAAATTCCACCATTTTGCCTCTTAGTATGCATGCTTGAGCCCACTCACCCAATTTCCGAGATCCTATCCGGAAGCTGCTGATCACCAGTTCCAGGTTTTTTCTATCTATTGGGAGACTGCCTTTCCCTGGCACTGGCTGTGACCAATTACTCTTTTAGAGAAGACAGTTAACAACCACCTGACCATCACCTGATGGTCGCCTGACATTCCTGGTTGGGTGGGCGGTGAGGGCCTCTCCTGCCCTGCTCATGTCTGACTAGTTACCTACTATAACATTGTCATCAAGGACTATAATATAGGTAGATTAACATAGATTGCACCATCACCTAATCTCTCTGAAGACCCTGCAAAGTCTTAAGCTAAGGGGACATTTGACAGGTACATTTCAATTTAGGTAGGGGAATCAGGAGAGCTGGAGCCACAGGCCACTGCTTGGGGGGCACAGTCCAGACAGAACAACACTGGATAAGGCATCCGGCAGCTGGGCAGAGGCATGCACCATGAGGACAAGGAAAGTTATGTAGAAAAGAAAGAAGGAGGCCGGGCGCGGTGGCTCACGCCTGGAATCCCAGCACTTTGGGAGGCCGAGGCTGGTGGATCACCTGAGGTCAGGAGTTTGAGAGCAGCTTGGCCAACATGGTGAAACCCCGTCTCTACTAAAAATACAAAAATTAGCTGGGTGTGGTGGTGCACGCCTGTAGTCCCAGCTATTCAGGAGGCTGAGACAGGAGAATCACTTGAACCCAGGAGGTGGAGGTTGCAGTGAGCCAAGATCGTGCCACTGCACTCAAGCCTGGGCGACAGAACAAGACTCTGTCTCAAAAATAAATAAATAAATAAATAAATAAATAAATAAATAAATGAAAAGGAAGAAGGAGACCTGGCAGAGAAACGCTATATCTAAATAGTGCTGAGGCATTTGGCTTGATGCCAGAGACCCAAAAATAATAAAATCATAAATGTAAATATATGTATTTTCTTCTTATTTCTGAAATTTCTGAAACTCTAGCTGGCTTACTTCTTGGGTTAAAACATAAAAGTTATTTGATCAAATGTATTATTATTACTGACAGTGAGTCCATACAGGCCTGCAGCAATATCTCTGATGCTGCTCACAAGATCTCTGAAAAGCAGCTATTTACATGTCCATTTTATAGACAGGAGGGTTAAACTCATAAAGATTAAGTTAGTTTTCCAAGGAGCAAGTAGGAGAGCTGGCATCAAGCCAACTTCTTTTCAGAGGCTTACACTTGCTGGCCATCCCAGGGGCTCCTGGCCCATTTGGGTTCAAATCCTGCCAGCAGGAGGTTCCATAGAAATGATAAAACAGAAATAGCCATCAGGGCCAGCTGCCTAAGCCTGCAACGAGCCAGCCACCCAGGACCACATGCTAAGCAGGGGGCCTCTCCTGGGGTTTGGTGCTTTGCAACTGGCATGTTGAAATTCCTAATAATTTGATCTTTGAATCTATGCTCTATTAGTGAAGGCCAATGCAACATGCTCCAGGGGGGCTTGGAGCCTCAGCTCACATGCGGTCCCACTCCTGCTGCCTCCCAGCCTTTCTGGGCTCAGTTGCCCACTCCTTACCCTCAACCAGCAGCTGCCACTGCCCTCCACTCCTGCTGGGGGCCTGGGCATGCCACCATGACCAAAAGAGCATATTAAATAGCAAATTTTAAAAATGCCTTATCAGGTCAAGAAAGAAAAAGAGAGACTGCAAAGGAAAGGAAACAAGCCTTTTTCCTTCTTTATAAGCATGTAGATCCATGCTTTTATCTTGCACTGGTCCTTGAAAATTATATAACCAGCCTTGATAGCAGTGACCTATTATACTGTCTAGAAAAGCAACATGAATGTGCCCAGAAGCCCATGAGCTGCTTGTTGGCTGACTTAACACAGCCCCAACATTCCAGATTTTTAAAACCTATTTTTAATACTAAAAGTAGCTCTCCAGGGACACTCAGCCTGTCACACTGCTCTCAAAAGACGGACCAGTCTTCACAGCTGGTCCATAGCTCAGAACTCTGAGCAAACCAGTTATCAGCTCCCTTAAAAGAGCAAGAGCTAACCCTCTCCTGCAACGGAACTCATCCTCCTTACACATACTCTTAGATTGTGATAGTCTATGTATAAGTAAATTATGATTATTTTGTTCATTTCTAAATTCTACCAGTAGAATCCCAGGGATGTACTTAAAAAGTCAGTCGTGAGCTTTTCCCTTAATTTTACTATTCAATGGGAGTGTGGAAGGGGAGACTCATCTGTCCTCCACCTTCCTGCCAGCTGGTTGCCGTTGACTTCCGAAGATTAAGGTTGCAGCTTTACCACTTGTTTCTGGGTATGTGTCAGCCTTTTTAGATTAAACACAATTATTGCCTAAAGTGGGGCTAAGTTTTGTTCCAAGTCTACTGCGAGCATGCGTGTGTTCTCTCTACCTACCGTGTTGCTGCGGGGAGATTCAGCCCAGCGCTTGTCACTGCTCCAGGCAACAGCTGACAGGCAGGACAGGCTCCTCCTGGGCCTGCTCTCAGGCAGCTGGCAGGAGAAGAGGCTGTGCACTTGAGCCCTGTCCAGTAGCAACCTGGTCACAGAAGGGAAGCAGGTGGCCTGGAGCTGGGACAGCAGGGACTGAGAGGTTCTGCTGCCCTGTGACTGGACAGTGCTGGGTGCAGAGAGCAGCAGGATGCCCCCAAAGGACAGCCACAGTCTTCCTCATGCCCTGTGCATTGGGGACCCAAGGAACAGAGTAGAGATCACACCTGTGACTGCAAGCAGGTGAAGAGCCTGCCTGTGTGGGGCCCCTGAGGGACGGTGCTTGAAGCTGCTCCAAAGAAAGCCGAGCCCACGGAGGCTGGAGTCTTGCACAGGCTCCCTGGCACATGAGCTCAGCCTATTAAAAGTGCTTGCTTAGCCCAATGGGGACTGACAGCCAATGGTCATGAAAGATTTTATTGGGGTGATGGAAACACTATAAAATTGGATTATGATGGTGGTTGCACAGCTCCATACATTTACTACGCTATTGAATTGTACACTTAAAACAGGCGAGTGTTATGGTACATAAATTATACTTCAATAAAACTCTTTAAAGAAAAACAGAAAGAGGATATATTTTATATACATACATATATATATATATATATATATATATACACACACACACACACATATATATACTTTCATTTCTTTCAAAATTCCTGTCTAGTCAGATCCTAGCTCCAGGTTGCATTTATGTTCTTGCTTTTAAATTTTACTGATGTGTAATTTACATAGAATTAAATGTGCACTTTGATAAGTTTTGGAAAACGTAGACATCTATGTATCCACTGGCACGATCGTGATATAGAACATTTCATTCCCCCAGCAAGTTCCCTCTAGCCTCTCTGCAGTCAGCCCTCTCCCTTATCCCAGCCACAGGCCACCACTGATCTGCTTTTTGTCACTATAGATTAGTTTAGACTCTTCTAGAATTTCATATAAATATACTCTTTTGTGTCTGGCTTCTTTTAGCCAGCATAATGTTTTTGAGATGCATCTTGTGCTCCCCTTTAAAAACAAAACAATTCGTGTTGGTGAGTTCTCCAATGTGAAAAAGGCTTCTCTATTCCAAGAACAAGTTTTCCAAATTAGGAAACAACTTTGCTTCAATAGTCTAAGGCTTTTGGTTGAAAATGTTTTTCTTAATGATGAGTTTGAAAGAGGATCCAAACTTAAGAAGTTATTGTTGCCAGGCACGGTGGCTCATGTCTGTAATCCCAGCATTTTGGGAGGCTGAGGCGGGCAGATCACGTGAGGTCGGGAGTCCGAGACCAGCTTGACCAACATGGAGAAACCCCGTCTCTACTAAAAATACAAAATTACCCAGGCGTGGTGGTGCATGCCTGTAATCCCAGCTACTTGGGAGGCTGAGGCAGGGGAATTGCTTGAACCCGGGAGGCGGAGGTTGTGGTGAGCCGAGATCACGCCATTGCACTCCAGCCTGGGCAACAAGAGCGAGATTTCGTCTCAAATAAATAAAAAGTTATTATTAAGTTATTGTTAAGAATTTTACTTCTAATTTAGAAATCGTTTTCTAAAATTACCCTTGCTAAACTAAAAAAAAAAAAAAAAGACAGCAAGAAAGGACTTAGGTTAGAGAGAAATAAACAGGCTAAGATAGAAGTATTTTAAACTAAAAAACTTACCCAAAGATATCACATATGTAAAGTTTACAAACCAGGTGAGTAATTCCTTAGGAAAGGCAGAATATTTCTGTTAGGGACGAACTGCCCCAAAAAAGCTTCTTGGTACTGCCGACACTTCCCCCAAACCTCTCCGTGCTGCCCACTCCTCCCGCTTATGCTCTGCAACCCTTCGTGCCGCCCACCCTTCCCCCTGAGCCCCGTTACACTTCTAAGCCCTTATCTAGGTGCCGTGGTGAAGCCAGCAGACTTCACCTACCAGGCCTTGCTGCGATAAGCAAACCCCAATTACAAGCCATCGGACCGCACAGTGGGAGGTTGTGGGAAGCATAAACCAACTTTACCTACACCCTCCTGTAAATTCTACCATAAACGTCACAAGGCAGTATGTGGTAAAATTAACCAGCAAACAACCCCGGGATGCGGCCATGCCAAAGGACTCCCCCAAACTCCCCTCCCCACTATAAACCCCTCATTTTGTAAGCTCAGGGCTGCTCCTCTGACTGTTAAGAGGGCAGCCGGCAGGTTAACAAAGGCTTGCCTGGACTTGGGCCTCTCTCTGTCTTGTCCTTTCTCTCTCGGCTGACCTTACATTCCATTTTGAGGTATATAGTAGACACTCAAGTAATTTTTGAAAGATTGGATGAATTTGAAAATATTTATAGAATTCACAGGAACAGATGTCTCTCCAAACTTGCCTAAATTACTACATGAAGCAGTCAGTATGAAATTTGCCTTTAGTGATGGATGTGAATCCAAAAGTATCTGAGACAGATCTCAATCAAATTAGAACATTTATTTTGCCAAGGTTAAGGGGCGTGCCCATGACACAGCCTCAGGAGGTCCTGACGACATGTGTCCAGGGTAGTCAAGGTGCAGCTTGCTTTTATACATGTTAGGGAGACAGGAGACCTCGATCAGTATGTGTAAGATGTACATTGGTTTGGTCCGGTAAGGGGAGGGGAGTGTAGATAAGAGACAAAGGTAGAAAAGAGACAAAAGTTTGCATTGTTTTGAGTCCTTGATCAGCCTTTCAATGAATACACAATTTAGTCTGGCTCAGTGAATCTGTATTTTTACATAAACAATAAGGCAGAGGAAGCAATCAAATATGCGTTTGTCTCAGGTGAGCGGAGGGATGACTTTTGTCCCGTACCTGTGAAGATAAGCTATCAGTTTACACTGCCAGGGTGAAATTCAAGAGAACTGTTTTAGGGTGAAGATCTTAAGGCCTACAAGGAATTTTCTTGTGGACAAATTGTGAGGAAGGTATATAGCTTTTTTTTTAATCTTTGTAGCTATCTTACTTAGGAATAAGATGAGAGGCAGGTTTGCCTGATGCAGTTCCTGGCTTGACTTTTCCCTTGGCTTTGTGATTTTGAGGTCTTGAGATTTCTTTTCCTTTCACATGAGCAAGTTTTGCTCACAAGATAGCAAGCAGCCACTTTGGAGTTGCAGAGTGAGTTTTTAAAATAAATAAATTGGCCGGGCACAGTGGCTCACGCCTGTAATCCCAGCACTTTGGGAGGCCAAGGCGGGTGGATTACCTGAGGTTAGGAGTTAAAGACCAGCCTGGGCAACATGGTGAAACCCTGTCTCTACTAAAAATACAACAATTAGCTGGGCATGGTGGCTGGTGCCTGTAATCCCAGCTACTCAGGAGGCTGAGGCAGGAGAATCGCTTGAACCCAGGAAGCAGAGGTTGCAGTGAGCCGAGATCATGCCACTGCATGCCAGCCTGGGTGACAGAGAGAGACGCTGTCTGTAAATAAATTAATTAACTAATTAATTTAATTAAATAAATCAACTGAACAAAATGTGGGTGTTGGCTGATAATGGGAGTAGGCTAAGTTGCGAGTGCAGTCTGGGAGCCATTACTGAAGCCAAAAGTGGCCTTTGACTGGTTTAAGCCACTTGGGGAAGGAGGTGAGACAGTGAGTATTAGCTGAAGAGGGCTCCACGCTGGGGCACATAAGCCTTCATCTTTGCCTCCCAGGAGAGAAAAAAATTGTTCCATTGTTACTTTTCAAAGAGGTGAGTGTTTCTCCACACTGTGCCCCGACAGCAGGCACCATCTCCAGAAGTCCCGAGAACATGCCTCTGGAAGTCTATTCTATTCCCACAACTATCTCATACAAAGGTATCTGAAGCTTCTGCCTGGGCCTCCCTCTTCCTACCATCCTAAATAATTGTCATTTTTCAAGTGTTTCAACATTTCAACTTATAAGAGTATCTGGTAATCTAAACATACTCATTTCTTTGTTCCCTTCCTGTCCCAGCTTCCGTTTGGGACAGTCTTCCTTTTCACTGTCTGACTATTGTCTTTGACTCACTTCGGGTCACCCTGATCCCCTAGCCTCCTTGATTATCTTCCCCCTGTAGCTTGGGGCCAACCACCCCCACCCCAGCTCAATCCCTGCTGGCAGCAGGGGCAGAAATACTCCACACCTACCTGAGTTTACACAGTCACTTTCTACACAAGGAGCTGAAACCGAATCCAGGGCCCACCCCATCCCTCTCCAAGTGTATGGGCTGAATTGTGCTCTTCCAAAAAAGATGTGTTGAAGTTCTGGCCCTCAGTACTGCAGAATGTGACTTTATTTGAAGAGTGTCTTTGCAGATATAATTAGTTAAGATGAAGTCATACTGGAGTAGGGTAGGTTCCTAATCCAATATGATAATGTCCTTATTTTTAAAACCATCATGCAAAGATACAGACACACAGGGAGAGCAGCATGGGATGACAAAGGCAGAGATGGGAGTGATGCAGCTGCAAGCCGAGGAACAGCACAGATGCTGGTGACCCCTGGAAGCCAGGAAGAGGCAAGGAAGGACTCCCCTCCAGGCTTCAGAGGCAGCAGGCCTTGCTGACACCTTGATCTCAGACTCCCAGCCTCCAGGACTGCGAGGCAACACAGTTCTATCTTCAGCCACACAGTTGGTGGTACTTTGTTACAGCAGCCTAGGAACTGATACTTTGCATGTGATGGTGAATTTTAGGTGTCAACCTAGATGGATTAAGGAATACCTAGAGAACTAGGAAGGCATTATTTCTGGGTGTGTTTGTGAGGATGTCTCCAGGAGACTGGAGTGTGAGTTGATAGGCTGAATGAGGAAGATCTCCCCTCAAGGTAGGTGGGCACCATCCAATCAGCTGCGGCCCAGAAAGAACAAAAAAGTCAGAGGAAAGGTGATTTCCTCTCTCTCTCCTGGAGCAGGACACCCTTCTTTTCTTGCCCGTGGACACCAGAACTCCAGGATCTCCAGCTCTGGGACTCCAGGACCTGCACCAGAGGCTCCCCAGGTTCTCAGGTCCTTGGTCTTGGACTGAGAGTTCCACCATCTGCTTCCCTTGTTCTGAGGCCTGTGGACTTGGATTAGGCCAGGCTACTGGCATCCCAGGGTCTCCAGTTTGCAGACAGCCTGTTATGGGACTTCTCAGCCTTCACAATCATATAAGCCAGTTTCCCTGATAAAATCCCTCCTCTGTATCTGTCTACCTACTCCATCTATGTATCTATCTATGTATCTATGTATCTATGTATCTATCTATCTATCTATCTATCTATCTATCTATCTATCTATCTATCGTCTATCCAATCATCTATATGTCTAGCCTATTGGTTCTGTCTCTCTGGAGAATCTTGACTAAGACACTGGGTGGCTCTCATTTGCACTTGATAGTAATCTCCTCCAAGAAGCCAGTCAAATTTAGGAGATACTTCTTGTCAGGCCTCTGAGCCCAAGCTAAGCCATCATATCCCCTGTGACCAGCACGTATACATCCAGATGGTCTGAAGTACCTGAAGAATCACAAAAGAAGTGAAAATGGCCTGTTCCTGCATTAACTGATGGCATCATCTTGTGAAATTCCTTCTCCTGGCTCATCCTGGCTCAAAAGCTCCCCTACTGAGCACCCTGTGACCCCCCACCCCTGCCCACCGGAGAACAACCCCCTTTGACTATAATTTTCCTTTACCTACCCAAATCCTATAAAACGGCCCCACCCCTATCTCCCTTCCCTGACTCTCTTTTTGGACTCAGCCCGCTGCACCCAGGTGAAATAAACAGCCTTGTTGCTCACACAAAGGCTGTTTGGTGGTCTCTTCACATGGATGTGAGTGAAACTCCTATGATATCTTATATTTATCCTGTGTTTGGTAAAATAAGATTTCTAAAATAACCAATTTTGGGGTTATTATTATTTAAAAAAACTTTTTTTTTTTCTTTTCTGGCGTTCTTCCCAAGCAAATATTCAGTCCTGATATGGTCAGGGAGATGATAGGATGGTGGGGGACGGTGGAAATTACCAGCAAGATTCTTCCCAAAGTGACTTAAAACAAGATTTTTATTTCACACCTTTCATGAGGCAAGAATCTGGGAGTCCCTCAGCTGGGTGGTTCCAGTCCAGAATTTCTGCTGTAGATACAGTCAAAGTGTCAGCTGGGGCTGCAGTAATCTGAAGGCATGGATTCCAAAGCATGGTCCCTAGGGGAACACGGAGGACCAAAGCATAGACATGTATTTGGGGACATGAGGTTTGAAGAAGGAGGCTCACCCCCACAACAACCCTGTCAGATTAGAAAATTTCCTGACAAGTGAGGAGGGAAAGGATGAATAGGGGAGGAGGTGAGAGCAGAGGATGGAGGGTTTCTAAAAGAGAAGCTGCAATTGGCTTTCCTGGAGGAGTCCTGGGAAATGTGGGAAGACCTTGGGGCAGTTCCAAGCACTTTGTAAGAGGACTTCATAAGTATTTAATCTTCACGAATCTCTGTAAATATTATTATTTACAAATGCACAAACTGAGGCTTAGGGAGGTTAAATAACTTGCACAAAGACACTCCCTGGATAAGCAAGTGTGGTAGCCAGCCTCCAAGATGACCTCCAATGAGTCCTACTTCCAGTATTTATGCCCTTCCACAGTCCCAGCCCCCCACACTGAATCAGGATCAGTCTATGTGACCAAGGGAATGTGGCAGAGGTGATGGTATATTGCTTCTGAGGCTAGGCCATAAATGATATGTGGCTTCTGCCTTCTGTCTCTCGGAGTGCTTGCTTAGGGCGAAGTTAGCCGAAAGTCATGAGGACATTCACACTGTCTATGAAGAGGCCCATATGGCGAGAAACTGAAGCCTCCTGCTAGCAGCCAAGTGGGTGACCCATGTTAGGTGTGAATCTTCCAACCTCAGTCAAGCCTTCAGATAACTCAGCCTCAGCTGACATCTTGACTGCAACCACATGAGAAATTCTCAACTGGAACCTCCCAGCTAAGTCACCCCTAAATTCCTGCCTCACTGAAAATGAAATAAGAAATACTTGTGTTATTATGAATCACGTTGAGGTAATCAGCTGCATAGCATAGAGAACTAGCACAGCAGGGTTCAAACAGAAGCTTGTCTGACCCCTGGGTGATGCCATCAGTTTCCCACAGGCCCTTCTGTCTTCCGCCTTTTCTCTTATCAATAATAAATGGAGAATACATTAATACTTAAAAATCAAAATGCAAATGTTATAAAATGTTCAGGCAGAAATTTAAAGGAGAGAAAAAAGATTCTAGCAACCACCGAAAGCAAACATGGCACGAACAGAGGGCACGGGCTGGGGCCGAAAGTGTTCAAGCCATAAACTGTAATGAGTGCAAACTCTAGGCCCAGCACGGAGCAGGCAGGGGCTTGGCCCTGGGGAGGTACAGACATACAAAAACCCCAGCACCTGGCCTCAGGGACCCTGCAGGCTAGCCAGAGAGAGTCTCTTTTTTCTGGTGTGACTGGTGGTCACGTACAAGTTGAGCAAAAGCAGGAAAGGAGGAGACTGACGGGTCCTGGGAACACAGCAGGGGACATACATTCAAAATGGGGACATTTGGTCCTTTTCATTCTGGAAGTGTCCAGTTATCAACCTTAAGAGACAGCGTAACCTGCGCCTAGCTGTGGGTGAGCAGCACCCTGAGGTGTGGCCATGGCTGGAACCCACTGGGAGCTGCCCGAGTCACCTTAAGGTGCCCGTGTTCAAACAGTGTTGAGTTAATATCTTCTGAGCTCTTGTTTGCAAGGCACTGTGTCAGGCATTGCAGACTCCACCCTTAAGAGGTCAAAAGTGTGAGACAAACACACAAAGAATTCAGATCCAAGAAAAATATTCTGTGTCCGTGAAGTTAATGACATGATCCAATGGCTAAAGCCTGGCCAGCAGTGCTCAGTGGGCAGCTGGGAGATTGTGGCCTGGGGTCTGACAAGGGCAGCAGCAATGGCTGCTGGAGTAAAGGGCTCTGGAAATTGGAAACTCATTGACTGGTTTGTCAGTACAGTAGTATCAAGGGAATATATGTACATTTATAGGCAGGAGCTAGGACTACCAAGACACTGATGGAAACGGTAGGCCCCAAATCTGAAAGTTCCAGGTCAAAGCAAGAAGCATAGAGGAACAAAGTTGAAAGTCCAGTTGAGCATAAAAAATGGGTTTGGGCAGTGAGAGCCAGGACAGCAGGAGTTTGAGCCTGGTTTGGCAGGGCAGAGGAGCGAGATGAGGTGTCAGAGTAATAGTCCTGCTTCCTAGGGAGTAGTACCTGATCTAAAAAGATTGTGAAAAATTTCCCAGAGGTAGACAGAAAGTTCATATCCGGTTGGGGAATCAGTAAAGGCCTGTGGGGCTTTGAAGGATAAGCAGGGTTTTGAGCAGCAGAGCTGGTTATCAGGGAAGAGAAGGAATCATGGTGGAAGAGTCAGAATGAGCAATGGCACTGGTATGGGACAAACGCAAGGCATGCTTGGTGAACAGCTTAGACCAGTCGCACGCAGCAGGGGTGGAGGGGAGAGGATGCTGCCAAATCTCAGAGGGAAGGGAATTTGCCTGGCTTTTTAACCTGATTCCTTCCCTTTCATTTTGGCTTCATGGAGTGGAGGGATTTGAATGGCAGGCTATAGCATTTAAGCATTGTTCTGCAGACAATGAGAAGACAATAGGTGTGTTGGAAAGTTGAGGGCAGAGCTCATTTCTGAGGCAAAGAATTGGCATTCAATTCAATAGAAAATGAGCTGTCAAGTGTCACAGAACACTGTTTTCTCCCCAATTGGATTGTTTCCTATTTGATTCCTAAACCCTCCCTGAAATTTCAGCCTTTCAAAAGTTGATGCTGCTCCAGGGAAGGCAGGTAAGCCCCATGCTGCTGCAGCTCTGTCTGCCTGCATCTGTCTGCTCCATGCTCACTGTCCTTGCCAGCCTGCTGGACCATTCTTCAGCCCCAGCTGAAATATCATACGCCATTTTTTCACATTTTTACATTCCTGCCTTTGGGAAGCATCTTACATTCATGTCAAATGACACTTACCAGCAGTCAGACAGAGAAGTATACTGCGAGGGGGTTGTCATTGCCTGCACATATGCAAGTTTAGCCATGTGTGACCGTATCAGATGATTTGACTGTCACTTCAGTTGAGCTATTTGCATTGGTAGCACCAGGCAAGACTGAATTTAAACTTGAATTCAGGTCCCTAATCCTAATCTTAAATGACTCTTAAAAGAGTATGTATGATGCAGGCTGGATGCAGTGGCTCATTCCTGTAGTCCCAGCTACTTGGGAGGCTGAGGTGGGAGGGTCACTTGAGCCCAGAAGTTCAAGGCTGCAGTGAGCTATGATCATGCCACTGCACTCCAGCCTTGGCGACAGAGTGAGACCCTGTCTCTAAAAACATAAAAAGATTATATGTGATACAGAACTGAAACTAAAAATAATGCAGAATGCAAAAGACTCTGAGGGTAAGCCTGTGGTTTTTAAATGTGGCATAAAGAGGACCATTTCCCTCTTCTCTGAGAAATCACCCAAAAGTGAGAAGGAGAATAAGAAACAGGAACAAAACTCTATCTTGAAAGAAATTAAGAGACATCTGAACCCTGAACCAAAATAGAAGAGGAAGGACTTCCAAATACAGTGAAGGTCAAGCAGGCGTGTGGGAAGATAATGAGAGAGGATGCCCACAGATGGAACCATCAGTCAAACCAGGAAAGCCTAGTTCCTCAAAGTAAGGGACATGCCCTGAGTAGCAAAGCCAACAGCCCCTTTTTGGACCAATAGGAACAGTCTAGAGGTTTGTGACTGGAGACTCCCTAGGCTGGTTAAATCCATAGTCTGAACAACTAAGAAAGGCAGGACTGAGTGAGAAAAAACACAGACAAGCTAGGCTGGCATTCTGATGGTGAGGCAGCATGGTGCAAACTGTCTTACCCTGCTTATGGTATCTGGGAAAAATAGAGGATAAAAGAACTTTCTCACATACACACACAGCCATCTTTAGCCGGGAACATAGCACTAGCCCCTCTTCAATCTAAGCCTCTAGGAAGAATTCACCTCTTTACAAAATATTTTTTCTTAAAAGTCATAGGATCTAAACAAAGATACCACAATAAAGGAAAAGATGAAAGTAACAGTCGAGAAGTGGCATGAAAAACCCTCACCAAAAAAGCCATTGCCATGAAACAGATGAAAAGTTAACCAAACGCAGTGCCAGAAATTTAAAAAAGCAATTAATGAAGCATTTAGTCTTTTCAAAGGAGAGCATGAAACACAAATTCGAGAGCCCAGGAAAGACATGGCAAGGCACAGAGAGAGATGAAATGTGAGTTGGCAGAGCATGGAAAAGCAGGGAGATAAAAAGTGAAACCATTTCAGAAACACAGGCTGGGCGCAGTGGCTCATGCCTGCAGTCCAAGCTACTTGGGAGGCTGAGGTGGAAAGATCACTTGAGCCCAGAAGTGAAGCAATACTCAAGAGAAGAAACTGAGTTGGAAACACGGTAAGATAAAGGGGAGAGAGAATTGAGAAAGGTGAGCAAAGTGAAATTAAAATGACCAGAGAGTTTAAAATGATTGCAGAGGATATCTTCAGTTACGATGGGCTGGTTAGTATCAGACCAGCTTTCCCCATGAGAATACCACCAGACTGAGCCCAGGAGAGGGAATTAAGGAATGGGAAAATAAGTAAGTTGAAAATACCTAAATTGAAGTCCTGAAAGGAAAAACAAAGAGTAGAAAATATAAAAAGGGCATAAGAGACATCTGGGACGTGGTGAAAAAGTCTGACATGCACTGCAGATAATCTGGCTTGTAATTTTCCAAAAGTGATAGAAGATATCAAGTCACAGGTTAAAGAATCCTCCCAGGATACATGTAATGAAAACCACACCCAGGCACATTGTAAAAAGGATAAAGGGAAAATTTTAAGGACATTTTTAAAACAGAAAAGGGAATAAAAACACATTACATTCAAAGATACAATGACACTTCTAGTTAACTTTCAACAGAAGTTGTAAAAGCCCAAAGAAATGCATTGTCATCTTTCAAGTCCTGAAAGAAGACAATGGCCAACCTGAAATTCTCTTCCCAGAGAAAACAGGATTCAAAAGCTGCAGAGATGGTCATTTTCAAAAACTCAAACAAACAAAAAATCAAGAAACCTGAGAGACTGTATTACCAGCAGAGTCCACTAATAGAGAACTGAAGAGGTTTTCTTTAAGCAGGTAGAGATTGATCTTAGCTGGAGGTGCAAGAAGGAATGAAGAGAACCAGCAGAAACATGAGGATAAATCTAAGTCAATACTGAGTTTTAAATAGTATTTTTATTGAGGATCTTATATGTTCAATTAAAACACATAACAGCAATAGTATAAAAGGCAAGAAGAAGGTAATAAAATCAAAGTGTTCTGGTCAGGTGTGGTAGCTCATGCCTATAATCCCAGCGCTTTGGGAGGCTGAGGTGGGAGGATCCCGTGAGCCCAGTTTAAGACCAGCCTGGGCAACATAGCAAGACCTTGTCTTTACCAAAAATCTAAAAAATTAGCAAGATGCAGTGATGCGCACCTGTAGTCCCAGCTTCCCTGGGGTGGGGTGGGGCATCGGTGGGAGGATTGCTTGAGCCCAGGAGGTGGAGGCTGTAGTTAACTGTGATTGTGCCACTGCACTCTAGCCCCAGTGACAGACTGAGACCCTGTCTCCAAAACTACATATAATAAAGCATTCTAAGGTCGTTGCACTGTCTGAAAAGTGGTGAAAGCATTAATTTAAGGGACACTCACAAAGTCAAAAATGCATTTTGCAATCTCTAAGGCAAGCGAATAATAAGAGAATATGTAACTAATAATAAAGGAAGGGGCATGAAATGGAATAACAAAAACACAACCAAAAAAAGGTTGTTAATCTAAAAGAAGTCAAGAAAGGATAAATATTAAAAAACAATGAAAATATAGAACAAATAGAAAAATGGATAAGACGGTTGATTTAAACCCAGATATAGAATTAATTATATTAATGTAAATGAACTAAGTAATTAAAAACCGAAAACATTGTCAGACTCAATTAAAATGAGCCAAAAACTATGCTGCTTAAAAGAAATATTTTAAATATAGAAACTATGAAAGGTTGAAATTAACAGGATAGAAAAAATATAACCAAAAGTAAATTGTGTAGCTTTGCTATATCAGACAAAGTAGACTTTAAGACAAGAACTATTATTAGAGACAAAGAACATTTTATAATAATAAAAGAGTCAATTTAACAAGAAAATGTGATTATTCTAAATAATCCAGAAGTCAACATAGAAATCACAATGGAAATTATGAAATATTTTAAATGATAAAAAAAACAGACAATGTATGGCATTCAGCTAATGTCATACTTAGAGGGAACTTTGTGGCATTAAATGCATTTATAATGGGAGAAAAAGGCTGAAAAGCAATTACCTAAGTAACTATTTCAAGAAACCTAGAAGATAATCATCAAATTAAAACCAAAAGAAATAGAAAGAAGAAAATAATAAAGAACAAAAATCAATGTAATAAAAAACAAACATGCAATACTTAAAAATCTAAGAAGCCTAAAATTAGTTTTTAGACTAATAAAATTGATAATCTCCTACCTGAACCAATGAAGAAAAATAGAGAAAAAGCATAAAACACCAACATACAGTTATAAAGATCCTAAAGACAATAAGAGGATAATGAGAAGGCAATATAAATAACTTGATACCAATAAACTTAGACATTTAGATGCAATGAGCAAATTCCTCGAAAAGCACTATTTTCCAAAATAGTCACAATGAGGAATAAAAAATATAAGTCATTCTATATTTATTAGGTAAAAATGAATATATAATTTAAAATCTGTCACAAAGAATAAGCTAAGCTCTGATGGTGCCAATAGAAAATTTCTCCCAATATCCCACGATATTATGTAAACCTTTACAGAGAAAAGACAAAAAGATTAAGAGGCCAGCACAACATAAATTGTATCACAACCTGAAACTTCAGTTAAAAAGTTTGTTGTTGTCGTTGTTTGAGATGCAGTCTCGCTCTGTCACCCGGACTGGAGTACAGTGACGCGACCTCTGTTCACTGCAACCTCTGAGTAGCTGGGATTACAGGCGCCCACTATGATGCCCGGCTCATTTTTGTACTTTAAGTTGAGACAGGGTTTCACCATGTTGGCCAGGCTGGTCTCAAACCCCTGATCTCAGGTGATCTGCCCACCTTGGCCTCCTAAAGTGCTGGGATTACAGACGTGAGCCACCGCATCAGGCCAAAAAGTTTACTTTAAAAAGAATCCACTAGAACAGCAGTCCCCAACCTTTTTGGCACCAGGGACTGGATTCATGGAAGATAACTTTTCTACAGATGGGAAGGCTGTGGGGTGGTTTCGGGATGAAACTGTTCCACCTCAGATCATCAGGCATTAGATTCTCATAAGGCACGTACAACCTAGATCCTTCTCATGCACAGTTCACAATAGGGTTTGTGCTCCTTTGAGAATCTAATGCCACCGCTGATCTGACAGGAGGCAAAGCTGGGGCGGTAATACTCCTTGCTCACCCACCTCCTGCTGCACGGCCCAGTTCCTAACAGGCCACGGACCAGTACCAGTCCACGGCCCAGGTATTGGGGACCCCTAGTCTATCCTGTTGGAAAGTCTCTAGTTATATAATTACAAGTTTGTTGGATGCTTCTGACTGGTTGAGCTTAAGTTCTGTTTTCCTTTAATACAAATATTTACAAGAAATAGCTCGAGTTAAGTTTTGCTTATGTTTACAAATCAAGCAAGGTCGTGGTCATTTGTGAGGCCTGACTTATGGTTCTGTCTGCTCAGGGGTTCTTCAGACCTGGTCTCCATTTTAATGGACTGTATCATTAGAGCCTGCCTGCATCCAATGACTGTACCTCTCTTCATGTAGAACCCTCTCTTATGAGGATAAGAATTTCTGTATAGCTTTGCATAAATGAAACCAAGGATGCAGGCTCTGCAGCAGATTTAAGAGATTTTCTAAGGCACTTCTGGTTCTGCTTGATTTTTGCCTCTGGGCTAATTACGACACATTATCTGCTCATCAATTTCGATGCCACCGCATAACAGATAGAGAGGATGTAGTGTGAGAAGATAGATTCTACATACCCACGCACACACACACACAATTGAGGGGAGGATGAGGGGGAAAAGGATTTATGCATGTACAGGCATTTCTGCCTTCACCTGAAGCATAGATAAGAACTCAGGAGTTCTCATCAGCGTGGACTTCCCCGGCAGAGGAACTGAATATGCAAAGACATGGAGGCATAAAGGTCGAGGCTTGTTGAAAAACTAAGGAGTCACTTGTGTTTCCTCTCTCTGGTGAGGGGACATTAGCTCATGATCCTGACAGAGGGATAGACTGCTGACATTTTCTCTTTGGTTCCTAGTGTTAAATCTAGTTAAATGGTTCCAATGGGCTGGGAGTGCAATTAACAAGCAGCAAGAGCACCCCAGGGACACTGGTTATGGAGTCCTCTTAGGGCAGCACTGCCCAATAGAACTTTCTGTGATCATGGAAATGTTCAGCAGCTACACTGTCGAATATGATAGTCACTAGCCATATGTGACCATTTAGCATTTGTGGCCAGTGGGAATGAGGAAGTGAATTTTTTTTTGAGATGGAGTCTTACTCTGTTGGCCAGGCTGGAGTGTAGTGGTGCCATCTCGGTTCACTGCAACCTCTGCCTCCCGGGTTCAAGCAATTCTCCTGCCTCAGCCTCCCTAGTAGCTGGGACTACAAGCATGTGCCACCACACCCAGCTAATTTGTGTTTTTTTAGTAGAGATGGAGTTTCACCATATTGGACAAGATGGTCTTGAACTCCTGACCTCAGGTGATCCACCTGCCTCAGCCTCCCAAAGTGCTGGGATTACAGGCGTGAGCCACCACACCCGGCCAGGAAGTGAATTTTTAGTTTCAGTTAATTTAAATTTAACTAAGCTTGAATTTAAATAGGTACATGTGGCAATACATAACAGCAGCTCTGGGGACACCCTCCATGATCACAGCTCCTGGTCCTCCAGTCTGCTGTGGCAATTCCCCATAGGCTTTTCCCTTCTACCATTCGTTAGCATTTCTTGAGCAATTACTATGGGTAGAGTTCTGAATTCGATGCTGATGGGAGCAAACGATGGAACAGGCATGGTCCCTGACTTCTAGGAGCTTGTGTTCTAGAGAGACAGAACTAAGGGAAGGCCACTCGGTGAGTGCAGTGGCCAGAAGGGCCCAGGGTTCTGGGACAGCACGAGGAGGGCTGCAGCCCTGTCTGTTGTTCAGGGGTGGCTTCTCAGAAGGCAGAGGCATGAGGCTGAACTGGCACTGGGAATGGAGGTTGGGGAAGGGCCAAGTGGAGGAGGCGGCGCCCTGCTGTTGTCATGGCAACACTGGGGCCCTGGCATTCATAGCCTGCCCCTGTGCTGCTATGTAATGAAGCCACCAAACTGTGGTAGGGAATTGCCATTCATGTAATTTATTTTTATACCTTATTTCCTCCCTGAAACAGTTGAGGAGAATTGTGAGAGCAAACACACAGCACAACAGGATAAAAATAGCCCTTCAAGTGAAGGGAAAGCAAGGAGACCTGGTCAGATGAAGCCGGAGGGCTCCAGGGTAATCTCCAGCCCTGGGGAGCCGTCAGATGCGTTACTCACATAGAGACGGCCTGCCCGCTGTGTTATCTGGGAGCCCAGGCACTTGGCATCACTGCAGCCTGGTCCTGGGCAGGCCCAAAGATGGGAGTAATTTGAGGAAGCAGAACCATGGGGTCCTCTCAGTTTCATAAGTGCTGAAGGACATAGAACTGAACCCTTGACCTAGCACCCAGTGATGGGTGGAATCGTGTTCCCCGGAAAAGATATGTTGACTGACATCCTAGCCCCCTGTACAGTGTGAGCACTGTAACCTTATTTGGAAATGGGGTCTGTCCAGATGTAATCAAGTTGAAATGAAGTCAGTCATTCAGGTGGGCCCTAATCCAGTATGACTGGTATCCCTATAAAAAGGAGAAATCTGAACACAGAGACAGACACGCAGAAAGAAGATGGCCACGTGAAGAGGGAGGATTGGGGCAATGCACCTACAAGTCAAGAAAAACCAACGTCTGCTGGCAAACTGGTAGAAGCTAGGGAGAGGCAAGGAAAGGTCTTTTCCCTGCAGGTTGCAGAGGGAGGTGGCCCTGTCCACACCTTGATTCCGTCCTTTCAACCTCCAGAATTGTGAGATAATCATTTCCGTTCCTCGAAGCCACCTTGTTTGCAGTGTTTTTTTACAGCAACTCTGGGAGGCTCAGACACACCCTGATTCACAACTTGCTGCTTAAAAGGCTGTTGGAATGAGGGCCAGCTTGGGAGCATGTGAGGGGCTGAGACTGTGAGGTCAGGGGCCAAGGGGGACTGTATAGCAGAAGGTGCCCAGTGTGGGGAAAGGAGGAATGTGTCAATGACAGGGATTGTTCCTAACTCGAGAAACCTTCTTCACCATTAATTTCACTTCTATTGTACCACAAGGAATGGAAGGAGACCACACATACAGAAATTTCAGTTCACTCACAGTCTTAGAAAGACTTCCCATTTCCTGATCAGTGTTCTACTTGTTTCTGGGTTTTTGGCTGTTTTTTAAAGTTTCTAATGTCTTTGACTAATCATTTTTCTACATAGTCTATAACACTTTATTTTAACTTTATGTTAAAATACAAATAGCCAATTATAACTAATTTGTACCTTTCATTCCATGTCAGAATCACAGACAATGTGACTTGTCACACCTGACAGAGTTTGGACATGCCCCTAGGTGACTAGTCACTGAAAATGAAAAACTATTTAAAAGAATAATTTTTTTAAAAATGTAAGGAGAGGTGGGGTGGCAAGGCCAACTACTTTAGTCTGCCTTAGTGTAGAGCAAAGCTCCAACATCTACTGTACAATTTTTGATTTCTAAGATTTGGTTACATAACAGCACCCCAATGTCAGTTGGTCTTTGTTTTTTTTTGAATAATTTTTAGTGCTTCAGTTTCCTTATTTGCAAAGGAGCAACAATAATATCACTACCTCATAGGGTTGTTGAGGGCTTAGAGGTTAACTTGGCGCCATGCTTGGCACGTGGTTAGTGCTCCAGGACATTAGCATGGGTGTCTCCTCTACACTGTTCCTGACTCATGAAAACACTGCCAGTGCTTGACCCTCACCAACGACCGCACTCTACCAGCTCCCTGCACAGCCCATCCCAGTTTAAACAGCTTAAATGTTAAAATGTTCCTCCTTACTCTAAGTCCATGAAATTCTGCTACTAGAAATTTAAAATTAAGAAGTGAGTCGGGCCAGGTACAGTGGCTCACGCCTGTAATCCCAGCACTTTGGGAGGCCAAGGCAGGCAGATCATGAGGTCAGGAGATTGAGACCATCCTGGCTAACACGATGAAACCCCGTCTCTACTAAAAGTGGAAAAAATTAGCCAGGCGTGGCGGCGGGCGCCTGTAGTCTCAGCTACTCGGGAGGCTGAGGCAGAAGAATCGCTTGAACCCAGGAGGCAGAGGTTGCAGTGAGCCGAGATCGTACCACTGCACTCCAGCCTGGGCGACAGAGCAAGACCCTCTCTCAAAAAAAAAGAGAGAATGTCTTTGTAAGTAATACATGCACGTGTGATGGGGCATCAGATCAGCAACTTACTGTCAAATGGCCCTGGGAAAAAGTTCTTCATTGTATACTTGGAGAGAGTTTAATAAAAAGACTCAATCTTGTTAAGATGGCGGTACTCTCCAATTTGATCTGCAGAATCAGTGAAATCTCTATCAAAATCCTAACTGGTTTCTCTGAAGAAACTAACAAGCTGATTCTAAAAATTGATATGGGAGAAGGAAGATTCTTTTCAACAGATAGTGCTGGGAAACTAGATATCCGCCTGCAAAAAGAATGAGGCTGAATCCTTACCTCACAGTATATATAAAAATTAACTCAAAATGGATCAAAGCCATAAATCTAAGAGCTGAAACTCTAAAGCTCTTAGAAAAAACAGAAGGGTAAATCTTTATGACTTTGGATTAGAAAAATGCTTTCTTAGCTATAACTCTAAAAGCACAAGCAACCAAAGAATATACATATAAATTGGACTTAGCCAAAATTAAAACCTACTGTGCTTCAAAGGATACTACCAAGAAAGTGAAGAGACAACTTAGCAGCTTTTTAAATAATAGCCCCAAACTGGAATCAACCCACATGTCCTTTAATGGGTAACTGGTTAAACAAACTGTGGTACATTCATACCATGAATACTATTCAGCAGTAAGAAGGAATAGACTACTGACACATACAATAACTTGAATGGACCTCAAGGGCACTATGCTGAGTGAAAAAAAAGCCAACCTCGGCTGGGCGAGGTGGCTCACGCCTGTAATCCCAGCACTTTGGGAGGCTGAGGTGGGCGGATCACCTGAGGTCGGGAGTTCGAGACCAGCCTGACCAACATGGAGAAACTCCATCTCTATTAAAAATACAAAAATTAGCCAGGTGTGGTGGCGCATGCCTGTAGTACCAGCTACTTGGGAGGCTGAGGCAGGAGAATTGCTTGAACCTGGGAGATGGAGGTTGTGGTGAGCCAAGATTGCGCCATTGCACTCCAGACTGGGCAACAAGAGTGAAACTCTGTCTCCAGAAAAAAAAAAGGAAAAAAAAAAAAGAAAAAAAGCCAACCTCAAAAGGTTACATACTGCATGATTCCTTTATATGACATATGACATTCTTTTTTTTTTTTTTTTTGAGACAGAGTCTCGCTGTGTCACCCAGGCTGGAGTGCAGAGGCATGATCTCGGCTCACTGCAACCTCTGCCTCCCAGGTTCAAGCCATTCCCGTGCCTCAGCCTCGCAAGTAGCTGTGATTACAGGCACACGCCACCATGCCTGGCTAATTTTTTTTGTGTTTTTATTAGAAACAGGGTTTCACCATGTTGGCCAGGCTGGCCTCCAACTCCTGACCTCAGGTGATCCACTCACCTTGGCCTCCCAAAGTTCTGGGATCATAGGCATGAGCCACCATGCCTGGCTGGTGCTTCTTTAACTATATTTTGGGGAGTTATTTTCTTGGTGTTTGCCTTTGGGATACTATTAGCCTCTTAATTTATAAAAATCAAATTGTATTGATACCAAATTAATTTCAATCAGATTTAAAAACTTTGCTTATACATAGCTCTGTTTCCTCCCCTTCCTTTGTGCTGTCTGTGTCATGTGAATTATATCCTTATACATTGTGTACCTATCAACATAGTTTTACAATTATTGCTTTATTGCAATTGTCTTTTAAATCAGATAGGAGACGCCGGGTGCGGTGTCTCACACCTATAATCCTAGCACACATTTGACTGCAGAACTCAACTCTCCCAGAGACAGTAATCTGCAGAACATAATTGAGACTTGGACTTTATGCTTGGATATCTTCCAGCTGTGCCCATTCTCTGACCTGCCATGCTCTCCCATATTGCCACACCTCTGAACCCTACTTCCTCTGCTTTGAAACCCTTTACGCTCCCACATTTATCTGATTAACTATTCATCCTTCAAAACTTATCCTAACCATCTTCATCTTCCTGAAGCCTTCCCCACCTCCCTCTCATAGAATTGGCCACTCCTTCTCCTGAGATTCCCGAGCACTTTGTAGAAACATCCACTGAGTCATCATTTGCCATGCTGCAATATAATTATATGTTTACATGGCTCTTCTTGTGACCTCCTTGTGGGGACTGTCACCTCCTCAAGAGCAGTGACCAATCTGATTCATCTAGATGTCCTCAACGCACAATATAAGGCCAGGCATTGGCAGCATCATAACCGTTGAGTGAGCAATTCTTACTTCCAAAGATGACAGCCAGTGGAAATCAAGGATCATGACCAAGATGATCCACCCTGCAATATTTAGCAGCATTAAGACAAGTCACTGCAATCCTCTGAGGCACAGTATTTCATGATGACTAGGAGCACAAACTCTGGGGCCTGATGGCCAGGGTTCATATCTACACTTTATCACTTGCTATCTGTATAACCTGGAGCAACTCATTTAACTCCCTTTAGCCTCAGATTCCCCATCTGGAAGATGAGGATAGTAGCCTCCTCTACCTGATGGGATGTGTGGGGATTAAATGAGATAATTCATGTAACAGAGCTACCAAGCCCGACACATAGAAAGCACTCAGTGAGCAGTGGCTGTTTATGTTATTACCTTTTCCTGCTTGTCACCTGCCTGCCACCACCTCCCCTCCTATGTTCAGTCAGTTATCAGCAGGCTCCCCTCTAGCTTCCTTACCCCTGACCTCCTGCCTGTCACTATCACCCATGACCAACACTTGTCCACCCATTCATACCCAGGGGCAGCCTGAGCTGCCAGCATGCACCCATCCTCACATGTACCTCCAGGGCTGTATGCACAGGCCCAACTCATCCCTCAAGGCCAGATTCAAGCTGAGTCTGCCTGTGAAGCTTCACCAACCCTTGGCCTCTCCCTTCCCTCCTGTAGCATTCATCTGGCCCACGTGATGAGCATTTGGCCATGTACCCCCATTGTTTCACATAGGCCAGAGTTCCTCCCTCAGAAAGATGACAGTCCTTCTGGGCAGAGGCCTAAGCTCATTCCATTTCCTTCTGTGACTGGCTCCTAAATTCAAGACCCAGGCAAGGGCCATGGCAGGATACTGAGAGTGCAACAGCACATCACGCCGTCTCTATACATGTCCCTTGAGGTCGCAATGATGAGATAGCAGCAGTCCCACAACCAGCTGCCTCCAGAGTCCAGGCAGCAGGTTCTATGTGAGATCTTCAAGGTTTTAGATAACTAAACCTTATACTCAGAGGTGTGATGTTATCTAAAATGGTTTGATGATCTTGGGCTGCATGAATAGAAGCTCAGTTTCCAGGACAAAGGCAAGGGTTTTGTGTCTTCTCAACTGGTGTGACATTGTGTTTCATCCCTGCACACTGATGGACTGTCATAGCAACACCAAGAATACACAAAAAAAGGGAAGCACCAATGTCTAGTAGTCTAGAAACGACCTCTGATGGGGAACAGCCAGAAACATAAGAATTTTCCATTAAGAAAATATAATCATGTGATGTCCTTTAATAAAGATTTTTAGGGTTTTTTTTTTAACCTTAAAATCTAGCATTCATAGTGATGTAGCTACAACATCCTAGCAAGCTGTTGTTATTGTTTTTTCAAAAAAAATCAAATTGCCATCTGCTAAACCTTGTTGATAAATTTATTTCGAAACATGCTTTCTTCTTCCTTTCTCCCATCCCAATCTTAATTATAGAAGAGCCAGCCCACAGTACTCTCCTCCAATCAGGGCTTTAAAACACTATGAGCTATCTCACACGAAATGTGAGGTCTGGAAATCAGTGGGAAGAATAGTCTGTAAACTGAGCATTCAGTGTAGGAAGACAGTGAATATTATCTTGAAAAACTGGAATTATGTTACTGAAGAAGTGTAAGGTGACTATTCATGTCTACATGAGATCGTAAGGAAGAGAGACTCAGCAGACACAGCCAATGGTGGGACCCACACTGCAAAACCTAATGATGATTAAACAGTCTGAGAGGCTTAAGATGCTCAGAGAAACAAAGGAAAGGACAGAATCCACAGGGCAGGGAGAGGATATTGGGGAAAATAAGGAAGCAAATAGAAATAAAATAGCCATTAAGGTTAAAACACTCCCTAGGCAAGTTAAACTAGATGACTAGATAGAGGACTTGTAGTTTGGAAGATGATTCTAAGGAAATCAGACCAAAACACAGAGAAAGAGCAGAAATTATGAAAGTGAAATCAACGTAATGTGAAGAGTAGAATGACAAATTCAATATAAATCTAAATAGGGATTTGAAGCAGAGAATAGGGAGAGTGAGGGAGAGGCAACATATTGAAGAGATAATGGAGGAGAATTCACCAGAATTGAAGAAGGGTGAGTGCTCAAACTGAAAAGGCACACGAATTATGAGCAGAATACATGAAAATAAATCCACCTGCAGTCGCACTGTAGTGATGCTGAGGAGTGTCAAATACAAAGACCAAATATTAAGATTTTCTTAAGAAAGGGAACTAATGTAAGTTACTGAGAAGCTATATCCTGTCTTTTCTGCTGGGCTGGTGGGCTGGTGGCTGGTGGCTGGTGGGTTGGTGGGCTGGTGGGCTGGTGGGCTGGTGACTGGTGGGTTGGTGGGATGGTGGGCTGGTGGCTGGTGGGTTGGTGGGATGGTGGGCTGGTGGCTGGTGGCTGGTGGGCTAGTGACTGGTGGGCTGGTGGGCCGGTGGTTGGTGGCCTGCTGAGCTAGTGGCTAGTGGGCCGGTGGGCTGGTGGGCTGGTGGCTGGTGGCTGGTGGCTGGTGGGCTAGGGGCTGGTGGGCTGGTGGGTGGTGGGCTAGTGGCTGGTAGGCTGGTGGGCTGGTGGACTGGTGGGCTGGTGGCTGGTGGTCTTCAACTTCCAGCCAGAGAATGCAGCAAGAACTGAGAAGTAGCCAGTTACTCTCCAAGTGAAGGTTAGGCTACTTGAGTGAGACATTTAGACCAAGAAGAAGGTGGCAACTTCATCCAAACCACTCTGCAAGGCCTCGTTGTTAAGATATGTTGATAACGTGGGCTTGGGCTTTCATTCTTTAACATGGGTGGGCATGCATGTGCGTGCATGTAGGGCAGTGGTGTTGGGCATCTTAAATTATCTGCAATCCATCTCCTACTTTTTAGTAATGTACATAAAAGGATAATGAAAGTCTCCCAAAGCAAAAGTTCTCAATCCTAGCTGCAGGTGAGAATACACTGACGCCCAGGCGGGCCCATGTTTAAACTCTCTGGAGAGTGACATCAATGATATAGATGAGTCTGTGTCACGGGGCCTCCTCCTCTGTCCATGTCCTGAAGGAACTCAGCCAGTGTGCCTGCAATACGTGTCAACTGCCTCTCTGAGCATCAAGTCCCGTGAGGGTCCCTGAGCCGTGATGGGGTTGCTGGTCCCCTGCGTTCTCCACCCTCTCGTAATCATGGTTGTGTCCACTGCATGCCCCCAGTCCTGTTGTAAACTTAAGCTTCACCACAGGCAGGGAAGAAAGACACTTTCTCTTTAGACAACTGGCTCGGCTAAAATGTAAATATGACCTTTGGGAACTGCTAACCTGACCACCCGAGGGTTGATTCCAGTAAAAAGAATATCTTCATCATTTTCACTTGCAGAATTACAAAGACATGACAAACATCGCGTTCTGTTTTAAACATCGTCACCCAGAAAGCTTTACCCCGGCTTTGGAGTCAGAGTCTGCTGGGATGTACTTGTTGAAACCACTTCTTTCGCATGTGGGAGGCTACACAAATTCCTGTGGTTTTGGGACCTTCAGTTTCTTCATCGGTAAAAAGAATGAGGGGGCTGGACTGGACTTTTGGCTTGTGGTCCGTGGGATACAGGGTTCAGACCTCCAGGAAACTCTCCAAATCAGGGCCTTTGCAGATAGGACCCAGGCTTTTGTATTTTAAGAAGCCCCCACAGATGATACTGACATACACTGCTGGCTACTGACCTCGATTACTTTAATTCCTAACATTTTATATTAAAACCCCCAGTTTGCAGACAAAGTAAAACAGTGTCTAATAATAGTGCTAAAAATTCCCTCACAAAATTTTAGTACTATGATTCCATTTAAATTGGATTTTTTCAATTATTTAGATAAATAATTAATTTATAATGAAAGAAATCCAAGTACCAACGCTGTATTAACCAATATGGCTCTAATATATATATACTCATCATTTAAGTGAAACAAAGTACTTGGTTTAGGAGGAATACTAATAAGAAATGCCTTAGTTAGGAAATGTTCTAAAACATTCATGATGAAAAAAGGGCAGTGTAGGAGTCTCCAAGCAAAACTACCTCATTTCATTACCAAATCATTAGACCTCAGAATCAGGTCTTACATCAGGGATGAAAATAAAGAACTGAAACTTACCCTGGAATTGAGAACAGAAACTGAAGCCATGGCTAAAAAGCAGAAGATAGCTGTAGAGAAAGCACCTTCTTGTCATAGCACCCAGTGGGTGAGCAAGGAAAAACTGATGAAAGGAAAATCCTGGTGGGCGAGGCTCAGGGTGCCACTGAGTGCTGGTCTCTCTGGCCTGTGTGGAGAGGCAGGAGCACTGTCTCAGCATCTGAGGATGAACTAGACACTACACCCCAGCACAGGTAGGGCGCACCTCAACTCCGACCCCTCACCTCTGGGCAAAGGTGGGGCAGGACTACAACTCTAAAGCTATTAAGTGCCTCATCCTGTCAAAGTCAAGCCTCAGAATAGAAACTGAGTTGACTTATAGAAAAATGAAGTTGTTTTTCCTTGCACATTTGTGGACTGGTACATATATATCCCCGCCACAGAGTCGCTGTGGTCGTTAGCTTTGTTTAACTCTGCTCTTTGGCTCAAATGGAGATCTTGGCATACCCTGAGTACCTTCCGGCTCCTTCTTTTTTTTTTTTTTTTTTTTTTTTTTTTTGAGATGGAGTTTTGCTCTTGTTGCCCAGGCTGGAGTGCAGTGGCGTGATCTCAGCTCACCGCAAACTCCGCCTCCCAGGTTCAAGCAATTCTCCTGCCTCAGCCTCCTGAGTAGATGGGATTACAGGTGTGCGCCACCACCCCAGCTAATTTTGTATTTTTAGTAGAGACGGGGTTTCTCCATGTTGGTCAGGCTGGTCTTGAACTCCCGACCTTAGGTGATCCTCCCACCTCGGCTTCCCAAAGTGCTGGGATTACAGGCGTGAGCCACCGCGCCTGGCCTTCCTGCTCCTTCTACTTCTTCAAGTATAGATTGCTCCTTCCTCCCTCCATTAGCAGTGGGAGAATTTATTCATTCACTCCCTCATTTCATTCATTCGTTCTATAAACACCACATGTCAGAGACAACACAAATGTCAGGCACATGTCAGGCAACACGTCAGGCAACACACATAATAGCAGGAGGCTGCGCATGGTGGCTCATGCCTGTAATCCCAGCACTTTGGGAGGCCAAGGCAGGCATATCACCTGAGGTCAGGAGTTTAAGACCAGCCTGGGGAACATGGTGAAATCTTGTCTCTACTAAAAGTACAAAAATTAGCCAGGTGTGGTGGTGGGTGCCTGTAATCCCAGCTACTCAGGAAGCTGAGGCAGGAAAATCGCTTGAACCCAGGAGGCAGAGCTTGCAGTGAGCCAAGATCATGCCACTGCACTCCAGCCTGGGCAATAAGAGTGAAACTGTGTCTCAAAAAAAAAAAAAAGAAACGGAAAGAAGGAAGGAAGGAAGGAGAGAGAGAGAAAGAAAGGAAGGAAGGAAGGAAGGAAGAAGAAAAAGAAAGAGAAAGGAAGGAAGGAGGAAAGAAAGAAAGAAAAAGAAAGAAAGAAGAGAAAGAAAAGCAGAGAACAGGACAAGTTCCTTTTCTCCTGAAGACTACATTTTGAAGGTGAGCGACAGACAGTAAACAAATAAATATATAATGTGTCAAGTGGTGACAAGTGCTCTGAAGATAAATATAGTAGGGAAAAGGAATGAAGAGAGACAGGAGGCAGATGCTATTTTAGAGGTGGTCAGGGAGGCCTCTATGTTGACCTGACATTTGAGCAGAGAGGTCTGTGAACTTATAAAAATGCTTTATACACAGGATAACCACAGATAATCAGCCAACTGGCACAGTAGGGGAACTATTCCCTCAGCAGTACACCCAGAGCCTTGTCACAGTGTAAGGCTGGATCAAATGACCTCTAAAAGAGGCGTAATTGCCAGCTGGGTATGCATCCCCACTGATGAAAGGGAAGCTGACCAAAAATAAAAACTGGTAGCACTAGAAATGGGCTCCCATTCAAAACAATGTTCCTGTAAACATATATTGAATTACTTATCAAAAGAGTAGACTGACAAAATCTAAATACCTAAAACTATCCAGAGTATTTCCCAATCATGTTTTTCCTTATACTGCATTGATCCGAAAATGTCGAGGAAAGGTTTAGAAATGCATGCTCCCCCAGGCACAGAGGCTCACTCCTGTCATCCCAACACTTTGGGAGGCCAAGGCAGGAGGATCACTTGAGGCCAGGAGCTCCAGACCAGCATGGGCAACATTGCAAGACCCCATCTCTACAAAAAAATTTTAAAATTATCAGGGCATGGTGGCATGCACGTGTAATCCCAGCTACTCAGAAGGCTGAGGTGGGAGGATCCTTGAGCCCAGGAGTGCGAGGCTGCAATAAGCTTTGATTGTGCCACTGCACTCCAGGCCAAGCAACAGAGCAAGACCTCATCTCTAAACAAAAATAGAAGTTCAAGGTCGCAATCATGTTCCAAGATTCCACAGAGACACACAATACGGCTTATGGAAGGCCTCCTCTCAACTGCAAGTGAGAAGCAGAAGGTGTGTGGAGGGTAGACAATGAGACTTCATGGTCAGGCGGGCCTGTGTCTGAATGGAACTGAGACAGGGATGTTAAATAACTTGCCCAAAAGCACACAGCCAGTGAGGCAGGAAGTCAGTATTAAACCTCAGGCAAATCTTAGGGGAATTATGCTGAGGGAGAAAAAAAAGCCAATCTTAAGAGGTCACATACTGTCTAATTCCATAACATTCTTGTGTAACATTCTTGAAATTACGAAATTATCAAAATGGAGAACGGGTTCCAGGTCAGAGGGGTAGGGAGGGAGGTGGCTGAAGCCATAGCAGGGTAGGATGAGAAGTCCTGTGGTGATAGAACAGGTCTGGGTCTTGATTGTGGTGGTGGTGTGATACCGAAATCTATGTGTGATACAGTTGCACAGGATTAAATACACACACACACACACACACACACACACAGGATGTATTAAAGCTGGTGGAATCTGAAAAAGCTCTGTGGATTGTTCCAATGTCAATTTCCCGGTTTCAGTAGTGTTCAGTAGTATGCAAGATATTACCCGTGGGTGAAACTGAATGAAGGGTTCACAGGATTTCTGTTTTTATTTCTTACAACTGTGCATGAATCTATAATTACTTCAAAATAAAAAGTTAAAAACCAACCAAACAAAAAGCAACTCAGGCAGTTGTAGGCTTGAGCCTAAGCCTTAACCATGATGTAGGGCCAGTAGCTGTGAAACTTTTATGAATCAAGAGATTTTTTAATTAAACAATTTCTATTATTCTGCAATGTTCTCTTTACCTTTTTAATGGACAAGGAAAATAAATCTAATTTAAAATAGCTTTCAAATGCATGTATTGAGTATTTTATCTAAATCCTTACTTTCTCATAATATAGCCCACATAAAACATCCCAATTCAACATAAGGGGAGAAAACAGCTTCTAAAATATCTGCATTTCTTTCACACATCCCCATTAAAATACAAACTTCTATAGATAGAAAAGTAATCAGGAAGCAAAAGCTTTAAAATAATCCTTGGCCAGGTGTGGTGATTCACGCCTGTAATTCCAGCACTTTGGGAGGCCGAGGTGGGCAACCCCGTCTCTATTAAGAATACAAAAATTAGCCAGGTATGGTGGCACATGCCAACATGGTGCAACCCCGTCTCTATTAAGAATACAAAAATTAGCCAGGTATGGTGGCGCCTGCCTGTAATCTCAGCTCCTGGGGAGGCTGAGGCAGGAGAATCACTTGAGCTGGGAGGCAGAGGTTGCAGTGAGGCTAGATTGTGCCACTGCACTCCAGCCTGGGCGACAAGACTCTGTCTCAAAAAATAAAATAATAAGCAAGACTCTGTCTCAAAAAATAAAAAAATTAGAAAAAATAATCCTCAATGTCCAGCACCATGGACTGAACTGTCCATGTAACACTCACGTGTTTCTACTGCATTTGTGGAAGGCTGTAGGGAGAAAGGAGTGCCTTTGCTCAGCATACCTTCTGCAAGTGTCCCCCAAATCCATAGTAAAAGTAACATCCCTTTTGTTCACCTTTAGTTGTTTAGATTTTTCTGAAATTTTACATTTTAGGCTCTGGAAGATACTATATCGCATGTACAGCAACAATCTGCGCAAACTGCTATGCTTAATTGTGGGAAAATGTATTTTTAAACAATCATTTACAAAGCAAATTTGAGATAGCACAGGATGGTGACCTGGCTCTGCAGAGACCACAGGCAAGGAGGCAGAACAGTCTGGCAAGACTGTGATCCGGGAATGCAAACCTGGGCCTGAGAAGGAGGGGAAATTAATTCCCCCAGAGAGGCCTGGGAGCCCTGGTGAACCCGAGAGCAGGGAAAGGACCAGCTCGACCCATGAACTCCTGGGAAGAGCTGGGGAGCCAAGATCCTCTTGGCCCCAAGCAAGGCAGCTTAGGGACAGTCACAGGGCACAGGCCTGGGGGGCTGCACCAGCAGCTCTGGAAAACCTGGCTCTCCTTCACTTACTCTGCCTGCCCCTTCTCCCTTCCTATAATAGGAAGAGATTGCTTGAGAAAAAAATTAAATAATATTTTCATTGTAAATTTGAGAATTTATCAAAGAGAAACATTTTCTGCTCTTGGGCCTCAGGCAGCTGCATGGTCTGCATCCCAAGACCTGGGTGCTAGGTGATAATGACAAGAGCTTTGATGGGTATGGTGCCAGAGCAGAGCTCAAGAGAGGATGACTTGAGCAAAGATTTGACATGTAGTTCATTTCCCTCTCCTGCTTTTTAGTATTTGTATTTGATTCCAGACTTTCCTACTAAGTACCTGTAATCCCAGCACTTTGGGAGGCCAAGGTGGGAGGATCACTTGAGTTCAGGAGTTCAAGACCAGCCTGGGCAACATAGTGAGACCCCCCCCTCCCTCGCCGGCTCTGTTAAAATAAATAAAAATTAGCTGGGTGTGGTGGTGTGTACCTGTAGTACCAGCTACTTGGGAGGCTGAGTTGGGAGAAGCAGTGAGCCTGGGAGGTCGAGGCTGCAGTGAGCCATGATGGCGCCACTGCAGTCCAACCTGTGCAACAGAGCAAACCCTGTCCAAAAACACAAAACATAAAAGGGGTAGGGGGAATAAGCATTCCCATTAATTTCTGATGAACCCCAAAATGGGTTACTGTTGGTGATTTTATAGCCTCCAGCAGTCAGTGCAAAGACTTTCAGATTCCTACGCGTGAGACTTAGGCCTGGTGGGTATAACATGTGGGGGAATCAGCCAAGCTCACAGTGATCCTCTCACTGCCCTTGTTACCTACAGGAATAGAAGAGCACCCAGGACTGTGGGTGCACTGGAATACTGCACCCTTGGCCCCACCCCCTCCCAAACACAGTTGGTGGGCCCGGCCTCTACTTCCTGCAACTGAAAATGAGTCTGAAATTCTGGTTCTGTCCGTTCTGTGCAGACTGCAGCTGACATGTTTTATGCCATGGGGATGGAGTAACAGGAACACCCATCTTCAGGGACAGGACTGAAGCTGATGAGAGGCACATAGATAAAAAGTGTCCTCAGAGACTTTCCTCTTCCAAGTGTTATCCTTTTCTGGGACCCAGCCACAGCCCCCTTCTCAGGTCTCCACGGCACACTTCCTTTTCCTCATGATAATGTCTACCTTTCTGGCCAATCTGGTCTGAGTTCGTTTTTCTCACCTTCCAAGGAAGTGTCCTGCTGAATAGTGGTGGAGTCTGCAGGGCCAGCGACTGTGCTGTTTTGCTCAGCACTGTATCTCCTGTGCTATTGCATCTCCTGGCATGTAACAGGGGCTCAGTGATGGAGTTTTGCTCTTGTCGCCCAAGCTGGAGTTCAGTGGTGAAATCTCGGCTTACTTCAACCTTCGCCTCCTGGGTTCGAGCAATTCTCCTGCCTCAGCCTCCCAAGTAGCTGGGATTACAAGCACCCGCCACCACGCCAGGCTAATTTTTGTATTTTTAGTAGAGATGAGGTTTCGCCATGTTGGCCAGGCTTGTCTCCAACTCCTGACCTCAGGTGATCCACCTGCCTCGGCTTCCCAAAGTGCTGGGATTACAGGCATGAGCCACCACATCAGGCTGACACAGAGATTTTTTTTAAAACTAAACTTGAAGTAAAAACACACCACTTTAGCCATGTTTAATTCAACAGAAACGTTATTAGCTTTGGCCCACACAAGGGGTGGGGGTGTTTACAGAAGAATGTAGAGATAATCGGCGCTGTCTTAGAGGTTTCCCACCACACCCTTCTAGTCACTTGGCAAAGAAAGCAACCTCAATCTCATATATGAAATATATATATATGAGATATATATATGTATATATGTATATATACGTACACATATACGTATACATACGTACACATATACGTATACTTGTATACGTATATATACATATATATGTATACGTGTACATGTATACGTATATATATACGTGTATATATATGTCATTGGAACTACATATATAGTTTCATACATATGTAACTATATATCTATTTATACATATATGTAACTACGAAACTATATATGTATGTAACTTTGTATACATAAAGTCCAGTTTCAATGGCATCCATGGAAATGCTGAGCAACCAGTTCTTGGCAGGGTGGGGCTAAGGGTACCTCTGTAGCAAAAGTTCATAGACAGTCATGTAAGCTTCACATTTTACATAATTCAGACTCATCTTCAACATCCATATTTCTTGGAGAAAACGTTCAAGAGAATCTGGTTGGGCCAATGTGGGAAAGGAGTCCATGGCCAATTAACTATGGCAGGGAAGGCAAGACCATGAAGAACAAGCCTGTGTGCCAGAGGTCCACCGCTGTGGGCAGGGGAGCTGCGCTCTCAGAGGGAGAACAAACGGGTGATGCACCAGACTTCACCCTGGTGATGCTTACAGCCTGCATCTCTGATGGGAAGGGATTGGCAGCAGCTAGAGCTGAGAGCAGGCTGCTCAAGGGAAAGGAGCTGTGATGAAAGCAGGGGCCTCAGGAGGCAGGGAGGTGCATCTGCAGCAGCTCTCAGGTCATATCCTAGGCCTGTGTTTGGCTCAGGCTAATGCCTCACATGCTTCTGCCTGCCTCAGAGACATCAAAAGTCTGTGCGTATCATGTTAGTGAACAAACGAACTTTAGTGTCCTACCAGGGTCTCAGACTAACCAGAGAAGAGGAAATTAGCTCAGAGCTGGACTCAAGCCTTCTGTGCTAACCTGTGCAAGCAATCATGGCCTCAGGAGGCTCCTGGGTACTGCCTCTTTAGAGGACAAGAGCAGGTGGTCCTGAGGTCCCAGTAGATGCTGCAAAGCATGGGCACCATTGGCTGCCACTGCAGGCTAAGATTGGTTGATTCAGACGTTTGGCAACAGTGAAAATTCTGTGGAGGAAATATTTCCTAGGGCCTGATGCACCCTCAGGCAGGCCCCACCTGCACCAGCAACGGGCTAAGATCCTTGCTAGCCATCTCTAGTGGAGCTTCATCTAGATCTGAAGTAGCTGTAGGCCTATCATTGCTTCTTTTGTCTTTTTGAACTTTTTATTATGGAAAGTTCCAAGCGTACCTAAAGTAGAGGGACTAGACAGACTAACATAATGAACTTCCACGCGTTGATTACCCAGCTTCAATAATCACCAACTCATGGCTGATCCTCTTTCTTCTATAGCCCCGCCCACTGTCCCCACCCACCCTGCAGATTATTTAGAAATAAATATCATTATATCATTTGATTCATACTTCAGTATATATTTCTGAAAGATAAAACGAATTTAAAAAATCTTTAAAAACCTCTACAAAATCCAAAATAGCCATTATTACGTCTAAGATGATTAATAAATTCTCATCAGAAGTATAGTAGAGGCTGTGCTTTGTGGCTCACGCCTGTATTCCCAGCACTTTGGGAGACTGAGACAGGAGAATCACTTGAGGTCAGGAGTTTGAGACCCATCTGGGCAAGAAAGCGAGACGCACCCCTCCCAATACCCCTACGACCCATCCCCCACCCAACACACAAATTTAGCTGGGCTTGGTGGTGCATGTCTGTAGTCCCAGCTACTCAAGATGCGGAAGTGGAAGGATTGCTTGAGTCCAGGAGCTCAAGGCTACAGTGAACCAAGATCATGCCACTGCACTCCAGCCTGAGTGACAGAGCAAGACTCTACGAAAGGAAGGAAGGAAAGGAAGGAAAGGAAGGGAGGGAAGGAAGGGAAGGAAGGAAAGGAAGGGAGGGAAGGAAGGAAGAAAGGAAGGAAGGAAGGGGAGGTAGGAAGGAAAAAAGGAAGGGAGAGGAGGAGGAGGAGGGAGGGAGGGAAAGGAGGGAGGGAGGGAAGATCAGAGGGAGGGAGGAAGGAAGGAAGGAAGGAAAAAAATCAGTATTCAAATATTCCCTGTTACTGCTTTTCTTAATACATAGACTAAAAATTAAAATTTCAATTTCCCCAACTGCTTTTAAAAACATTCATATTTCACTGGTGACTACAACAAAAATGTATAAAGCCAACAAACAAAAATGTATAAATGACAAAAAATTAAATCTGCTCTTTAGAACTTGATAATTCATGAGAAAATGAAAATAGTTTCCATCATCCTTTCTCAGGCTGCTGTTTTTTATTTGTCTAAGAAGAAAAGAAAATATGTCAAAGCCTATGGTAGTCACTAGGGCTGTTCACTGATGGGCCCACTTATTTATCTCCAGCCAATGGGAGGATTGAACTTCCCTGGTACCTTGAAGTTTGTGTGGTCATATGACTTGTTCTGGCCAATGAGTGTGAGTGGAAGTGATGAAACGTCAGTTCTTACCAGAAAATTTAAATCGACATTAGGAGACCCTCCATAACCCTCTTTTCTTTCTGCTACAAGTGACCCAAATTACTCCACTAGCCAGGATCCTGGATCAACATGTTGTGGGAGAGAAAAAAACAAATTGCTGTTTTAAGCTATTGAGATTTGGGGGTTCTTTATCATCACAGCATAACTTGGCCTACCCTGACTTATAGAAAGTGGCTAGGCTTAAGCTTGTGATTTCAGGGAAGTTCAAGCTAAGGCTAATAACCTTTTAATGTCAGTCCTCTTGAGGAATCATTTCATTCACCTCTTATGATATTACTATATTGATCCATGCTATCATTTTACTAGAGGAGTAGAATTTTAATTCTGTAGTCTTCGACATTATTATGAGATTAAAACAATAATTATAAGAGTGGCCTGCCATATAAAACACCAAAGATATATACAACTTTAATTAAATGGACCCGAAGACGAAACAAAAGACGAGACCCTGGCCTGGAAGTCATGTCTCTGCCCTGCCATGGTCTTGGATAGGTTTCTTCATTTCTGGGCCTCAGTTTTCTTTTTTATAATAATGATTATTATTATAACAGTGACATTGTTGAATATCTGCCATTTGCTAGGTAATTCCATGGTACTTTAGTTTATTCAATTCTTACAACTAATCTTCAGTAGTTATTTTTACCCTTTTTTAAAAACGTGAAACTGTGGAAACTGAAGTTTAGACAGGCTGAGTAATTTGTCAAACCATAGCTGGAAGTGGAGGAGATACTTCCAAAGCCAGACTCAAATAAATATTTAAGATCCATTTCTTGTTCTAAAATCCTATGGCTATTTTGGTGTAAGATGATTCACAAGAAGCAAAATTACATTGTCAAAATGAAAATCATATTTACTCCACCAAAAAGAGCAGTTCTCTTACTGGCAATCATATTTTCCAGTGTGATAGAACACATATTTTATGGAGATCAAAGACTCTGCTATTAATATTTCCTTGCCTGCATAAACTATGAAAGGGCTTCGAAGCATCAAACTTTTATGACAGTGCATGGTAACCATTGTTAATGTATTGTATTATTGAAAATTGCAAAGAGAGTAGATTTTCAGTGTTCTCACCACAAATAAGAATGTATTAGAGGTAATGCATATGTTAATTAGCTCAATTTAGCCATTCCACAACATATACATATTTCAAAACATCATGTATACAATAAATATATACAATTATTGTTTGTTAATTTAAAAAATTAGTTTTAAAAACTTTAGGACTGAATACAGATGCTCACCGTAATGTAGACTAAAGGTGAAACAAAATTATTCCCCTTGAGATTTTGCACAGACTATTTCTTTGCTAACATTTTTAAGAATAATTCAAACACTTGTTAATTCATGGTCATAAAGACTTCTGACCAGCCATGGTGTGTGGTTTTAAAATATCAGATTTATTTTATTTATTTGTTTGTTTTATTTTTATTTTTTTGAGATGGAGTTTTGCTCTTGTCACCCAGGCTGGAGTGCAGTGGCACAATCTCAGCTCACTGCAACCTTTGTCTCCTGGGTTCAAGCGATTCTCCTGCCTCAGCCTCTCAAGTAGCTGGGATTACAGGCATGCACCACCACGCCCGGCTAATTTTGTAATTTTTTTTTAGTAGAGACGAGATTTCACTATGTTGGTCAGGCTGGTCTTGAACTCCTGACCTCAGGTGATCCACCCGCCTCGGCCTCCCAAAGTGTTGGGATTATAGGCGTGAGCCACTGCACCCAGCCTATCAGATTTAAAATACTAAATTTAACTTGTTAAAGTACCAGAAATTAAAGTAATAACATTTAAAGGAAGTAGAATTTACCTTCTGGAAAACACTGCACAGGTACGTGTGTGCGCTAGCTGTGATGCCTGCCCTCAGACCACCCTGCAGAGGCCATGCAAAATGGCCAATTCTCGATTCTTCATTTAGGGAACTCACACCAGACTTGGCAGAGAGAATTGTGTCTCTCCTACCTTATATTTGTCTCTGCAATTGTCATTATTTTACTGTTTTAATTTTTTCATTGTTTCTGGTATTTATCTGCATCTTGAATATGTTGATCTTTGCCTTTACTTACTATTGCTGGGAATTTTACAGTTACAAGCAATTAAATAATAGGGAGAGGGAGAAACACAAACATCCCTCAATACATTGTTCAATGGCCTTTTTTTCCCCTGAATGGCTTTCCATGGCTGTTAGTTTCCACCAAGCAATGCAATATTAAGTACAGTTGAATGACGGGTGAGGCAGGCTTCTTTAATAATGGTGTTTAGGAACATTCAGAAACTCAGGGCAGCCTAAAAATCAACTTTAAAGTACTCATCAGTACTAGAGAGGACAATGGTAAGGGGAGGTGGAAGGAACAAGAAAAATACTAGGGTATTATTTCCCTCCTTTTAATTGAAAGACTACCAAACCACATGACATTTTTCAAAAGTCACAAGATTAATAATTAAATGTTGCAGGAGAGAAAAAATCAGAGTGGCGCTGGAGCCTATTGTGGAGGAGTTGAAAGGGCAGGCCAAGATTTTGATTCATGTTAAACTTGGCTGTTTGTCCCAAAAAACATTTCTAAAGAATGCCAGAAAAATAAATATAAGCTTATAAACTGTGTCAGTCAGCTTGGAAGGAAAATATTGAACAAACCCATCATTAATTCTCACATCTAAATCCAGTATGTTTATTAGTAAAGGTATGTATGTGTTGTGGTAGTGGTCATTGATGAGATCTTAGTTCATGTAGATTTAGAAATTGCAAAGGAATCTAGTTTTCCTGAGGAATATATGAATAAGGATCTTCAAATATGGGATCCACACTGATACAGAGCTCGGCCCACATGCTCAGAAGCTACTACCCTCATCCTGCTGCATGAACTTGACTGAGGTCTATTTGCCCTACCCTAGGTTACCATAATTTACTACTAAGTTGAACAGACTTAAACCTTAGGCTTCGTGAGCTGACTTTTTTTAAGAATAACACCCAGGGAAACCTCCCAAGGAATAAGGGACACAGGAGACAAAATAAGCAGGTTACTCTTCATCCTGAATAAGACAGACAAGATGCCATATTCCTTCTTACTCGCTTGACTGCTGTGGGCTTCAGACTAGATGAAAGAGACAGAGAACTGAAAATAAAGAAAAATCAGTTAAAGAACTTGAAAAGGCTGGGTAAATAAAGAAATGAGTAGAACCCAGAGTTGCCTTCATTTAATACTCCTCCTCTTTCCTCCTTTGATTCATTTCTTCCTATTCTACCATATTTTGTATATGTCTCTTATTTACCAGATTTGAAGCTCCCTGGAGGAGAAGGACTATGTCTTCGTGATCTTTATCTTTTAGTTCTGTTCATTCATCCATTCATCTATCCATTCATGTAATAAGTGTTATTGAGTGCCCAATATGTGCCAATATTGTAGAAGCTCGGAATTCATCAGTGAGCAAAACGAATGGGGGGAAAGATTGGTAATAACAATACATTTAATGAGTAAGTAAAGTATATAGTATTATAGAAAGTGATAAGTGTTATGGGGGGAAAATGAGTGCAAGGTAAGGAGGATTGGGTCTTGAGGGTAGGTGTAATAAGCTGCAGTATTAACAGTGGTGATCAGGGTATGCTTCGCCAAGAAAATCATAACTGAGCCAAGACTGAGAGGAAGTATGACAGTGAGCCCAGCAGAGAACCAGGGAGAAGGGGGTGGGGAGAAAGCACTTCAGGTGGAGGGCTAGAGGATAGACCCTGGAGTAGAAGCATTCCTGATATGTTCCAGGAACAAAATGGTGGTCATTTCAGCTGAAACAGACCGAGCCTGGAGGAATCCAGGAGGAATGGAAAGACCGGGGCAAGCCAGATCAAGGAAGCTTTTACCCTGAGATGGGTATTCAAATATTCCCTGTTATTGCTTTTTTTAATATACAGTCTCTAAAAATTAAAATTTCACTTTCCCCAACTGCTTTTAAAAACATTAAGCAGGCCACTGCAGGATGTGAACATTGAGAGACGTGACATGTCTTATGTTTTAAATGGATCATGCTGGCTGTCAGGTTGACAATAGACTATAAAAGTACAAATTTATGTCAAAATATAAAGCAAAGCCCAACAAAACTCAAAAAAAAAAAAAAAATCAAAGATGAGTTTATATACTGCCAGGGGTGGATGTAAACACACCAGTGAAAAAGTTCACTGAGTAACTCATGAATTAGGAAAAGTCAGGGTTTTTTAAGTGTGAGAAAGAGAGAAGGGAGTTTGGAGGTTATGCGGATTAAGGGCTGGAAAGTAGTGCTCTGGATAGGTTGGAATAGTGTTGATAAAACATGTCCCTTTGTTAACTGGTCAGAAAGGAGTCTTTGGTTAGGTCTAACAAGGGTCTGGTATGGGGTCACTCAAAGTTCACAGTCCTTGATCTGCTTCAGTTGGTTAGAACCAGTTGTGGTAGAGCATAGCATTCCGTTTTGATATCTACTATGCAAGTGTTGTAAGTGGAAAATTTTCTTTTACAGGTGGAAACAGGGAAACCTGTTAGGAAGCTCTTGCAGAAATCCAGGCAGCGGATGACAGGGCTCATACCAGAGTGGAGTAGTGCAGGTGGTGAGAAGCAGTTAGATTTGGGTACATGTGGAGAGAGTAAAGAATGACTCCCAGGTTTTTGGCCTGTGCAACTGGATGGTTGGAGTTGCCCTGGAGATAGGAAAGGCTGTGGGTGAAGCATGTTTGCATGGGAAGATGTGGAGTTCATGTGAGTTTAAGACACCTCATTATACACCTGAGTGGGAACAGCAATAGAGACAGCGAGGTCTGGCTGGTGACATGAAGTGGGGACCTGAAAGTGTATAGATGGTGTTGAACGGCAGGATACCAGGTGCATTCACCTATGCAGCAAAGGAGATAGAACCCTGGAAAGCCCAACAGTTTACTCCCTCCTAGTTCCAGTTTTAATTCATAGAAGGCATTCTTGCACACCTCCTTAAGTATTTTGTGGAATGAAGTGGAGGTATCAATGGATCAAGGATCTTCGTGCCTAATGTGGTGTTTTGAAAAGAGTGAGTGCTCACTAATAGCTACTTTTGACAGTCTCCTATGTCCCAGACACTAGTCTATATGCTTCACAAACCTATATGCTTAATCTCCCCAAATTTATATCATAATCCCCATTTTTACAGATTAGGAATCTGAGGCCAGAAAAGTCATTTGCTCAGCATCATATAGCTAGTAAAGGCAGGGATGGGATTTAAGTTCAAATTTGTCTGAGTCTCTTATAATTCTGCCTTGAATGGTAAATTACTAACCTGCATAGAGAGCAAAATGAACAGAAAGTGAGGAGTCCCAACAGCTTGTAGCTCCTGGCATATATCACTGTGCAACAGTCTTCAATCTTGAGCCTGTATCAGAATCACTTGGATGCCTTGTTTAAACAGATTGTTGGACCTCAACCCAGAATTCCTGATTCCACAGGTCTGGGATTTGGCCTGCTAATTTGCACTTCTAACAGGTTCCCAGGTGTTGCTGCTACAGCTGGTCTGGGGATGACACCTTGAGAACCACTGGTTTAGCGAGTTTTCCCTGACTCTGCCAGCTAATACCTCCACCTGCCAAATGGCCAGGTCTCTCCAATTTCCAAAAGGGAAAAAGAGAAAAGTTCACAACTAATCAGAACTATTTGAGAGTCCTTAGTGTGATGGTTCCTTCAATTTTAACTCCTGGTTCTCTCCTGAGACACATGAGGGTTGGGGAGTGGGGGTAGAGGATCATAGGGTGATGGTGGCTCCACGCCAGGTTCTCTCTAACACACAGTTTACCATGCTGTCTAGCAAAACGTCTTTCACTGTTAGACTCTCAGTGGCCTCATTGTCCTTTCCTGGGAGGAAAGTTCCATCATCACCCCTCCTGCTCCTAGTGTCCCTCAGGCACAGGGGAGGGTTCAGGTATGGTGGGCCTTAAAAGCCTACCCAACTATTGGGAGGGCTCCTTTAAGAACAAGAATACAGGCTTATAAATACACAATTAGGTTCAGGGACTTGGAAGGAACTTGTGCAAGAGAGGGGGCCCTGCGGCTTAAGCTTCATTAGCTGCATGGGAAATCGAACTCTGATCAAACATGTCTGTATACGTCTAAAGATCCAATTACAGACAGGTGCAAGTTATTTCCCATGGAGCTGCTGAGCCTCAGGCTAACCAGGGGATGTGGCTGATTGCTGTGTAAGAGAACCTCAGCACTTCATGGTTGGAAAGGCTTGTTTGTCCTGAATCTGGCCATGGGGGAAGGGCTGCTGACTTGCAGAGCTAGCACGTTGGAGGCTAAGCAAAAGCGCTCAGTTACATATCCTTGGGTTTGATCTCTTCCGTGAGTCAAAAGCCTTCCAGAAATCTCTTGCCTCAGACATTTTAAACGCCAACTTAAGAGATAATTATTCCTATTTCATTACATCAAAATAAAATTTGACTACTCAATTTTAAGGCTAATATTCAAAAAAGTAAAATTGCTTATGATTAATTTTTTGAGACGGAGTTTTGCTCTTGTCGAGGGTATAGTGCAGTGGCGCTATCTTGGCTCACTGCAACCTCCACCTGCCGGGTTCAAGCGTTTTTCCTGCCTCCGGAGTAGCTGGGATTACAGGCATGCACTACCACGCCCGGCTAATTTTTATATTTTTTAGTAGAGACGGGTTTTCACCATGTTGGCCAGGCTGGTCTCGAACTCCTGACCTCAGGTGATCCGCCCACCTTGGCCTACCAAAGTGCTGGGATTACAGGCGTGAGCCACTGCGCCCTGCCCTAAAATTGCTTTTTAAAATCATTAGGCTAAGGTCATATTTAAATATATATTAATTTATGAATAAATTTAAGTGCTTGCTTGACACAGGGGACTACTTCATAGAGTAGATTCTGGAGTTCCTTTTGTCTTTCTGAAACCTTATTTTCCTATCTAGCTTGTTCTGAGACGTACTGTGGGCAGACTTGGCCTTACACATATATCGACTCACTCAACAAATACAGCTAAGGAAAGTAAAATGTCTCTGGGCTACAAGCTGGGAGGAAGTTACTAAGATGAGTAAAGAAGGACCCCCTCCAAGAGCTTAAATTAAGTCTTGGAGACAACAGCCATGCGCACCAAGAAGCTCAACCTAAGATGAAAAGGGCATCTAAGAGGCGCGAGATGGCTCGTGAAGGTAACAGACGTCTTAAGAATTTTTCCGGGCCCAGCACAGTGGCTCACGCCTGTGATCCCAGCACTCTGGAAGGCCGAGGAAGGCGGACTGCTTGAGCCCAGGAGTTCGAGACCTGCTCGGCCAACATAGTGAGACAGCGTTTCTTAAAAGAAAAAGAAAAATTGGCGTGGCGTGGTGGCGGGTGCCTGTAGTCCCAGACCGCACCACTGCACTCCAGCCTGGGCGGCAGAACCAGACCCTGTCTCAAAAATAAATAAATAATTAAAAAATAAAGAAAAGAAAAAAAAGAATTCTTCCTCGAGAGAGGAAGCCGGCTACTGGATATTCTAAAGAGCAGTCTGTTTGCCCCTGCCTTCTCCATCCAGAGTCACCGACGCTTTCTGCACACGAGGTGTTCCGCGCCAATGTGGGCACAAGCCAAGGCAAGAGGACTCCATCAAGCTCCTCCTGGGTACCATGATTTGGAAGACCCAAGGATGAGTTCAGCGGGCCACCATCCTCAAGGAAGCACCATCAAGAACTGAGTCAGGCCCGGGGTATTCTCGACGTCAAAGCGGTCGAGAGGTGGGGGTGCCACCAGGAAGAGTCACTGGAACGGACCTTCCGCGCTCGTCTCGCGGTCTGTATGCGCACTCACACCCCTGGAAGGCTCTACCACTGTAGGACAGAGCACGGAGGATTGCCCAGGCGCCGGAGAAGAGGTTAGCGCCCCGCAACTCCGCCCCTGCCCCGCCCACGCAACGCGGCGGCTGCGCGGCGAGGCCGCCCCGTCTCCACGTGATTGCCGACACCGCCTCCGCGAAGCAGAAGCCGCCATCATAAGTCCTGGCAGCTGGACCTGGGCCTGCCTCCCTCCTTCTCCTGCGCCAGGTAGCGGTAACGGGCTGGGGTTGTTCTGTCCTGGTTCTGTCTGGCCGTGAAGCCGCAGGCCTCCGAGAGCGGGACGAGGAGGTGGGGCCCAGGGGGCTCCGGGGCGGACAGACTGACCGCCGGACAGCCCAGGTGTCGGCACAGCGTGGGCGGTGCCCAGAGCCGCGCCCCGCCCCTCGCAGGCCAGCGCTCAGGGCTCGCGGGCCGTGCCCGTTTCCAGTATGGCCGCCCGCCGCGCCTGACCCGCGGCCTCTCCGCTCCGACTGCTTGTAGGCGATGCCCAGGCAAAGACCGTGACTGACACTCTCGCTCACACGCACGCACGGACCCAGGCCCACGCTCGGAGATCGAGCCCCGGGCTCGCAACCGTTGTCGCTCCCGGCGCCGCGGCCAGAGCCCGGACCACGGCTTCCGCGCCGCCGCCGCCTCGCCGAGAAGGGCCGCGCCGGACCTCGAGCGCGGCGGCCCCCGGCCGGCAGGGATGGGGAAGCGGGCGGGAGGAGGAGCAACCGGAGCCACCACCGCCGCCGTCTCCACGTCCGCCGGGGCCGGGCTGGAACCTGCGGCCGCCCGTAGCGGGGGCCCGCGGAGCGCGGCCGCCGGCCTCCTAGGCGCGCTGCACCTGGTGATGACCCTCGTAGTGGCTGCGGCGCGGGCCGAGAAGGAAGGTGGGTGTCCCCCGGCGGCGTCCCTGCGGCGGGGCTGTCACCCCGCTCTCGCGGAGGCCGGGAGGGCTGGGCCGGGAGGAAGGGCCGCGGCCGGGGCTCCGGCGCAAAGTTGGGCGGTCGGGTACCGTCCCGAGCCGGGACCTCGCGGCGCCCGCCGCACGGAGTGGCCTTCGCTCTCCGTGATTCCTTCCCGTGCCTTCCCCCGTCTCCTGTCACTGCCATTTCAAAACTTCCTGACTTCTCGTACGTTCTTGCCACTTGGCCCGCTAGGTAGGAGGGGCATATTTTTTGGCTTTATTGCGGCGAATAGGTACATTTTAGGACACTTCTGTTTTCTTGGTTGCGGTTGGTTGCATGCAGACAGAGCTTACTTTAAAATGTGGTAAAAATAGCGAGACACAGCTTAAAAAATTTCACTTTGAATTTGTTCAGACATTTCTTCGAGGGGAAATCTTGGTCCTGTAGCTTCCTCCTTTAGTGTCTCTGCGTTATTGATAACTTTATTATTAGACCTAAATACAATTCCATTTAACTCTTTAGTAAGCTGTTGAAAGCCTGTTTACATTTCTTATTTTAAAATACGTGATTCGGTGCCTTTATCTTTGATGTGAAAGCCTTTAAAAATAAACGTGAAGTTGCCAGCTTGCAAGCATTTATCTATAATTTACAGTTAAGGGCTGGCCCCTATTTTAAAAATCTCATTAGTATTGTACTGCTGCAAAACGGGTACTTGGACAGGGTCAAAAATTATTTTGTAATCTTGAAGACCAAATCAGTGTAATTTCATCTACACTACCTCTTTTTGAGCCAAGGGACATGTGAATGGTCACAGAGCCTTCATGAAGAATTGACTAAGTGAATAGTTTAAAAAAAAAACAAACCACGCAAAACTTGTTAGTTTAGCATTGCACATGAAACTGCCTGTACAAGAAAACAATTTCTTGCCACGGTAATTTTAGAGTTAACATTCTACTTTATGACTAAAGTCACTTGCTTTTTATTGTTGCTGAAGGTGAAAGCAAATACAAACCAAATTAGTATTAAAGTGCAAATGTGCTTCAGTATACTGTTTCTTTTATTTTTGTCCACATTACATTCCCTTATCTAACTCTCTAAGCAACCTTAGTCTGAGTTAACATTGGTGGAAATTATTCAAAGAATTGTCGTCTATAGAAAGGATTAATTGATGGAAGCAAAATTATTTCCAGAATAAAATATTGCCGCTTTAGGACTAGTCGGTCCTGGGGTTGTCATAATACATCATTGGCCACAGATCTGCAGTTAGTTGAGTGTTCTTTCTTATGTGTGATCGTGGCACCTAGCATTTTGGCCTGTAGTGGGTGTTCAGTGAACCCAAAATAGTGCAGTAATTTAATGGACATTTTTTGGGTGGGACTTCAAGTAGACCTTGGTGGGTATTGTGTCCTTGTTTTTCTGTTCCTTTGCTTACCTTGCACAGTGCCAGACACACTGGCGCTTAGCCTTTGAGTGAATGACTGTCTTCATGCGCCCTTAGCACAGGGAATTGAAATAATGGTTGAATCTAGTAAAGCATTAAGTTTGTATTTTCCTTCTACTGCTGCTGATTTTTCCAACAGCCATTTTATATGCTAATAAAAACTTTACTCTGGGTAAAGTTAAGTAAACAAACCTTTTGTTTGAGAACTGTCAGCCTAAAATATATTTGCTAATTTCTCATTTGCATAGTTTATACATGTTAGTGCACCTCTCTAATACCCATAAATGTGTGTAAGGATTGGATGAGGAGAATACTTGCCAGGGTGTTAAGTATGTATTAAAGGGGTGGTTGAATCAGCCAGTGGCCTGGGTGAATCAGATATCCTTTGTGGCCCATGCTTTTCTGTATGAACAATTTGTGTGTGCGGTTATCCAAGATATTAATGGAGATGATGCTGATATAGAACATAGGCCTCTACCCATCATAAACAGATCTGGTTCTAATCAAATATTCTGTGAAGGTATCTCCAGAAATGGCTTCTCCTTTAAAACTGATCATATTCCAGTATTGTTTCTGAGTAAGTAGGGGAAAAGCAATTTATTTTCTTACGTGATTGTGACACTGTGAGTCTGGCATCTGATGAGGCACAAATACAGTATTTGTCCTAAAAGGTACTGTTGAGTTTTTCAGCAAGTTTGGGCAGATTTCTGAAGATGGCTGAGTTCAGTTTGATCATTCACACCCGGAGGAATTTTGTGTCTATTGAAGTAGCATAAACTAGTTTAAAATTTCAAAGTTAAGATTTACCTGCAGTTTTAATGATGATTCTGCAGGTATTTTGTATGTTTGTATTTCTTTTCCTTCATTACTGTATAATTTCACTGCAAAATCTTTAAAAGACAATAAAACTCATTGTCTCCTGAAGAAAAGCTGCAGAAATAAATTACCTAATGTAGTTTTTCATGTTTGGACTTGATGTTGATTTTCTTGAGTCAGAAGCATGGACCATTCCTTGTCTTAACATCCTATATGACTTAACTGAGCTATGGGAGTGTGCTATCACTAGTCCAGAGGAAAGGTACCTTTGAGATGGTTTTGGCTGTGATGTAAAGTTTGTAAGGACTTTGAAAGAGTTTCCAGAGATAGAAGTTGTTATAATCACTACAAATAACTAGTTCTAGATTGGTGGCAAGATTTTGTCTTGAGGCTAACATCTAGATACTGAGAATAGCAAAAATGTGTGTGAGTTGTGAAAATATATTTTTAAAATATATAGTGAAAATACATGTGTATGTGTATATATTAAATGTATACTTTTAGTAGTCTTTTGAATTATAAAGCAGCCCATTATGACTGGCAAATAAGACCTTTTTTAAAAAAGCATTATATATCATGTAATATAATTTCATTGTGAAGTGGGTTTTTGGAAGGCATTTATTATAAATGAGAAGCTATAGTTTATGTATCTAGTAAATATAAATTCGAATAAGTTTTCAAGAATGTTTCAATTTATGACAATTTAAATTTCATTGTCACATGTTTTATTAATTGGCAATTAAATGGCAGGGTAACGTTTGACAGCCTTTATTAGGACTTTAAAAATTTTTTGCCAGTGTACTATAGTTTCATGCACAAATTTTTGTTTTAAGCTGTATTTGTGACATAGGTGCAAAACACAGTACAAAAGTATTTACAAAGCATATGAGAAAAGTGCATAGGACTAAAGACCACAAGAAAACAGATAAGAATCTAATAGTTTTCTAAGGGTAGCCAAATTGACTAGGAGTGTTATTTACTTTTTCTTAACCAAACTATTTTTAACCTACTTATTACTCGATAATGTTAAAATGTTTTTGAAAGTGATTTTCTTAAGAGTGAGATGTGTTAACCCTTTGTATGGGGTAGAGTGGGTACCTTTTAATTTAGGGCCTTGTAAATAGAATGTTATTTAATAAGTGCTTCACTAATGAACGTTTGTAGCCTGCTTTTACTAAAGGCTGTTGCCTGATGGAGCATTGGAGTTTTGTAGTTGGAAAAAGTGTGTCCTTTTTTCCTCTTGCTAATGACCATTTTCCTCCTCCTTCTAATTCTTACAGTGGACCCTCATAGACATCTGCCAACAAGATTGCTTTGGGAGTAGATGTAAACTCATCTAATTGTTACTATCCAGAGTAGCAATAAGCCAAATTACTCTTGGAGGAAAATAAAATCTTTGCTAGGTGCTTGATATTTTAGGTGTTCTCTCTCTTGCCTATATGTGACTCAAGCGCTCTGATTGGCCTTGCCAGACCAAGAGGCCCTTTTCCTACAGCTGAATTTTCCCCTACGGTCTCTTGTAAGCAGCATCTGGCATTGTTTCGGTGACTCTGTACTTCTCGGTTCTGGTTGTGCCCTAGCTGACAGTTGCTGCTCTCCAATTGCCTGTTGGTTGTCTTCCTCCCTGTGTGTGTCTAGCTGCTGGTGCACACTGCATGTGTCCAGGGCAGAATTATCTTGCGCCACCTCCAGTTTTCAGTTTTTTATTAATGCTATGATTATTCTGCCTGCCCCACTGGATTCAGTTTTGACCCTTCACCAAGTGGCATCAGTGCCTGTTACATCCTCTTTTGATCACTCTCCCACTGCCTTCACCATGGGGCACTGCAGCAGCCTCTCTCCTACCGCCTTTCGCCATTTCTGTTCAGTCCTGCATGCTCCCTCTGAATTTGTGGTCTTTGTTAATCATTCATCATTCATTTTGACACCTAATTGTGTACTGCCTTGTTAGCTACTTAAATGATTTCAGGGGTGTCATTCTTCACCTAGGCTGGAATTTCTGTAGGGCAGAACCTTTGTCAACATCTGTAGTACATAAATAGCAGGCATTCAGTTTTGATTGAAAGTTTGCCTAAACTTTCATTGTAATATAATTTCATTGTGAAGTGGGTTTTTGGAAGGCATTTAATTTATTATAAATGAGAAGCTATAGTTTATGTATCTAGTAAATATAAATTCGAATAAATTTTCAAGAGTGTTTCAACCTATGACAATTTAAATTTCATAGTCACATGTTCTATCAATTGGCAATTAAATGGCAGAGTAACGTTTGACAGCCTTTATTAGGACTTTTAAAATTTTTTGCCAGTGTACTATAGTTTCATGCACAAATTTTTGTTTTAAGCTGTATTTGTGACGTAGGTGCAAAACACAGTACAAAACTATTTACAAAGCATATGAAAAAAGTGCATAGGACTTTTTATACCTGAGAACCTGAGAGTCAGAAGTACAGGTAAAATTCAGTTCTGGTGCAGATGTCATGAGGAAGTCTGCTATAGTAGGACATTGAGTAACACCAGTTTTTTCTTCCCCACATGTTGCTTTTCCTTGTAACTAAAAGGAGTTGTATACACTTATCTAAACCATCACTTTTATAACTTTTTGATTTTAAGATTTTCAGATTCTCATAAAACCCTAATCTAGAGATCATGAAACTGAGGCTTAGAGAGGTTAAGTAATATACCCAGCGTGATAGGGCTGGTAAATAGTGGAGCCAGGATTCCGCCCTAAGACATCTGTCCCTTGAGCCAAACTATGTAACCCCAAATGAGCACTTCAGGAATTAGATTTTGTTATATTGTACCAACTGCAAAAAGAACAGACTTGACAGTTCATGCAAAACCCATGTATTAGTATTCAAGTAAAATGTACTTTTTTTTTTTTTCAATCAGCCACAAGCTTTCATATCACTTTCTGTTGACTTGTTAACAGTTTAAGTAATCACAGGCCATTCTGGATCATGAAGGTTCTTAAAAGGAAACCAGTGAGTGGATAATACAGGGAAATGAATATTTGGTATTCGAAGCTACTGTCTCTTTGTTCTTGATGACTTAGATACCTGGTTGTATTGCTAAGGTTAAGCAATATTGCCTTCTGTAGATACTGCTTAGCTCCAGATTGGTGTGATGAGTTAGTCTAGACTTGTGGAATATTCTCAGAAGCTGGCCCTGGACTAACAGGAGCTGGAGATAATGCAAGGGCTGGTAGTGGCATTTGCCTCGGCAGGCAGAAATCTCTCGCAGACTTCCATTAGAGGTCCAAGGGCTCCAGAAGAAGTTCAAAGGTGCTTTGTTCTTATTAGGGCATTTTGGAATTAGGTGGTCATTAGTTCTCATCTGTAGTTCCAAATCTGTTTTGTTGTTGTTGTTTTTTAATTCCCATGTGATTACTTTTAAAACCACAGATGGAGGGTTTCTAGAAAGCCTTTGCCATTTGCCTGATTGATTTTGTTGCATACAACTCTGCCGTTTTAGGGCAGAGGTTTGATGTTTAAGAGGATCTTTTAGATGGTCAGTCATGATAGAGTATGAAACCTACGTTTTTATTTATTTTCATTTATTTATTTTCTAGAAACTTGGTGAAAAAAACACATAACAAAATACTTAACCATTTTTATATGTACAGTTCAGTGGTGTTAAGTGTATTCACGTTGTTGTGTAGCAGATCTTCAGAACTTCTTCATGTAAAGCTGGAAGTCTATACCCATTAAACAACTTCCTATTTCTCTCCCTACCCTTAATCCCCACCCCCAGGCTCCTGGTAACCACCATTCTACTTTCTGTGTTTATGAATTTGACTACTTTAGATACTTCATATAAGTAGAATAATGCAGGATTTGTGACCTGCTTATTTTACTTAGCATAATATCTGTAAGGTTAATCCATGTTGTAGGATGTGACAGTTCCTTCCTTTTTTTTTTTTTTGTTTTGTTTTTTGAAATGATGTTTTGAGAATTTATTTACAACCATTGAACACGGATGATTTTGTAAAACTGACAATTACAGGCTCCTTAAACTCACAACATACATATATTTCAATATTTAAATAGCCTGTTTTCTTCAAAAGTAATTTTCTGCTTTTTCATAAAAATATAAAAAAGACAACATTTATAGTTCCTTCCTTTTTAAGGTTGAATTATATTCCATTGTATGGATATACCACATTTTGTTTATCCATTCATCCATCCGTGGACACTAGGCTTGCTCCTACCTCTTGGCTCTTGTGACTAATGCTGTGAAGTTGAGTATGCAAATATCTCTTCAAGACCCTGGTTTCAACTATTTTGCATATCTACCCAGAAGAGAGATTTCTGGATCATGTGATAGTTCTATATTTAATTCCTTAAGCAACCACCACATTTCCATAGTGGTTGCATAATCTCAGAATCCCGTGAATAATGCACAAGGATTCCAATTTCTCCATGCCCTTGCCAACAGTTGTTTTTGTTTTGTTTTGTTTTGATAGTGGTGTGAGGTGCTATCTCATTGTGGTATTGATTTGCATTTTTCTAATGATTAATGATATTGAGCGTCTTTTCATATCCTTCTTGGGCATTTGTATATCTCCTTTGGAGAAATGTCTATTCACGTCCTTTGCCCACGTTATATTCAGGTTTTGTTGTTGTTGTTGAGTTATAGGAGTTCCTTATATATTCTGGATATTACCCCTTATCAGATGATTTGCAACTATGTTCTCCCATTTGGCAGGTTGCCTTTTCACTCTGTTGATCATATTCTTTGAACAAAAGTTTTTGTTTGATATAGTTACTTTTGCTTTTGGTGTCATATCCAAGATATCATTGCCAAATCCAATGTCATGAACTTTTTCCCTATGCTTTCTCCTAGGCATTTTATAGTTTTGGGTCTTATGTTTCGGTCTTTAACCCATTTTGAGTTAACTTTTATTTATGGTGTAAGATAAAGGGTATAACTCTATTCTTTTGCATGTGGATATCCAGTTTCTCCAGTTCCATTTGTTGAAGAGGCTGTCCTTTCTTCACTGAGTAGTCTTTGTGTCCTTGTATGAAAATTAATTGGCTATATATGCAAGGGTTTATTTCTGGACACTTTATTCTGTTTAACTGCTCTGTGTGTCTGTCTTTATGCCAGTACCAGACTATTTTGAATACTATAGCTTTGTAATATGTTTTGAAATAAGGAAATGTGAGACCTCTAACTGTCTTCTTCCTTTTCAAGATTATTTTGGCTATTTGGGGTCCCTTGAGATTCTGTATGAATTTTAGGATGCACTTTTCTACTTGCCTTGGGATTTTGGGATTTTGATAGTGATTGTGTTGAACCTATAGATCACATTGGGTAGTATTGATATCTTAACAGTATTTTAACCCATAAACTTGGGATGTCTTTCCATTTATTTGTGTCTAATTTTTTCAGCAGTGTTTTGTAGTTTTCAGTGTACAAATCTTTCACTTCCTTGGTTAGGTTTATTCCTAAGTATTTTATTCTTTTTGATGTCATTGTAAATAAAACATGCATTTTTGAACTAATGATTTTAATCAGTGTATCATTAATAGTTGTAAATACATAGTTTTTAGTAAACACTCCATATTTGAAACAAGAAAAAATGCTGCGTACTTAAGGTATTTCGTTAATTACCTGCCTATAAAATGAAAGACATTTAAGCCCTCGTTAGTTCTAACAGTTTGTGACTTTTTTTTGTTTTTGTTTTTTTGTTTTTTTGAGACAGAGACTCACTCTGTTGCCAGGCTGGAGTACAGTGGTGCGATCTCAGCTTACTGCAGCCTCTGTCTCCCGGGTTCAAGCGATTCTCCTGCCTCAGCCTCCTGAGTAGCTGGGACTACAGGTGTGTGCCACCACGCTCAGCTAATTTTTGTATTTTTAGTAGATGAGGTTTCACGGCCAGGATGGTCTCGATCTCTTGACCTCATGATCCACCTGACTTGGCCTCCCAAAGTGCTGGGATTACAGGCATGAGCCACTGTGCCTGGCCAATTTGTGACTATTTTTTAAATCAGTTATAATGATTGCAAAGTGATATGGCAGTTTGGTTCTTGAAAGCTGATTTTTTCTGTATAGTTCTAGTATTACATTTGGATCAAAGGATGTGCTAGTTAAAAACTGTCTTGGCAGTGAAGTTTGAGAAATAGCATAGCCAACTTTATGGATTCAGGTTAATTAGTGGTTTGTATTCATGGTATGGCAAGGGCCCTACATGGATTTTCTTTTTAGAGCATGATTAAACTGGGAGCAGAAGATTTTCTAGGCAATTATTCATGGTACAAAGGTGCTCTGTGAAACCTAACTGTATTTATAAAGATCTTTGAGATAGTTTATGTTTGTCATTCCAAAAGTTATTAGGTAGAGCAGTGTACAAGAGAGGGTAGTGTGCTTTCAAACCTTTGGGCGAAATTGGACCACCTTTAGAAATGCTTCTATGGATTGGTGACATGGGCTCATCTGAAGTATTGCTTCTTGATTAGCAAATGGGAAATGAAGTAGTGGTCAGCACTACCAAGAGGTAATGTCTCTTTCAGAATGGGTGCAGCAGTGGTTATGTTTCAGATATAGGGGAGTTCTTAGGTATTTAGGGGTCCACCTCATTATTCTGGGTGGCTTCTGTTGAGTTATGGCTGGGCATGAAAATAGGTTACTGAGAATTGTTTTGAAGAGAGATGTAGGAAGGAAAAAACAGGCAAGGAATTAGGTCCAGTTTTATTGGAATCCTAGAAATTCTTGTTTAAATTGATTGTAAGAATAAAACAGATTATAAAATGCAGATTAATAAATGGTGAAAAACTGTAACCAGTCAAGAACTAACATGAGTCATCCATGTTTTGGTCTCTGTTCCTTCCTCATCTCTCTTCCCTCTCCTCACTCTTTTCCTGCCCCTATTCCCCATTTAAAAAAATAGATACTGCCAATAGTTTTCTTCAAAGGCAATCAATTCACATCTCAACCATACTGTATGCATGTGCTTACTTCCCCACACTGGCTGTTACTCTTTTCTTACCAGTCTACCAATAAAGTTGTCACGTTGTTTTAATTTATTTTAAAACAATTACTACTAAGACTGAATACTTTTATACATTTGCGACCATTTGTATTTGTGTTTGATCAGTCTTTTGTCAGTTTTCCCATTGATGTTTGAATTTTTCTTTTTGACTTAGTCTTTTGACTTTAAGGATTTAATATTTTTCTGAGTTTCTATTTGCATTTGAATTTTTTATTTTCTATTATTTTTATACCTGTCAGGCAACTCTCTTTTTTTTTTTTAAATGGTTTCTGCCTTTCTGATACCTTAACACCCCTAAAGATTATATATTCACCAATATTTTATGTCCGTGCTTCCATCTTTAAATGCAAATCTCTATTTCTTCAGTCCGTTGGCATCAGGTAGAGAATCTGTTTGTCCTCAAATCATTAGTCAGTTGCCTTAACACCACTTATTGAATTATATACAGTATTTCCTTTCATTCAAATTCTGTTATGTACTGGGATCTATTTCTTGATTTTTTTTTTCCCAGGGTATTTTTTTTTCTCATGTATATGTCTATGCATTTGTACATTTCTGTTTTAACTTTATTTTAGGTAATATAGCTTATTTATACATTTCATTAGCTGGCTTGGCAGGTCATCCCCTCTCCCTAAATGATTATTCTTCAAAAAGCAGTTTCTTATCTATCTTGTTTTTATTCCCTATGAATCCTCAAATCATTTTGTAAAGAAAATTTAAAGTTGCTATTTGCTTTTTGGTTACAATTACATTAAAACGTTAGATAAATTTGGAATTTGACATCTTTATAGGGTTTTCCATTTTGTTTGTCTTTCTCCTAAGTCTGTGTGTGTGTGTGTATATATATATATGTATTAAGTAAAACTGTATGAAATTATAATTTTTGTCAGTCCAACATAATTAACAACTTATTCAATCTAATATTAATATGTATGTTTTTATGCATTATTGCTTTGGCTAGAGCTTCAGAACATTGTTAAATAAGAGTGATGAAAAAGCAGGCATCCTTATGTTTTTCTGTTTTTTTAAGAGAAAAATACCTTAAGTGTTTCATTGTGTAGTATGATTGGGGTAGTTGGTTGAAGTTAGATGTTCTTAATAATAGGAAATTTCTTATATTTTTAAAGAGTTTTAGTTTTAAGAGTTATTAGGGACAGCTACTACATTTTATCCCATGGAGTTATTTTATGACCTTTTTACCTTAAGCTGTAGGAGCAGTCCTCTTAGCTGCACTGAACTCTCTTGGTGAATTTATACCCATGTCTGTTTTCCCTCTAGTAAACTCGTCCAGGGATACCCATTGGACTTGGGCTGCCTGCAGCTGCCAGGCTATACTCACACACTTCCACATTTGCTCCATTTAGTTAATGTGCATATTTTTATATTGTGGTTTTGTTTTTAACTAAAACTCTTTTTAAAAAGCTATTATATCGATATGATCCCTCATGAGTATTGATGTATCAATATATAGTAATTATTATAGTAATATATCATTATATATAATATATATTAATAATCCCTCATGAATAGATTAATGCCCTCCCCAGGGGGATGGGGAACTAAGTTCTCACATTTAATTTCCAAGAGAGTTCACCTGAGACCTGGTATTAAAATGAGCCTGTCACCACCCCCCTTGCCGCCATGTGATCTGCACACTCCTTTGCCTTCTAGGAGTGGAAGCAGCCTGAGGCCCTCAGCAGAAGCAGATGTTGGTACCACACTTCCTGTACAGCCTGCAGAACCATGAGTCAAGTAAACCTCTTTTCTTTATAAATTACCCAGCCTCCAGTACTCCTTTAAAGCAACTCAAATGGACTGAGACATCAGTTTGCTGTCAATTAATTTGATATTTAAAAAAAAAATACCAAGAAAACTTCTTATGGAATTAGGAAAGTTGCTGTTAAATTTTCTATGAAAAAATGAAAATGTAGAAATACTGGGAAAATTCTGGAAAAGTTATGAGGAATGACTAGCACAAGCAGTTATTAAAACTTGCTCTTAAACTATTATGTAATTGGTATAATTAGAATAAGTACTGGTATATAAATAGACAAATTAATGGAATAGAATAGAAATTCTAGTAATAGACCTAAGTATATATGGTTTATGTTAACCTACTTTTCTTCTGGGAGTCTGGAACTTTGGTATGTGTTAGGCAGAGGGGTACCGTGTGGCTAGCCCCAAGTAAAAACCTTGGGACTCTGTGTTAGTTTCCTATTGTGCCTGTAGCTAATTATCACAAGTTGAGTGGGTTAAAACACAAGTCTATTCTCTTATCATTCCAAAGGGCAGAAGTCTAAAGTCAGGGTGTGTGGCTGACTGCCACAGTTATGGTTTGAGACAATCATTACAGCAGTTAACTCCTGTTATTGCTTGAGACTGTCATTACTGCAGTTACTACTGGAGACCATCATTACAAGACTGAACGAAGGGACGAACATAGAAATGAAAAAAGACAAAAGAAACTGTTTTAAGGAAAGGCAACATGGGGAGAAGAGGAGAGCTCCCTGCTTCTAGTGATCAAAGGCAGCCCCCTTGAGCTTCTACAGTCCTTTCGTATTTATTGGGTAAAGAGCAAGGAGGAGGAGGTAACCATTGGTCAGCTGCTTAATTGATCACAGGTTCATGTTGTTACTGACAGGCTTCAGTTATGCCTAATCATGAGAAACATTTGTGCAGCCTCCATCTCCTTTTTGTTTTTAAATTAATTGAGCAAGACAATTGCAGATTATGCAGCCCTTAGTGGCGCCTAGACAGGAACTTGAAGGGACTATCAGGGACAAAAAGGGACCTGAAGAGAACTGAAGAGACCCGAAGAGACCTGAAAAACTAGTTCAGGCCATGATGGGAAGAGGGGGTCGGACATGTCTCATTATACCCTCCTCCCTTTGGAATTCAGGCACCACTTGTAGCTGACTGTCACTGCTACTACTTGAGACTGTCACTACAGCAGTTTCTACTGTTACTGTCTGAGACCGTCATTATGAGACTGAACGAAGGCACAAACGTAGAAATGATAACAAAAAACAAAAGTAATTTTTAAGGAAAGGCTAGCATGGGGAAGAAGAAGAGAGAAGAAAAGAATGAAAGGGCTCCCTGCTTCTAGTGAGCAAAGGCAACCCCTGAGCTTCTACAGCCCTTTTGTATTTATTGGGTAACAAGAGCATGGAGGAGGAGGTAACGATTGGTTGGCTGCTTAATTGATCACAGGTTCATATTATTACTAACAGGCTTCAGTTGTACCTAATTACAAGAAACATTTGTGTGGCCTCCAACAAGGGTGTTGGGGCTGTGCTCTTTCTGTAGGCTTCAGGGGAGAATCTTTTTCTGTCTTTTTTAGCTTCTAGAGGCTTCCTGAATTCCTTGGTTCATGGCCTCTGACATCACCCTTTTCCTAATCCAAACATCTTGCATATCACATTCTGTTCCTCTGAGTGTGATTATTAATATATTTGGCCCATCTGACTAATCTGGGATAATCTCCCCATCTCAAAATCCTTAATTTAATCACATCTACAAAATTCCTTTTGCCATGTAAGGTAACATTCACAGCTTCCTGGGATTAGGACATGGACATTTTGGGGAGTCATTATTCAGCCTACCACAGACATTGAGTTTCTAATGAGCTTTCTTGATAGATGTGACACCAAAAGCACAAACAACAAAAGGGGAGAAAATAGATAAAGTAGACATCAAAATTTGAAAGTTTTGTGCTTTAAAAAGCCCTATAAAGAAAGCAGAAAACCCACAGAATGGAAGAAAAATTTTCGCAAATCATGTATCTGATAAAGGGATATGTATCTAGAATGTATAAAGAACTCATAACCTCAGTTACAACAGACAGTGCAATTAAAAAATGGGCAGGGGATCTGAATAGGCATTTCTCCTAATAAAGATATATAATAAACGTATGAAAAGATGCTCTACATCATTAGCTATCAGAGAAATACAAATGAAAACCAAAATGAGATTCCATTTCACACCCACCAATATGGCTACGATCAAACAGATGGATAATAAATGTTGGCAAGGGTGCGGAGACATTGGAATGTCTTGTTGCTTTATGGGTAACATAAGATGGTGCAGCTGCTTTGGAAAACAGTTTGGTAGGTCCTGAAAATACGGAGTTACTGTATGACCCACAGTTATGCTCCTTAGTATATACTCCAAAGAAACGAAAACACAAAAACTTGCACATAAAAACTTGTGCAGGAACATTCATAGCAGCATTATTTATAGTAGCCAAAAAGTGGAAACAACTGAAATGTTTGAAGAATAGATCAAATGGAATATTATTCAGCCATAGAAATGAGTGAAGTATTATTATGAATGCTTGTTACAACACAGGTGAACCTTGAAAACATTGTGATAAGTGAACAAAGCCACTCACAAAAGACCATATAAGACCATAGAAGCCATTTATATGAAATGTCCAGAATAGGCAAATCCACAGAGACAAAATAGATAACATGGTTGTCTAGAACTATGGAGAGCAGTGTAGGGAGTGACTGATGATGGGTACAAGGGTTTTTCTTTGGGATGGTGGTTGAACAACTCTGAATACACTGAAAACTATGCATTATATACTTAAAATGGGAGCTGTTATTAAACAAGTTTTATTAAAAATTGATAGGCTTTTCATCTAAGGGGGAAAAAACCTAAATGAGATACCATTTCTCACTTATTTGGGTGGCAAAGTTCTAAAAGCTTCACAACACTTTCGATGAGACTGCAGGAAAGCACGTGTTCTCACACCTTGTTAGTTGGAATGCAAAAAAGATACAACCTTAATGGAAAGAAGTTTGGCACAGTGTCTAACAAAATTACATATATGTTACGGTTTTCACCTAGCAATCTCATTTTTAGGAATTGGCTGTTTTAACAATACAAATACATATATATAAGGTTATTCATAGCATGATGATTTGTGAATGAAAACTATTGGAAATGACCTAAATGCCCCTATATAGTTGAATAAATTGTTACATCCACATAATGGATCATTATGCACCTTAAAAAAGAATGAGGAAAACCTCTAGAATATGCTTTTTAGTGATTTCCAAAGTATATTGATAAATGAAAGCAGCAAGGTTATAAAGAGTGTATGTGTGTGGATAGCTACCTTAACAGATTTTTAAACTTTTTTTTTTTTTTTTTTTTTTTTTTTTTTTTTTTTTTTGGTGTGTAGTTCTGTGAGTTTCAGCACATGTATAGATTTGAATAACCACTACCATAGTCAGGATACAGAACATTTTCATTACCCTCCAAAACCTGTGCTATCTCCATATAGTCCACTTCTGACTCTTGTCAACCACTGATCTGTTATGTGTCACTGTAATTTTCTCTTTTTGAGAATGTCATATAAATGAAATTAGTGTGTATAATTTGAGATTGTATGGTTTTAAGACTGGTTTATTTTACTCAGCACAAGACACTTGAGATTCTTCCAACTTGTGTGTCTTGATAGTTAGTCTCTAATGTTGAGTAGTATTCTGTTGTATGAATATACCATGATTTATTTGTTCATCTGTTGAAATTTTGGGTTGTTTGCAGTTTGGGGCTGTTATAAATAAAGCCGCTTTGAACATTCATGTGTAAGTCTTTGTATGCACATGTATTTTATTTTCTCTCAGGTAAGTACATATGAGTGGAATGTCTGGATCCTATGGTAGCTGTATGTTTAAGAAACTGCTAACCTGTTTTCCAAAGCGGCTGTACCATTTTATATTCCCATAAGAAGTGTATGAGAGTTCCATTTCCTCCATATGCTTGCCAGTGCTTGGTATGGTCAGTCCTTTAATTTTAGCCATCTTAACAGGTGTGTAGTGGTACAGGCATTTCTCATTTTATTGCACTTTGCCTCCTTCACAGCCAATATGCTGTTTACAAATGGAAGGTTTGTGGCAATCCTGCCTGACACAAATCTATTAGCACCATTTTTCCAATAGCATATGCTCACTTCTATTTTTATGTCACATTTTGGTAAGTCTCACAATATTTCAGGCTTTTTCAGTATTAAATCTGTAATGGTAATCTGCAATCAGTGATCTTTGATGTGATTGTGTAATTGTTTTGGGATGCCCACAAACCACACCCATATGACACTGCAGGCTTAACTGATAAATGCCTGTGTTCTGACTGCTCCAACTGGCTGTTCCCCCACTTCTCGCCCCTCCTCAGGCTGTCGTTTTCTCTGAGACAACAATATTGAAATTAGGACAATTAGTAGTACTAAATAGCATCTAAGTGTTCAAGTGAAAGGAAGAGTCACACCTCTCCCTTATAAATCAAAAGCTAGATATGATTAAGCTTAGCGAGGAGAGCATGTCAAAGCTGAGAAAGGCCAAAAGCTAGGCCTCTCGTACCAAACAGCCAAGTTGTGAATGCAAAGGAGAAGTTCTTTAAGGAAGTTAAAAGTGCTACTCTGGTGAACAAATGAATGATAAGAAAGCAAAACAGCCTTATTGCTGATAGGAGTAAGCTTTAGTGTTCAGGATAGAAGATCAGACCAGCCACAAGCATTCTATTAGGTCAGAGTTTAATCCAGAGCAAGGCCCCTCTCTTCTCTTCAGTTCTATGAAGACTGAGAGAGGGGAAGAAGCTGCAGAAGAACAGTTGGCAGCCAGGAGAGGTTGGTTCATGAGGCTTAAGGAAAGAAGACAGTTTCATCACATAAAGTGCAAGGTGAAGTGGTTAAGTGCCGATGTACAAGTTGCAGCAAGTTTTCCAGAAGATCTGGCTAAGATCATTGATAAACGTGGCCACGCTAAACAACAGATTTTCCATGTAGATGAAACAGCCTTCTTTTGGAAGATGCCATCTTGGTCTCTCATAGCTAGAGAGGAGAAGTCAGTGCCTAGCGTCAAAGCTTCGAAGGACAGGCTGACTCTCTTGTTAGGAACTAATGAAGCTGGTAACTTTAAGTTGAAGCCAATGCTCATCTGTCATGCTGAAAAAATTCTAGGGACCTTAAGAATTATGCTAAATCTACTCTGCCTGTGCTTTATAACTGGAACAAGAAAGCCTGAATGACAGCACATCTGTTTATAATGTGGTTTACTGAATATTTTAAGCCCACTGTTGAGACCTACTGCTCGGAAAAAATATTACTTTCCAAATATTACTGCTTGTTAAAAAGGCAACTGGTCACCCAGGAGCACTGATGGAGATGTACAAGGAGCTGCATGTTGTTTTCGTGCCTGCTAACACAGCATCCATTCTGCAGCCAAGGATCAAGAAGTAATTTCAAGTTTCATGTCTTATTTTAAAAATACATTTTTTAAGGCTATAGCTGCCACAGAGACTGAGTCCTCAGTTGGATCTGGGCAAAGTCCATTGAAAACCTCCTGGAAAGGATTTGCCATTCTAGATGCCATTAAGAATATTTGTGATTCATAGGAGGAGGTCAGAATATCAACAAGAGTTTGGAAGAAGTTGCTTCCAACCTTCATGGATGACTTTGAGGAGTTCAAGATGTCAGTAGAGGAAGTGACTGCAGATACAGTGGAAATAGCAAGAGAACTAGGATTAGAAGTGAAGCTTGGGCTGGGTATGGTAGCCCTTTCAGAGGCCTAGGCGGGAGGAATATGGAGCCCAGGAGTTCAAGGACCTCCTGAGCACTGTGGCAAAACCCTGTCTCTACAAAAACTACAAAAATTAGCTAGGTGTGGTGGCTCTCACCTGTTGTCCCAGCTACTCAGGAGGCTGTGGTGGGAGGATTGTTAGAGCCCAGGAAGTCAAGGCTGCAGTAAGCACTCCAGCCTGGGCAACAGAGTGGCTGGCATCCTGAAGATGTAACTGAATTGCTGCAGTGTTACGATAAAACTTGAACAAATGAAGAGTTGCTTCTTATAGATGAAGTGATTTCTTGAGATGAAATCTGCTCCTGGTGAAGATGCTGTGAACATTGTTGAAATGGCAGCAAAGGATTCAGGGTATTATCAACTTAGTCGATAAAGTAGTAGCAGGGTTAGAGAAGATTGACTCCAGTTTTGAAATAAGTTCTTCTGTGGGTAAAATGCTGTCAAACAGCATTGCATGCTACAGAGAAATCTTTCATGAAATGGCAGCAAACTTCATTGCTGTTTTTTATTATTATTATTTATTATTATTTTTTTCCCCAAGACCGAGTCTTGCTCTGTCACCCAGGCTGGAGTGCAGTGGCGCAGTCTCGGCTCACTGCAACCTCCACCTCCCGGGTTCAAGCAGTTCTTCTGCCATGACCTCCCGAGTAGCTGGGATTGCAGGCGCCCCCCACCACACCTGGCTAATTTTTGTATTTTTAATAGAGACGGGGGTTTCACTATGTTGGCCAGGTTGGTCTCGAACTCCTGACCTCATGATCCGCCTGCCTCTGCCTCCCAAAGTGCTGGGATTATAGGCATGAGCCACCACGCCTGGCCCATTGCTGTTTCAAGAAATTGCCACAGCCACCCCACCCTTCAGCAACCATTATCCTGATCCTGATCAACCTTGAGGCAAGACTCTCCACTAGCCAAAAGATTATGACTTGCTGAAGGTTCAGATAATTGTTAGGATTTTTTAGCAATAAAGTATTTTTAAGTTAAGATATATACTTTCTTAGATACAATGCTATTGCGCTCTTAATAGATTACAATACAGTGTAAATGTAGCTTTTATAAGCACTGGGAAATCAAGAAAACTTACCTGACTTGCTTTATTGTGTGATATAGGTTTTATTGTGGTGGTCTGGAACCAAACCTGGCAATATCTCTGAGGCATTCCTGCATTTCATTGTAATTTTAATTGTATTTCTCTGGTGAATAATGATGTTGAGCATCTTTTCATGTGCTTATTTGCCATCCATATATCTCATTTGGTAAAGTGTCTTTTCACATCTTTTGCCCATGTTTTATTAGGCTATTTTCTTATTTTTGAGATTTGAGAGTTCTTTATATGTTCTGGGTACCAGTATTCTGGAGATACATATTTACAAGGATTCCTTCCAAGTCTGAGGTTTGTGTTTTTATTCTCATAACAGTCTTTTGAAGAGCAGAAGTTTTTAATTGATTGAATCAACTTTACCAATTTGCTCTTTTATAGATCATGTTTTTGGTATCGTATCTAAGAAATCTCTGCCTAATGCAAGGTCACAAAGATTTTCTCCTGTATTCTTTTCTGGAAGTTTTATAGTGGTAGGTCTTTCATTTAGATCTGTGATTGATTTTGAGTTCATTTTACATATGATATGAGTTTTGTACCCAAGTTCTTTTTTTTTTTTTTTTTTGCATATAAATAACCAGTTCTTCTAGTGTCTATTAAAAAGTCAATTAAAAAGACTACTACCCTTTTCCCACTGTATTGTGCTTGTACTTGTTGAAAAGCAATTGCATGTACATGTGTGAGTTTATTTCTGGTTGTCTGTCTCTCTTTTGTTCTGTTAATCTATTTTTCTGCCTTGATGCCAGTACCACACTGTCTTGACTGCAGCTGTATTATAGTTACCGAAACAGTGTCAGTTCACCAACTTTGTTCTGTTTCAGAGTTTTGCCTATTCAAGATCCTTCACATTTCATTATGAATTTTAGAATCAGCTTATCAATTTGTACAACAGAGCCTTCTTGGGTATTGATTGGGACTGTGTTGAATCTATAGATGAATTTGTGGGGGGAACTGACTTCTTAACAGTATTTAGTTTTCTGACACATGAACAGGGATATTTTCACCATTTATTTAGGTCTTTAATGTAGTTTTCAGTATAAAATTTTTAAAGTATCTTTTGTCATATTTATCTCTAAGTATTTCATATTTTTGATACTAGTTTATTAATAAATGATATTTTTTTAAAATCTCAATTTCTGGTTCATTGCTAGTATATAGAAGTAAATTTTATGTTGATCTTGTATTCTGTAATCTTGCTAAACTGACTTAATAGTTCTAATAGCTTTTCTGTAGATTGCATTGGACTTTTTACGTAGATGATCATGTCTGCAAATACGTTTTTTTCCAGTCTGGATACCTTCTGTTTTGCTTACCTGATTGTACTGCTTATGACCTCCAGTGCAATGTTGAATAGAAGTAGTAAAAGTGGACATCTCTGTCTTGTTCATAATCTTAGGGGGGAAGCATTCAGTCTTCCACCATTAAGTATGCTGTTAGCCATAGGTTTTTCATAGATGCCCTTTCCCAGGTTGAGGAGGTTCTTTTATGTCTTGTTTGAAGAGAGTTTTTAACAGGAATGGATATTTATCAAATGCCTTGTCTGTATCATGGATTTTTTTGGTTAACATGATGAATGACTAACCTTGCATTTTTTTCTTGGTCATGATAGGTATTATGCAATTTATTTTAAAGTTTTGTTTGTTTGTTTGTTTGCTAAGACTTAGAATTTTTGTATCTTTGGTCATTAGGAATATTGGTCTTTTTTTTTTTTTTTCTTGTAATACCTTCCCTTTCAGTATTAGAGTAATGCTGGTCTCATAAAATCAGTTGAGATGTGTTTTTCCTTTTTAATTTTTTGGAAGAATCTGTATAAAACTGGTGTTATTTCTTCCATAAATATGTGGTAAGAATTACCATTGAAGCCATCTAGGCTTGGAGTTTACTTTATGGGGATTTTTTTAACCACAATTTCAATTTTTAAGAAGCAGGGCTCTTCAGGTTATCTATTTCTTCCTGAGTGAACTTTGGTAATTAATATCTTTCAAAGAATTTGTTCATTTCATCTAAGTTGTCAAATTAATTGGCAAAGTTGTTCATAATGTTCCCTTACTATCTTTTGAATATTTGTAGCAACTGTAATGATGACACTTCTCTTATTCCTGAAACTTATAATTTGTGTTTTCTGTCGTTTTTTTCTTGATCAGACTGGCTACAAGTTTATTAATTTTAATCTCACAAAAAGCATCTTTTGGCTTTATTATTCTCTGTATATGTTTGTATTTGTCTCACTTTTTCTGTTTCATTGACTTTTTCACTTGAATTTTATTTCTCTTTTTTTTTTCTTTGCTTACTTAGAGTGTAATTTTTCCTTTATTTTCTAGTTTCTTAAGGTGGATACTGAGGTTTTTGATTTGAGGTCTTTGGGTATTTATCAAAGATCTTTTTGTTATTGATACATAATTTAATTCCATTCTGGCCAGAGACCATACTTGGTATGACATTAGTTCTTTTGAGACTTGTTTTGTGACTTTGAATATAGGCTATCTTGGTGAATGTGTGCATTTGAGAAGAATATGTCTTCTGCTGTTGTTGGAGTACTCTGTCAATGTCAGTCAGGTTGGTTGTAGTGCTGTTCAAGTTCACCATTTTCTTGCTGATTTTTTGCCTGCTTTATTCATCAATTATTGAGAAACACATATCTGTATTCCACCTGGTATCATTTCCTTCTGCCTGAAGGATTTTTTTGTAGTGTGGATCTGCTAGTAATGAATTCTTTCAGGTTTTATATCTCTGAAAATGTCTTCATTTTGCCTTTGTTCTCAGATACTTTTATTTGCTATAGAATTACAGGTCGACATGTTTTTTTTTTTCTTTTTCTTTTAGTCTTTAAAGAGATACTGTCTTCCCACTTGCATTGTTTTCCAGAAGAAATTTGATGTCATCCTTATCTTTGTTCCTCTGTATATAACATGTCTTTTTTTTTCTCTTGATACTTTTAAGATTTTTTTTGTAAATCTGGTTTGAAATAATTTGATTATCTCTTGGTGTAGTTTTTTTCATGTTTGTTGAGCTCAGGGTTTGTTGAGCTTCTTGGATCTCTGGATTTATAGTTTTCATTAAGTTTGGGACATTTTTGCTTACTATTTCTTTAAACATTTTTCCTGTCCTCCTCCTCCTCCTCCTCCTCCCAACCCCATTTTGAGGATTCCAGTTCTGCAGGCATTAGACAGCTTGAAGTTGATCCCACAGCACATTGCACTGTTTAGGTTTTTTAGATCTTTTCCTGCGTGTTCCATTTTGGATGGGTCTACTGCTATGCCTTCAAGTTCCCTAATTTTTTCTTTTGCATGTCTAATCCACCCTTAATCCCATCCATCACATTTTTTTCATCTCACAAATTGTGGTTTCATCTCTGGAAGTATAATTTGTCTTTGTATCTTCCATCTCTCTACTTAACTTTTTGAACATATGGAACACATTTATAATACCTGTTTTATTGTCTTGTCTGCTAACTTCTGTGCCAGTTCTAGGTTGGTTTCAATGGATTATTCTCGTATTGGGTCATGTTTTTCTGTCTCTTGTGTGTGCCTGATAATCTTTGATTGGATGCCAGATATTGCAAATTTTACGTTGTTGGGTGCTGCTATTTTTGTATTCCCATAAATATTCTTGAGCTTTGTTTTAAGATGCAGTTAAGTTACTTGACAGTTTGATATTCTGGGATGTCTTGCTTTTAAGATGTGTTAAGTGGGTCTGGAACATTGTTCAGTTTTGGACTGATTATTCCCCACAGCTGAGGTAAGGCCCTCCTGAGCACTCTGTCCAGTATGTCATGAGTTCTGGATTTTTTTCCAGTTGGTATAAATAGGTACTGTTTCTGACCCTGTTTGAATGGTGGGCATTGTTCCTCTAATCCTTTTGGATGGTTCCTTCCCCAGCGTTGGGGAGTTACCTCACACAAATGCACTGATCAGTACTTCACCGAGGACTCAATGGGGACCCTCTGTAGTTCTCCAGGGTTCTCTATGCAGCTCACTCCATTTTGGTATTCTTTTCTATGAACTCTAATTGCCTTGGTTTCCTCGGACTCTCAGCTTTGTCTCATCAATTTGGAAAATCCACCAAGCTCTACCACTGTTTCCCCTCCCTGCACTGTGGCCTAGTAACTCCCTTGAGGCAGTAAGCTGGGCCAATCATAGGGCTTACCTTGTTTGTTTCCCATGTCCTTCGTTGACTGATGTTTAGGGTCTGAAAATGATCATTTAATTAATGCAGTTCGTGTGAGTTTCTGGTTGCTTCAGGATGGGAGGGTACATCATGCCCAGAAGTAGAAGTTCATATGTCTGCATCAGTTATTATTCTACAGTGTAACTGGCATTGTTATTTTCAGATGTTATTCCTAAACCTCTTGGTACAGAAAATTTTTGGTAATTAATGTGAGATAGTATGGTGTATTAGTTTCCCTTTGCTGTTACTGTAACAAATAACCACAAATTTAGTGGCTTAAAAACAACACAACTTTATTATTTTATGGTTCTGGAGATCAGAAGTCCGTATGTAGTGAGTCTCACAGGCTAAAATCAAGATGTTTGTAGGCCCCTACTCTATACCCACAAAATTAAAAAAGATTTTTTTTAATATGTGTTTGTAGGACTGTATTTCTTTCTGAAGGCCCTAGGGGAGAATTTGTTGGCTTGAGTTTTCCAGCTTCTAGAGGCCACCTACATTCCTTGGCTTGTAGCCCCTTCCCCTGCCTTCAAAGCCAGCAGCATTGGGCCGAGTCCTCCTTATGTGCCTTCTCTCTGGGTCACCCTCTTCTGCCTCCCTCTTCCACTTTTAAGGACATTGGGCCCACCTAGGTAACCCAGAATAACCTCCCTATTTTAACATCAGCTGATTAGAGCCTTAATTGCATCTGGGAGCTTAATTCCCCTTTGCCATGTGATTTGGCATATTCACAAGATCCCGAGGTTAGGATGTGGGCGTCTTGGAGTGGGCTGATGACTATTATTTTGCCCACCACAGATTGATGGTTTTTAGAATGGTCTCTGCCTAAGACTGCCTGCCTGCCTGCCTGCCTGCCCGCCTGCCTGCCCGCCTTCCCTCCCTCCCGCCCGCCTTCCCTCCCTCCCCTCCCTCCCTCCCTCCCCTTTCTTTCCTTTCTTTCCTTTTTCTTTTCTTTCTTTTTTAACAGGGGATCTCATTCTGTCACCCAGGTGGGAGTAGTGCAGTTTCTGGGGGGTCTTGCTTTTAAGATGTGTTAGGTGGGCCTGGAACATTGTTCAGTTTTGGACTGATTATTCCCCACAGCTGAGGTAAGGCCCTCCTGAGCAGTCTCTCTGGTATGTCATGAGTTCTGGATTTTTCCAGTTGGCAGAAATAGGCACTGTTTCTGACCTTGTGTTTCTGTTTCTGAAATGGCAGATCTCGGCTCACTGCAGCCTTCACCTCCCAGGTTCAAGGGATTCTCCTGCCTCAGCCTCCCGAGTAGCTGGGATTACAGGCATGTGGCACCACTCCCGGCTAATTTTTGTAGTTTTAGTAGAGATGGGGTTTCACCATGTTGGCCATGCTGGTCTCAAACTCCTGACCTCAAGTGATCCACCCAGCTTGGCCTCTCAAAGTGCTGGGATTATAGGTGTGAGCCACTGTGCCCGCTCCTTTCTTTTGATGACAGTGAAGAATTGTCTATATAGGATTTTATTTTATTTTGCTTATTTTTTTAAGACAGGGTCTTGCTCTGTCACCCAGGCTGGAATGTAGTGGTGTGATGGCAGCTCACTGCAGCCTCGACCTCTGGGGCTCAAGCAATCCTCCTGCCTCAGCCCCCTGAGTAGCTGGGACTATAGGCATGCACCACCATGCCCAGCTAATTAGGATTTTCTTTTTAACCTACACACAGTAAGACATTATTAGAAACAATGAGACTACAAACCTATACTTTAAAAATGTGTTGGTTATATATAGCCTGTCTGTCATACATAGCATTTAGAAGTAGCTTATTTTAATTTCAGGTATGATTCAGAAAACTTTATGGATTATTTCACAAAGTTTTGATTTGAGAATTTCTCAGCCCATTGCATTTGGCAACGTATAGAAACTTTCAAGCTTGGGAAATTGATTGATAGCCACAAATGTAATTTTAGATCAGTATCAACTGTCTTATATTTCAGTATTTTTTTTCTTTTAAAATTGAAGAATGGTATATTTTCCCCCCTTCCTCCACTTATCACAGCTAATGCCTTATGTTCTTTGTTGCTTTTGTCACGTGGAACACCTCCTTGTGTGCTATTTTCCTGTCAGGACTTCAGTGTGTCATCCCCCACATTGTCAGCAATTTCAGTGATCTCTGAAAAAGCCCAGGATTTTCTCCCTGACCTTTACCCAGTGCCCTTTGTAAAGGGTTATGTATACCTGATTTGATGGAATAATTTATGTATAGCAGCTCTGAGCTGAAGTTAGCACTTTTGCTTCCATAACTGTCTTCATATTGTATTTGACTCCCATCTTCTTCATATGTTTAAATAATTATTGATAGAATTCTAAAGTAGTAGTTTATTTAAGCCAGAAGTTAATGTGCAAGGTGAATAATAATTTTAATCATTCTTTATACTCCCCCCACCATAGGCTACATTAAAAACAAACCCGGCTTTTATTTGTCCAAGAATGGTTGAGTGTCAGTAGGTCAGTAGAGCCAGTTCCAGAGCACATAGTCAAGCCAGCAGGTATTTGTAATACCTTCTCTTCTGCTGCGTTCTGCTTGCTTCTACTTGCACACTCCTGGGTAAAAGTGAATGAGATATGTCCAGCATGGCAGACCACCAGAAGTTGGCCATAGCACTCAGCACTTTGTCCTTGCTTCAGGAATAGGCCCAGATGGTTACTCTTCTCTGGCCACAATCCTGGGACCAGAAGCCCAGTCAGCAGAGCACCTGCTCTTCCACCAGGCTGGTTTGTGCCTGGAGTGAGTGGTGAATAGATGAGGTCAAGGCTTTGCAAATGGATGGCTTTTCTTCACGTATTGGTTTATCATTTACTTGTTGTGTGTGTCCTTGGGCAAATTATTTGTGGACCTTTCTCAACTGTACAGTGGGCATAAACATGCTTAATAGAGTTGCTAGGCACTTTGCCATAGGTCTTGAAATGTTAGTTTTCAGATATGTTTGCAGATTAGGCGTGCTATCTTTTGTCTCCTCTCTCTGTACTGTTTCTTTTGGCCTATGTCTCTATTTACCTCCTCCCGCACCTTGCCTCCAGTGAAAGAAACCAGGCATGGAGCATTTGTCTCTTGGATCAGCCTTGATACCCTTATGCTCCCTACTGAGCAGTTCCTTGGGGCCAAGGGGAGTCTAAGGCCATCCCCAAAAGAGGTAGCCATTTCTTTAAGGTACTGTGTTTTATTTATTCAAATTTTGCATTCCGTTTCAGTATCCATGCTGGTTCCAGTAGAAAAACAGATTTTCCCAAGTGGATACACCTTAAGATGTGTCTCATGCTTTGTACTTAGGGCTCACAATAGCACGTTTCTGGAAACATTTCTGTGTTTCAGCAGTACTATAACAGTCATTCTTCATCAACAAGGAGAATGGAATGGAATGGAATGTTGCCAGGGTCTTGGTTCACAGAGGTAGACTAACTTTGACCTTCCTGGGACCCTGAACAACTCCACATCAGACAGATCGTTGTGAAAGGCACTGAGTAACATTTAGATAAGTGGATGATTTTGCATTTTTTACAGTAACATCAGAAAGTCCAGTGTTGTATGAAACACTGCTTATTAATAAAGTAAGAGCATGTGGTTAGATATCAGCTACTTGTAGGAGAATATGCGTGGCTTTCAGTTTCATAGTTCTATTCCTGCAGATTTTTATTGCATCAACTTGTTTTATTTGAGCAGTTTGTGTACAGTGATGTATGGAATAATCTTCACCAAATAGTGTGTAGATATGTTTTTGACTCATAGCAGAATAAGTACTCTAAGGCCTTAGAATAGTAGCCTGGGAAGACAAATGTTAGCACAGAAAGATACATCATTCTTAGATAGCCAAGAAGACCTGCAGGTGTCATTAATTAGCATCTGAAAAGGAAATATTTTGGAAAACATAAATAATACAGGCAGTTAGGTGTCTGCAGCCAGAGAGTTAGAGAAGGAAAGAAGTAACAGACTAATGGAGGGGAGTTGTCAGGGAAGGAGGTGTTGGGGCAGAAGGGCCCAAACATGGGGAGCTTGGTGGAGGGCCTGGAAGAAACTGGTGATTAAAGCAACAATTGTCTGTCTAAGCACACACACCCTTACCCTGCCCCTATCATTAGGCGGCTGGCCTTATGATATGTACTGTGTACAGGGTAACTTCTCTTTTGTACAATTGAAGATAAAAGGCTTAATTTATACATGTCTAGTGGTCATAATACATCAACAAATTGCTCTTAAATGAGTTAGTTTGTCAGCTGAATTAACTAACATAAATGTTGTCATATCCTTTTCCTTTTTTTTTTTTTGAAACAGAGTCTGTCTCTGTCACCCATACTCAAGTGCAGTGAGTGGCACAATTATGGCTCACTGCAGCCTCGATCTCCTAGGCTCATGTGATCCTCCCATCTTAGCCTCCCAAGTAGCTAAGACTAGAGGTGCGCCTCCAGGCCCAGCTAATTTTTTTTTTTCTTTAGTAGAGATGAGGTTTCACTCTGTTGCCCAGGCTGGTCTCGAACTCCAGACCTCTAACCATCCTCCCACTTTGGCCTCCCAAGGTGCTGGGATTACAGGCAAGAACCAGTGCGCCTGCCCGATATCCTTATTCTGATGGGAAGGATGTGCCTTAGCAAACTGGTTCAAATGAGAAGTTGGGGAAGGAGTATAATCTTCTGGATAATGGGAGCCAGGAAACTTGCCAGGTCTCGTCTTCACTACGCACAGATGAGTGGGAGATGTTGGGAGTCACTCTTGCTTTGTGCAGGCTTCCCTACAAACATGTCAGCACTGCTTGGCATACTTCCTGAAACTTATGTTTTTGTCTGAACATTGCCCCTCCAAAGGGAGAACTCATTTTCCGAGACCCTACTGCAGGGAGATAGGAGTGCCCACTGTGTTGTCTGAAATGTGTGTGGTACACAGCAAGTGCTCAGTAAGTCTCAATTCAGTTGAAAGTTGAATTACACACTGACAGGCAGGTTCATGACTATTCCCATGTTTACGTCCGAAGTTCATGTTGGTGTCTCAAAGTGTTAACACTTAAAATATTAAAACACCACATTGAGATATACATAATATATAATATATATATAATAAAGGAAACATAGACCCTCTGCGCCCTTATCTGGTAGTCACTCCTCGGTTCTTATCTGGTCACTAGGCTAGACAGAACACCAGCAAATTAATTCGTTAATTTTTATTCAGTAGGTGCCATGTCTTAGGCTGGGTGTAGAAAGATAATGACACAATTCTGGCTTTGCAAGAGCTTTCAGTGTGGTGGAGTGAACAGGCCTACAGATGGATGCTGAGTTATAAGTGGTTGCCAGGATAGGTCGGGTGCTGGGGACAGGACTTAGTGTACTAGGGCATTACTTAGAATAAGTAACTCATTTTGAGGTCTTAGGCAGTAAGACATTATAGCCTTGTTATGTGTCTGTGTCTCAGAGTTCTGAGATTTTTCTTCTGTGCCTCCCACCTTAAAAAACCTCTCCAAAAAAAAAAACAACCTAAAAAAAGTGGCGTAAGACATCCCAACAGGATGTGTTACATGGGAAGACAACATGGTATGATAAGAAGAGCATCGAGGCTCTAGTGCTTACTAGCTCTGTGACCTTGTACAAGTTACTTATCCCTGAGAGTCTGTTTCCTCTTAGACTAAGTGGGAATAAAAGTATTCTGTGGAATGTTGAAGAGGTTAAACTTTTGGTTTGAGGATGCTTAATCTATTTAGCTTCATCTTCTCTCCCCCCACTATCAACCCTCTTGAAAAATTTTCCATTGCACCGTTCGAATTAGTTGAGTATACAGTTTTTTATTATAAGCAGTTTGTTACTTATTAAATTTCTTATTTCCATGTGATCTTTATACTCTTTTTTTTTTCTCTTTCCTTTCTGACAATTTGTCTGTACCCAGGGAATTTAAATAAATAAACATTTCATTTTGTAGTCACATATGAATAAATTTACACACTGTACTGTTTTATGTTACACTTCCTGTTTTCTGTCAGTGTGCATCTTTCATGCAACCAGTATATTTTTCAGTACACTGCTGGGTCCTTGGATATGTTTATGAGTAAGATAGTAATTAGCTTCCAAGAATTTTTTTGTTAGAGACAGGCATAAACAATTACAGTGTAAGATTAAAGGTACATATTAATATGTGTGTGCCACAGGAGAGAGCTAGGTTGACTGTATACACAGACCTGTGTATCAGTCAGCTTATGAAATTAGAGAGGACAGTTCTAATGGGGCATTAGGTCTGGATCTGAGTAACTCCCTTTTATGGTGAGTCAAAACAATACTCCATAAGTTCCATCTGACTCACCGCCCCCATCTAAGAAGTGTGCCGTTTGTTTGTTTGTTTGTTTGTTTGTTTTAGGTGGTGGGCAGGTGTGGTTGAATTCACACCTGTGAACACCCCTGGAACAAGTTTGGTCAAAGCAAGGGCTTGTCTTCGTAAGTGATTAGTCTTGTCATCTTATATGAGGGACCTGCCTGGCTACCTTTCTCAGTGGTGTAGAGAGTAAACAGACTGCTGACTTGGAATATGGGCTTGACTGTGACCTTGAGCAAGTTAACTAGTCCTCATGTGTCAGCTTCCTAATTTGTTTAATGGGGATAATAGGAATACCTGTCTTCTAGGGTTGGTGTGAGTATTGAATCATCTGTAGGGCTTGGTATGTAGTAAGTGCTGGATTAGTGCTAGCTCTTGTTGCATATTCATGTTATGTTTGACTCTGGACTACTTGTGTAATCCCAGGTGAGCCAACTTGAAGCTATTTTCAGTTGGACCAGACCAACTCCTTAGTCTGAAGGTAATCCATGTAGTCAGCTCAACAAACATTTATTGAGGGCCACTGTGTCAGACACTGGATTGGTCGTTGGAACCTAAGAGATGAAGAAGGGGTGATTCCTGGCCTCAAGTAGTTTATACCTTTTATTTATTGTGTTCTCTTTAGTTTCTCAAAATACTTTTAAGATCAAGACATTCAAAGAATTAAGATTTGAAGAGTGGAAGAAATTTTAAAAAATTAGGAAAGGGTTCTTTTAAAGTAATGTATTAGGTAATTTAGGGAGAAATTGTCCCTTCCAGACTCTGTTAACCACCCGGAAAGATTTTGTCTGAGTCGAATGCCAGACACCTTGCTGGTTTAACTACTGCTAAGTTATGTTGCAGTGAGCAGAGAACAGCCGATTTACCCTGTGAGGCTTACATGTTCAGTGTATGCATTGTCAGCTCTAGTAATTATTCTAACATACTAGATATTCATGATAGAAATTTGTTTTATGACAAGGGAAAAATATACCCCTGTCAAAATGATAGCAAATAAATTTGATAATTTTGCAATTTAAGTTTTTTTTTAAAAAATTGCTTTTGTTCAATTTTTTTGTTTCTAGGCTTTGCTTACTTTCTCTTTTACTGAATTATCCTTGCATTACTGTTCTTTTTCTACTCAAATTTTTAGCTCTAGCAGGAAAAGCCACCCTAGGAAAATTGACTAATGCCATCTAGTTCTACCTTTATGTGAATTTCAGGGTTACATTTAAATCACTTCTCCATGGGCAGGCAAAAGAAAGGTAGAAAATAGCTTTTGAAGTTAGCCTGTCTAGGAGTAGGTAATTTTACACAATCTAAATTCACAGGAGAATTTCTTCAGATTTTTAGGAGCAGTAATTTTCATTACACATTCCCTAATTTCATTAGGAAATTTTTAAGTAATCTGTGCTGTTTGTGAGATTAGATGAATTGGTGCCCAGCCATGGGGCTTGTCACAGCCATCCAGATTCATCATTCCTGGTGTCCACTTGGTGCTTAGCAGCGTGGCCCTTGGTAGTAAGTGGTAGCTATTATGTGCCAGGTAATCTATGCAGTAGTGCCTGTTTTAAAAATGTTGGAGAAACCAGCCCCACACCACCTGGCGGGTACCCCGAGTCCAGCGGAGACAAAGGAGTTAGAAAGAGACAGAATAAGAGTTTAAAAGGTGGGTCCAGGGGACCAGAGTGTCAGAGGCTTGCTCACAGCCCGGAACTCTCAGCCTCCACCCAATTTATTGGTTTACAAGCTCTTTGTTCTTAGGGTAGATGGGAGGGGTACGAAGCGATGAGGAAAAGAATTAATCGGTGAAGGAGAACTCGTCAGTCATTCAATAAGATATATAGCAGTGGCGGTTTCTGTGAATTTCCCCAAGCAAAGGCGTGTGTCTAAACGGCTTAAGATCTTTAACTTACCGGGACTGAAATGGGTGGGAGTGGGTTTCAAGAGGAACCAAGATGTTTGATTATACTCCACTGTTTCAAGGGAGTGTTATTTCCCCGAGCAACCTGTGGCATGCCGCGGAGCTCTTACGCTCTTGGGGCATAAAGACATGAAGGCAATAAGGAGACTTTTCTCCTCAGAGGCCGCCCATGGCTCCCAGTGGGTGTCTCACACAGGGGAGACCAACTCATCTGGCACCCTAGAAACTCTCTTTCCCACAAAAAAGAATTGTATCTATATTTTATAGATGAAGAGACTGAGGTTGTAAAGACCAAGAGTCAGTGTTTTCCCAAAGTTTGCTGATAATAGTGTGTATTAATTTACTGCTTGGTAACTTATTTCTGTTTTATAGATTAGTATCTTCCTTCCCAGGATTTGTTGGAATTAAATAAGAATAGTGCATGCAGATTGCATAGTACAGTGTCAGGATGTAGAAAGCATTTAGGAGATATGGTTAGACATTTTACTTGGGTTATTTCTGTTTCGATGTGTTTTTCTGTCTGGGAGTAAACAGGTGGTTTAAGGAAAAATCTTGATTGCAGTAGAATTGACTTAGTCAAGGACGTATATTTCAAATGTGTGTTTAACAAGCTTGATATGATAAAAATAGATCCAATTCTTAGTTGCATGTGATTTTTGCTTTCCTCTGTAATATTTATTTGACTGTTTTAAAGAAATTATGGAAAACATTGACTTCTTTCCCAACTGTATTTCCCTGCAATTTGTTTGCAGTGGAACTGAATTTACTCTAAAGAGGAGGTATGTGGCTTGCATATCATTTTCAGTAATAGGAAGTGACATGAGCAAAATTGCAAGGAAACAGAGATTAGAGACCAGCCTTGAATAAATCCAGTATAAAAGTAGAATGCCTTAACATTTCTCCTAATTTCCTAAATTGTATTACAGCAGTATTTTTGACCTTGTAGGTGGTGGTCTCCTTTATTATTATTATTTTGTCTGGGGACATAGGAGATTTCTTGAGAAAGACCTTTAACTGCAGCTGTATGTGGTAATAAGTGTGTAGGGATTGCTGTCATTCTATTAGTAGAACATTCAGGAATGTGAATGCTTGATTTGCCAGTTTCCTTGGAAGTCGGTTGGAGTATTAGAATATTACTGTACACTATACCTGTGCCACTTTTATGTAAGCCTGTTAGAACTGGATTCTGGAAAACATTTATATTTGAGAAGTTAACTTATTCTTCCAAATATTAATTCATTCTGTATCTAGATATTTCAGACTTTTAGCAAAAATTTACCACTATGCATTTGCATAGAAGAAAAACTTTTAAAAATATGTGATGTAGTATAAACATCTGATTTATAAGTGAAGATAAAATTATTCTAGCTTATATATAACAACAACAACAAAGGGAAATTATTCTAGCAATCTCAAAAATTCTTATTGTATTTATTTATTTTTTGAGATGGAGTTTTCACTCTTGTCACCCAGGCTGGAATGCAGTGGCGCGATCTCCGCTTACTGCAACCTCCGTCTCCCTGGTTCAAGCGGTTCTCCTGCCTCAGCCTCCTGAGTAGCTGGGATTACAGGTGCCCACCACTAAGCACAGCTAATTTTTGTAATTTTAGTAGAGACAGGGTTTAGCCATGTTGGCCAGGCTGGTCACAAACTTCTGACCTCCAGTGATCTGCTCACCTCAGCCTCCCAAAATTCTGGGATTACAGGCATGAGCCACCATACCTGGCCTGCAATCTCAAAAATTCTTAAAGCTGACTGGTTCCTGAGACCTTAAGGAAACAAAAAAGCTATCAAAAATTAGTAAAGCTCCTTTTCTCCCACTTTTAACATACAAGAAATTAATAAAAGACAGAAATGAGGTGACATCTATGTGCCTTCAGGGTATTAAGAGCCCAGGGTAATAACCTACTTTAAAACAATGCTGTAAGGTTGAACATGACTAAACTTGTGCCAGCTTTCTTTTTCTTTCCTTTATGTTTTAGCCAACTCTATTGAGGTATAATTTGCATACAGTAATATTCACTAGTTTGAAGTGTGCATTTTGATTAGTTTCATAAACATACAGTTGTGAAAATGGCACCATCTTAATGTAGGACATTTCCATCATCTCAGAAAGTTCCCCTGTGCCTGTTAGCAATCAGTGCCTTTTCCTCATCACTGGTCTCAGGCAACAACTATTGCTCTGCTTTTTGTCACTTTCTGTAGCTGCTGCGTGGTCTAGAATTGTAAATAAATGGAATCATACTACATGCAGTCTTTTGTTTTGACTTGTTTCAGTTTGCATAATGCTTTTGAAATTCACGTTACATTTATCATGTTTGTTTCTTTTTATTGCTAAGTAAACTACAATTTAGTTTTTTACCTGTTAATAGATTTCTGGGTTGTTTCAAGTTTAGGGCTATTATGATTAAAGCTTTTATGAAGGTTTAAGTAAAAGTTTTTTTGTGGACAAATATTTTCATTTCTCGCAAGTAATACCTGGGAGTAGATTGATGAGTTGTATGGTAAGATTATGTTTAACTTCAGAAGAAACTGTCAAACCATTACCAGCAGGATGTGAGAGTTCCAGTTGATTTTACAGTATGTCTTTCCCCAACACTTGATGTTGTCAGTCATTTCAGTGGGTACTTAGTGGTATTTCATTATAGTTTTTTTTTGAGACGGAGTCTCACTCTGTTGCCCAGGCTGGAGTGCAGTGGCGCTATCTCAGCTCACTGCAAGCTCCACCTCCCGGGTTCACACCATTCTCCTGCCTCAGCCTCCCAAGTAGCTGGGACTACAGACACCCGCCACCACGCCCGGCTAATTTTTTTGTATTTTTAGTAGAGATGGAGTTTCACCCTGTTGGCCAGGATGGTCTCAATCTCCTGACCTTGTGATCCACCTGCCTCGGCCTCCCAAAGTGCTGGGATTACAGGCGTGAGCCACTGCGCCAGGCAGCCTTTTCATTTTTTAAGCAGCGTTTTTTGAGAGTAAATATTTTAAATTTTAATGAAGTACAGTTTTTCAATTTTTTCATTTACAGGTCTGTGTATATTCTGTATCCTGTAAGAATTTTTGCCTACCACAAGATCACAAAAATTTTCTCCTGTGTGTTTCTCTAGAACATTATAGTTTTAGCTGTTTATTTAGGTCTGTAATCCATTCTGAGCTAATTTTTATATATGGTAGGAGGTGGGAGTCAATATTCATTATTTGCGTATTCAAATAATGGGAATATGTAAATAATGCATATTGCAATAGGGAATAGAACACAAAAGCATGCTTTTTGTTGTTGTTGACTTTTAAAATATTGACCTACAATTTCCCGTAAGTTCACTTTTTAAAGTGCATTTGCATATTCAGCTGTTGCAGCACAATTTATGAAAAGACTTTCATTTTCCTCCATTGAGTTGCTTTGGCACCTTTATTGAAACTCAGTTGACCATGTATTTGCGTGTCTGTTTTTCGATTTTCAATTCTGTTCTGTTGATTTACATATCATTTTGTCAGTTCTGTATTAGCTTGGTTACGGCAGTCTTTTAGTAAGTCTTTAAAGGGAGGCAGTATGAATACTGCAACTGCTTTGGCTGTTTTAGTTACTTCCATTTCCATGTAAATTTCAGACTTGTCAATTTCGAAAACAACAACAACCTGAGATTTTGATTGAGAGCACATTAACTCTAATCAAACTGGTGAGAATTGATATAACAACATGGAGTTTTTAATCCCAAACAAGATTCATCTCTTTATTTAGATCTTTTTTAATTTCTTTAAACAGTATTTATCTCTCATGTTTTTGGAGGCTGTTGTATAGGGAATTGTATTTTTTCCATATACAACAATTGTATATTGTATACAAGTATACAAACAATTGGATATTTGTTCTGTATACAACCGATTGTATTTTTTCCAAATACAATGAAATTATATTTTATTTTATTTTTCAATTGTTCAGTGCTTGTATATAGAAATGTAATTGATATTTGTTATTAACTTTACGTGCTATAACCTTACTTGTTCTAATAGCACCTTTTTTTTTTTTAGATAGTGTTTACAGCTTCCTTTCCTTGTTCCCAATTTTGGGGGGAAACATTCAGTCTTTGACCATCAAGTACGATGTCAGTTGTAAGTTTTTAATAAGTGTTCATAATCGCTGAGGAAGTTCTTTCTATTGGCTTACTGGTAATTTTCATCATGAATTGGTGAATTTTATCAAATTCTTTTTCTCTATATTAAGATGGTGAAGTAACTAGTTTTTCTTTTTTTAGAATGTTAATATGGTAAAATACATTACTTTTTAAAAATGTAAACCATCCTTGCTTTTCTGGTATTAACTCTGTTTGGATGTTATATATTACTCATTTTTACATATTGCTGGACTCAATTTGGTAAAACACCTTTAAGCATTTTTTATGTCTGCATTAATGAAGTCTGTTGGTTTTAGTTTTTGTATGCTATTTTTATTTCTGGTGTTGGATTAATGCTGGTCTCATCAAATGAGTTGGGAAGGATTTTTCTTACAATGTTGAATCATTTTTATAGAATTAGTCTTATTTCTTTTAAGCCGTTTTAGCATCATTTGTTAGAATTAACCAGTGAAACCATCTAAGGCTCAGACAGGAAAACTGCAAAATGATACTGGATCATTTTGTGTCGTAAAGCAAACATGTGCTCCAGGACTAATGGAAACAAGTTAGAACAACACAAAAACTGGCTTGAAGGGATTCTCATTGGCCAAATTTGGAACATTTTGAACATCAAAAAAAAAAGTAATCAGTTATATTGGAAGAAAATATGAGTCCATAGTGATACTTAAACATGAAGAAGGTGGATGGAAATAAAAATGACATTACCAAAGAATGCCTTCTAGTAAATGTACAAGGAATGATTGAATTAGAAAGTTACCGTTTTACAACTGCCACTGTAATCATTGACTCAGGCAGGAATTGTCAATGGATGCTAAAAATTATTGGTAAAGATTATTGGGTATATGTGTACTATCTCAAAATTCTTTTTATGAATTATCTATTACAAAGGGAAAAATACATCTTTGTGATGCAAAGATCTGGTGGATACTACATTAAGCAAGTGATCCAATTTAATATCACCAGTAGTGACAAATTGAAATATCAGTCTCTTGTTAGGGTTGCATGTCATTTCTATATTATTCTTACCAAAAATATTTGCCCTGAATCTAATCATGAGGAAACAATAAAGCAAATCAAGATTGTGGGATATTCTGTAAAACACTAGGTCTTGATTCTCCAAAAATTATGTCATGAAAGACAAAAACTTTTGAGGGGGACTGTTGTAATTTAAAGGAGACTAAAGTGACAACCAAATATAATGCTGTAATGCATGATCCTTGATTGGATGCTGGACTGAAAAAAAAGGTTATAAAGGACATTTTGGGGTGGAAACTTAAATACCGACTGTATTTTTTAAATGTTATATGTCAGTATTAAAATGGTTGGCTGTGGTAATAAAATTGTGATTATGTAGGAGAATGTCTTTGTTCTTAAGGGATCTGTGCTGAAAGTATTTACTGGGAAGTGTTGTGGTGTCTGTAGCCTGCTTTCAAATGGTTTGACCATATATAGATACACACACACACACACACGCAGACATATATATATTTTTTTCTCATATATATGAGAGAGAGAGAAAGGGAGAATGTGCTGAAACAAATCTGATAAATACAGTTGTTTTAACTATTCTGTAGGTTAACCTTTTCTACAGTAAAAGGTGCGCCAAGAAAATACTTCCCTGTTTGAGAGTCAGGACCACAGTGGCTCTTCCAGGCCTTGACCATGGGGCTGAAGCAGTTGGTTCTTCAAACCTGTCCAGCTCTTCCCCACCTCCCCAGAGACACAGATGACCTTGTATCTTAGCTCATTGAAACAGACCCTCCAGCGTCAGCTCCTTCTATTTCTCCCTTCTTGTAACCTCAGTTTGTGTCTCCCCCCACGTTTCTTTACTTCAGTCTTCAGATAGAGCTTTTCTTCTCCTTTCTCTTCTCCTGTTTTCTTGACTTTCCAAGGCATCTACTTTAGAGTCTGGCTTCTCTCTGCCACTCAGAAACCTGTCTCAAGACTTACCAGTGGCTTCCAATTGGCCAACTCTGGTGGCTTATTTTCAAGTCTCTGCCCCTCTGTCCTCTTCTTTTCTCTGTGGGATAGTCTTTGACACTGTTGAGCCCTTTCTTGGCTTCCATGACACATGCCCTCTTCTGTTCCTCTTGCTCATAAACCTCCACTGTCAGTGCTCCACTGCTGCTGGAGGGAGGTTCTGCCCGTAATAAGTTGCAGAGCTCAGCCCTCTACCATTTCTTCCTTGATTTTTGAAAGCTGAGAGCTTCAGTTTCGTCCCTCTGTTGGTGTCCCTTTCCCCAAGTTCAAGTACTGTCTTGGAACTGCCTGCTTCAGCATTTTTCCTTGCATAGCTCATTGTTAACTCAGATCCCATTTATCTGAAGTTGAATTAAGCCTTTCCTTTCTTCATATGCCCCTTCAAATCTGGTCACTTGCCCTAGGCGTAACAGGCATTTAAATCACCAGCCTTCAAAGCTTGTGGGTATCATAAAATGCAGACTCCCAGGCTCAGTCTCAGAGAATGCGATTCAGTATGTCTGAATGTAGGCCCAGAATCTACCTTTTGCTGAGTACCAAGGCATTTTAATGCAGTGGTCCAAGAACTCCACTTTGAGAACAGCTACTTTAATGATTGGTTTCAGGGTTTGTTACTGTTCTACTTCACCATGGGCTTTCTCTGTCTTCAGGAAGCTGCACCTGTTGGGAGATTATTCTAAGTATTGGAAGGTCGTTGAGAGACAGCCTGAGCTTGAGCTTTGTAGAGATGCAGACCTGATCTGTCCTCTCATCTCTGCCACTTGCCAGAAGTTTGACCTTGGGCAAATTACTGGAAAATGGGAAAAATAGCACACAACTTCCAGGGTTTGGTGTGGATGGTGGCTCAGCTTCTGCCCCCCTCTCCAGCCTCTTCTTAATTCTCTTCAATGCTCCCCAGATTTCAGACCTATGAAATGACTTATCTTCTTAAAGAACCATGATTTTTCATACCTCAAATTCCTTTGCACTGTTGTGCTTTCTGGTAGGAATGCCCTACCTTAACCTCCGTGTTCACCTGACTCTTCCTTCAGACGTAACCACTCCATAAACCCTTGTGGCTGAATTTGGTGGTTTCAGTGCACCTGGAGCACCCAGTACTTGATTTATTCGTCTGTGTCTCATCTCAGTGTATGAGTTCCTTGAGGAGGTCCAGCCTTAGCCGTTAGCACTGTGGTTATGTGCAGTAGCTTTTAGTTAAAAGTTATCTTTTTTTTTTTGGAATAATCAAGGCACCTACTATGACATTAGCTAATTGTATTTCAGAGGCCTAGTTTTGAAACTTTCATTATTTGTCAACATACTTGGCAGCCATGCCAGCAGGTATAAGCTTTCCCGCATGTTTTCAAAACAGGAAACTTTTGTCCTTTGGAATAGAAGTTCTAACACTTGAGCACATTTTTTTTTTTAAACTAATGTCTTGAAGAGGTAACTTGTTTCTTTTTTTAAGTTTAGGTTTGCCTCATCCCACAATGAGATCATGAAATAACCTTGCCTCTCCCCATCCTATGAGTTAGCTGGTACTTTCTGTTTATAGTCAGTGGTCAGCACCAAAATAGTATCCCTTGAATTTCAAAGCAAGCCAGGACAGACTAGAAGTACATTAAAATTTGTGCCTGGTTACTAGAGGGGGAAAAATAAAATATATAATGTTGTTTCATATGTATGTAGTCAAAAGTAAAACATGTGACTAAATAAATTTTAAAAATAATAAACTAAAATTCATAGTAATGCTAAAATTTAGTTTATGTAAATCATTAAGTACCAGGCACAACAAAATTTTTGTTTCTTTGCTTTTTGTTTTTATGTAAACATTATTGTGCTTAGAAGTTGCCAAATTTGGTGTCTTTCAATTTTTTTCCTTTTGGAATAAATGTGAACAAAGTCTCACATTTATTCAAACATTTAACTTCATTTTAAAAATTATTGCTGTAGGATAACTTTTTTTTTTTTTTTTGAGACGGAGTCTCACGCTGTCGCCCAGCCTGGAGTGCAGTGGCGCGATCTCGGCTTACTGCAACCTCCGCCTCCCGGGTTCAAGCTATTCTCCTGCCTCTGCCTCCTGAATAGCTGGGACTACAGGCACATGCCACCACACCGGCTAATTTTTGTATTTTTAGTACAGATGGGGTTTCACCATGTTGGCCAGGCTGGTCTCAAACTCCTGACCTCAGGTGATTGCCTGCCTCGGCCTCCCAAACTGCTGGGATTACAGCCGTGAGCCACCGTGCCCAGCCGCTGTTGGATAATTTTTTAACTTAAAATTTATGTCAGAGATGGAGAATAAACTATTAAAGACTAATAGAGAATAAAATTTTTGGACCATGTATTTACAAAAGTCATGTTTAGTAGTAAAAAAAAAATCTAGTTTACACTACTTAATGAAAAAAGAGAAATATTTTTAAATATATATAACACATTCTCACTTTGACATAAATTTTTCTCTTTTTACCCCAGTTACTACTATGCCCAAGAAAATTTTCCAAACTTTAAGTCTTTTTTTTCTTTTACCACTTTGGAGTATGACCTGTTATTTATAAACTTTCCTTGAAAAAAAATCGAAATTTTAATTTGTACCCTGAAACTTTGATCAAAGTAATAGGAGATCAATACCACATGAGTTAAAGAATGGAGTAAAAATATAATTGTTCTCTGTATAATCAAGAAATTATCTGATGGGCCATTGTAACTATTTCACATTTCCATTTAGCAAGTTGGTTCCGAGATACAAAAATATTTGGCACTTTTTGGCTTGTGGATGTCCAGTTGCTCTAGCACCATTTATTGAAAATTGAAAAAATTCCTCCAGTGGATTATTTTCATACTTGTATCAAAATCAATTGGGCATATTTGTGTGGCTCTCTTTCTGGGTCATCTGTTCTATTCCATTAGTCTGTGCATGTCATTTTGGCAATGTCACACTCTCTCAGGTACTCTATTACTAGAATAATACTACCCTTACTCTTACTCTACCTTAATATTGGGGAAAGTAATTTCTGTCACTTTTTCCTTATTTCTCAAGATTGTTTTGACTATTTTAGGGTGTGTACCTTTGCATGCAAATTTTAGAATAAGCTAGTTTGTGTGTATGAAATATGTTGCTGAGATATTGATAGGAATTGCATTAAACCTGTATATTAATTTGGGGAGAATTGACATTTTTCCTGTGTTAAGTACTCTATTATATATGTTCATTTATTTAGGTTTTCTTTTTTTAATCAGCATTTAAAATTTTTTAGTATATAGATCCTGTACATAGCTTTCACTTTCCGGAGTGATTGCAAGTATTTCACTTTCCAGAGTGATTGTAAATGGTGTTTTGTTTTTTATTTTTTGGTTTCCATATGTTCATTGTTAGTATATAGTGTCTTGTTTTTAACTTTTTGGTTTCCATATGTTCATTGTTAGTATATAGAAATGTTATTGATTTTTGTGTGTTAATCTTATATCCTGCTTCCTTGCTGAACTTACTTATTCTAGAAGTTTTAGATGATTTTCACAGGTTCCTTTGGATTTTCCATGTAAACGATCGTATCATTTGCCAATACGGACAATTTTATTCTTCCTTCCTGATCTGTATGCATTTTATTTTCCTTGCCTTATTGCAGTATCTTAGAATTTCTAGTACTGTGCTGAAAAAAAGTTGTGGATCACCTTTTCCCAGTCTTAGGGGAAAACCATTCTTTCACCATTAAGGTATAGATTTTTGCAGATGCTCTTTGTCAAGTAAAGGAAGTTCCAGTTTGTTCCTATTTTAGTGAGAATTTGTATCATGATGAGATGTTGGATTTTGTCAAATGATTTTTTTTGCATCAATTGACATGATCATATGATTTTGTTATTTATTAGTATATTTGATTCCATTAATTTTTTTTCAAATGTTGATTCAGTCTTGCATATTTCGGATAAATTCTGCTTATGGTGTGTAGTCCTTTTTCTATATTACTAGATTCAGTTTGCTGGTATTTGTTTGAGGGTTTTTGCATCTAACTTAATAAGGAATAGTGGTCTATAGTTTTAAAAAAATTTTGCAATGGTTTTGTCTAGCTTTGATGTCAAGAGTAATACACTAGCTTCATTAGATGAGTTGGGAAATGTTCTTTGTTTTTTTAAACTAGATTATGTAAAATTGGCCCTAATTCTTTTTAAAATGTTTGGTAAAATTTTCCAGTAAAGCCATTTTGGCCTGGGAATTTCTTTTTTGGAGATCTTTCTCTTTTTTAGTTTTTTTTTTTTTTTTTTTTTTTGAGATGGAGTTTCACTCTTGTCTCCCAGGCTGAAGTGCAATGCCGTGATCTCAGCTGACTGCAACCTCTGCCTCCCGGGTTCAAGCAATTCTCCTACCTCAGCCTCCTGAGTAGCTGGAACTACAGGCGCACGCCACCACGCCCAGCTAATTTTTTGTATTTTTAGTAGAGATGGGTTTTCACCATGTTGGTAAGGCTGGTCTCGAACTCCTGACCTCAGGTGATCCACCCGCCTTGGCCTCCCAAAGTGCTGGGATTACAGGCGTGAGCCACTGCGCCCGGCTGAGATCTTTCTCTTCACAAATTCACTGTCTTTAATGGTTATGGGTATATGCAGGCCATTTCCTTCATCTTGGTTGAGCTTTGGTAGTTTGTGGTTTTTGAGGAATTGGTCCGTATTTTCAAAGTTGTCAAATTTATGAGCATAAAGTTATTCATTCTATGCCCTTAGTAATCTTCTAATGGCTATAGTATGAAGCTATCCCTTGTTTCATTCCTGATGGTTGTGCTTTGTGTCTTCACCTTTTTGTCAGTCTTGCTAGAGCCTTTTCAGTTTTGATTATTTTTCAGAGAACCAGTATTTGATTTCATTGATTTTTGTTGTTGTTATTTTCCTGTTTTCAATTTCATTGGTTTCTGCTCTTGTTTTTATAATTTTCATTCTACTTGCTTTGAATTTATTTTGCTCTACTTTTTCTAGTTTCTTAAAGTAGGGGACAGAGATTATTAATGTGAGACCATTTCCTCTTTTCTAATATAAGCGTCACTGTGACATAAGTGTTTCGGTCAGAACTGTTTTTTGATATTTTGCGTTTTTATTTTTATTTACGTATATGTATTTTTTGCTGTTCTATTGCTTTTTGGCCAATGATTTGTTTAGACATGTGGTATACAGAAGTGTTTGAAGATTTTTGTGTTATGTTTCTGTTACTGATTTCTAGTCTGATTACATTGTGATTGGAAATCATATGAACTTAAGGTTCACCAGCATTATAGTTGGAAAATGGAATAATTTTAATTATTTTAAAATAGTTGGGGTTTGTTTTATGACCCAGGGTATGGTCTGTCCTGGTGCATGGTCCACGGTAGCTTAAAGGGAATGAATATTCTGTTGTAGGGTGGAGTGTTCTGGAGATGTCTTTTAGATCCTGTTGGTTGATTGTTGTTCAGTTCTTTTCTGTCTTTGCTAATTTTCTTTTAGTTCTACCAGTTGCTGACAGTGAAGTGTTGAAATCTCCACCTGTAATTTAGCTTTATCAGTTTTTGTTTTATTATTTTGCAACTCTGTTGTTTGGTGCATTTACTTTTAGGAGCAGTATTTTTTTATTGATGGATTGATTTTTAAAGTATCGTTATGTAATGTCTTTGTCTCTAGTAATTTTCTTTCCTCTGAAATCTACCTTATCTGTGTTAACATAGCCATACCTGTTTTTAAAAAATAATGTTAGCATGATATATCTTTTAACGACCTTTTATGTAAAACTGATGTGTTTGAAATAAGTTTTATTAGACGGTATGTAGTTGGGTTTTGTCTGACTTTCATTAAGGTCTCTTTGCCTTCTCTGTTTTTTAAAATGCACTTTTCTGAAGTTATTTCATTTCCATACATTGAGCACAGCAGATGTTAAGTTTGTTTTAACCGTCAGTATGATTTAAGAAACTTGATGGAAAAGGATGGTCTCTTATATTTACCCCTTCCTTTGCTCTTGTTTCCTTTATGAAATTCCAAGCTGCCTTTTATTATTTTCTTTCTTTTTGAAGATACTCCTTTAGACCTTCTTTAAGCGTAGGCTTGGTAGTGACAAAATTTTTAATTTGCTAATACCTTTATGTTACCTTCTTTTTTGAAGGATAGCTTTGCTGGTTATAGCATTCATAATTAACAGTTTTCTGTTGTTTTTTGTTTGTTTTGTTTTTGTTTTAATGAGACAGGGTTTCACTCTGTCACCCAGGTAGGAGTACAGTGAGTGGCACAATCATGGCTCACTGCAGCTTGACCTCCTGGGCTCAAGCAATCCTCCCACCTCAGCCTCCTGAGTAGCTGGAACTACATATGCACAGCACCATGCCCAGCTAATTTTTAAAATTTTTTTGTAGTGATGTAGTCTCACTGTGTTGCCCAGGCTGGTCTCGAGCTCCTGGGCTCAAGTGGCCCTCCCGCCTCGGCCTCCCAAAGTGCTGGGGTTGTAGGCATGAGCTACCGTGCTGGGCCCACACAATTGACAGTACTTATGTTTCAGTTCTTATATTTCAGCATTTAAGAAATATGCCACTCCTTTTGCACTTTCATGGTTTCAGACTGAACACCAATTCGAATTGGTGTTCTAGTATAGGTAATGTGTCATTTTTCTTGGTTCCTTTTAAGACTTTTTGTCTTTAGTTTTCAGAAGTTTGTGATGTGTCTTGATATGAATTTCTTTGGGTTTATCCTATCTGGAATTCGCTCTGTAAGTTTATGTCTTTCACCAAATTTGGGAAGTTTTCCTGTATTAATTTTTCAAATCCTCCCTCAGCGTCACATTTTTTCTCCTCTCCTAATGTTAGATTTTTCATTATTGCCCTGGAGGTCCCTGAGGCTTTGTTCATTTTTTTGTTTCAGCCTACTTTTTCTGCAGCTGTTCAGACTGAACAATTCTTTTTTTTTTTTTTGGAGATGGAGTCTCGCTCTGTCACCCAGGCTGGAGTGCAGTGGCGTGATCTTGGCTCACTGCACCCTCCGCCTCCCGGGTTCAAGCGATTCTCCTGCCTCAGTCTCCCAAGTAGCTGGGATTACAGGCGTGCGCCACCACACCTGGCTAATTTTTGTATTTTTAGTAGAGATGGGGTTTCACCATGTTGGTCAGGCTGGTCTTGAACTCCTGATCTCGTGATCTGCCCGCCTTGGCCTCCCATAATGCTGGGATTACAGGTGTGAGCCACTGCGCCTGGCCGAAATTGAACACTTCTTTAGATCTGTCTTCAAGTTCACTGATCCTGTATGGTATTAAAGGACTCTAAAAGGTGGAAAGCGGGTGGACTGGCTAGGGGACGTTAGGACTTGAAACACACTGGACTGGAGTAATTTCCATGCATGTGTGTTGGGGCGGTGTGGTGTGTATGCGTGTTTGTGTTTTTCCCCCGTGTATCCCAGACTGGAGTGGAGTACAACTTGAAATTGCCAACAGGCATAAACAGCAACAAAAACAAAAAACAGAAAACCCTGTCCTCTCTGGCCAAAGGATCAGGAAAAGGGAAGCCCAGGAGGGACTTGCCAATGAGACATTTTACCCAGTGGCAGTAGCAGGCCTAGTCTGCCCACAACAGTGGCCCAGCAGAGATAGAGTGAGAAGCTTACCAGTGAGGTGACTGTAGAACAAGCCACGGGAAATGCTCTTATTCACCCCTCAGGTCTGGCAGTCCCCTACCCACTGGCCTAATCATACTGTGCAGCCTGAGGATGTGCCTTCCACCCCGCTGTGTGGCACCAGAAGCTATCCAGTGGGAGCTCCAGCAGAGCTAGAAGAATGAAGCAGACACATATTACCATCACAGGGGCTTACAAAACTCAATTGTCTTTGGAACTACAGACTACAAAAGTAGACCAGAACCTACACACCAAACCTAACTGACTCCATGTTTTTCTAACTTCCTTAAATCCTTATTTTCACTTAAAGGGATTTTTTTTTTCCTGTTACAATATGTCTGGTTGTGCTGAATGTGAGTCTGCACCATCAGTGAACTGTTGACTTATTCTGCTCTCTGCTTCTGTTCTCTGGTTCTATCATTTTAACTTTAAAATGTGCAACTCTGGTAAATCCCTAAAATTAACAGTGCATGTGTTCTGTAGGAAATGAGTTCCTCTTGGTTTGTTGGCTATTTCCAGCTTATTGTACTTTCTTTACTGCAAATTTAGGCTATTAAAAGGATATTAGTACCTGGAAACTAAGCTCGTTTTCCTCCTTTTAATCCTTATTGGCTAAAATATTAGTCATCTTTGGTTACAAGTTGATGGCTGAGCAGTTTTTCATTCCACAGTGTTGAGAAACTAGACTGGAATCTTGAGCTGATAAACCAGAATGCAGATGTGGTAGATATTGGAGTCTTGGAATCAGCAGACCCATGCCCTAGTTCTGGCTCTGAACTCATTCAACTTCTACATGATTTCTGAGAAACCCGTAATTAAAAAAAAAAAATTATTTCTAAGTCAGTGATGTTAACTGCTCTCCCAGTCTGTTGCTGCCTGAAGGGGAATATCCGGTAAAGAGACCCTGTCCTGATGCTCTTTGCCACAGAGTGTAGAGCTGCTAGCAGGGGGAGAAGCAAGTGTAGGGACATTAGGATCATGGCATACTGGAGAGAGGACTAGGGCTACAGAAGCCACAAGGACAGTCAGGGAGAGGAAAGGTGGAATGTCCATGAAACACAGCACTGCTATCTTCAAACTTTGACTGTTTTTAAATTGAAACATAGCTTATAATCAGTAGAGCACACACATCTTAGGTACGTAGCTTTTTAAATCTTTATATATGTATGTATTTGATTATAGTTAATGATTTTAACTATCATACAGACGAAAATGTAGACTATAAAGCCTTGCGAACACTTTTCATGGGGAAATACTTTTTTCCATTCACTGCTTTAATGAAGTGGTTAAATATTGGCTTGATAAGGTATCTATATGTATAGATGTATTTTTATTTTTTGTCTTGTGCTGAAATTTTGGATATTCTGTAAGAAAGACACGTAATGAGATTGGTAGCCATCATCCTCACAAAACATAGTGATGTGTTTCTCAGAAGGAGGATTTAGTAATGATAGGCCTTTGGGTTTGCAGGTACAAGAAATAAGGCAAGGAAAATGGTTGCAATTTTGGAGTAAGGCCTTCATGTAGTTGATGTGAGATGATGATTTGGAATCCTTCAGAAGCTATTGTATAAAAGTAACCAAAAGAAGCAAGCCCTGTGTGGGGTGTAAAAATAAATACTGACTTTTTTTTTTTTTTTTTTTTTTGAGACAGTCTCACTCTGTCGCCCAGGCTGGAGTGCGGTGGCATGGTCTCGGCTCACTGCAAGCGCTGCCTCCCAGGTTCATGCCATTCTTCTGCCTCACCCTCCCGAGTAGCTGGGATTACAGGTGCCCGCCACCACGCCCAGCTAATTTTTTTGTATTTTTTTTTTCAGTAGAGACGAGGTTTCACCATGTTAGCCAGGATGGCTCGATCTCCTGACCTTGTGATCCACCCGCCTCGGCCTCCCAAAGTGCTGGGATTACAGGCGTGAGCCACCACGCCTGGCCTTGACTTTTAATAAACAGATTTATTGAGGTATAATTAATGTACAATAAACTGCACACATTTAAAGTGTACAGTTTGAGTTATGGCCCATGTGAAACTATTACCATAGTGAAGATTGTGTGAACGTGTGCACTCTCTATTTCCTTGTGACCCTTTGTAGAATTTTCTTACCTCCCTTCCTAATCCCAGGCGACAGTTCTTCTGCTTTCTGTCACTTAGATTAGTTTGCATATTATACAACTTTGTATAAGCAGAATCATACAGTATTTACTCTTCTGTTGTCTCCCTTCTTTCACTCAGCATGATTATTTTTAGATTTGTCTGTAATGTTGCATGTTTGACTGTTTTAGTACTGCATAGTATTCCACTGTGTTGCTGTATCACAATTTGTTTATCCACCCACCCGTTGATGGGAATGTGAGTTGTTTCCTCTTTTGAACTATTACAAATAAAGCTTCCCTAAATATTCATGTACAAGTCTTTCATTTTCATTCACACATACGTTTCATTTCAGTTGGGCAAATACCTAGAAATGGAATGTCTGGTGGGTTATGTGTTCAACTTTTTCAGAAACTACTGGCCTGGCACGGTGGCTCACGCCTGTAATCCCAGCACTTTGGGAGGCCGAGACGGGCAGATCACGAGGTCAGGAGATCGAGACCATCCTGGCTAACATGGTGAAACCCCATCTCTACTAAAAATACAAAAAATTAGCCGGGCGTGGTGGCGGGTGCCTGTAGTCCCAGCTACTTAGGAGGCTGAGGCAGGAGAATGGCTTGGACCTGGAAGGCGGAGCTTGCAGTGAGCCGAGATCACACCACTGCACTCCAGCCTGGGCGACAGCGCGAGGCTCCGTCTCAAAAAAAATAAATAAAAAAAAAAGAAACTACTGACATGTTATCCAAAGTGGTTGCACCATTTTATATTCCCGTTAGCAGGGTATTACAGTTCCACTTCCTGCACATCCTTGCCAACACCTGATATGGTAAGAAGTTTTCATCTTAATCATTTTATTGGTTATGTAGTGGTGTCTCCTGGTGTTTTAATTTTTATTTTCCTAATGACTAAGGATTTTGAGCATCTTTTCATGTGCCCTCTTATTTCATGTGCTATTCATGTTGTCTTTGCTTAAATGTCTGTTCACATCTTTTTTGCATTTTTTTAAATTGAGCTGTTTGTTTTCTTATTTAGTTGTAACAGTTATTTACATATTCTGGATACAAGTCCTTTGTCAGATAAGCATTTTGCAAATATTATTTCCAGTCTGTGGCTTGTATTTTTACTTTTGTAACAGTGTCTTTTGAGGAGTAAAAGCTAAAAAAAAAATTTTTAATCCACCTCTCAATTCATCTTTTTTTCTTTTATAGTTCAAGATTTTTTTCTTTTTTGTATCCTACTTAAGAATATCTTTGCCAAACTCAAGATCACTAAAATTTTCCCGTGTTGATTTCTAGGAACTTTAGAATTTTAGCTCTTACATAAATTCTGTTATTCATTTCAAGTTGATTTTTGTAAATTTTGGAGCATCCAGATTCTCTTTTGTTTTTCTTTCCCATGTGGCTATTCATTTGTACCAGCATGACTTATTGAAAAGATTACTTTTCCCCAATTGAATTGCCTTGGCACCCTGTTGCAATCAGTTGACCATATATGTGGGGGTCTACTTTTGGAGTCTCTGTTCTATTTCACACATCTGTTATCTGTGTCAGTTTTATACCATCTTGATTACTATGATTTTAAGTCTTAAATCAGGCAATGTTGAGTCCTCCAATCTTGTTCTTCTTTTTCAAAATTCTTTTTACTATTTTGGGTCCTTTGCTTTTCTGTATAACTTTTAGAATCATCTTGTAAATTTTTACAACAAAAAACTTGATTGGAATTGTATTGACTGTCTAGATCAATTTGGGGAAAATTGCTGTAACAATATTGGTTCTTTTGATGCATGAACATGGTATATCTTTCTTTTTATTTAGGTGTTCTTTAATTTCTTCCAGCTGTATTTTGTCAAATATTTATCTTAGTATTTTGATGCAATTGTAAATGGTTTTGATTTTTATTTTCCAGTTGTTCCTTGCTGTTATTAGAAATATGATTGATTTTTATATGTTGGCCTTGCATTTTCCTACTTTCCTAATCTTACTACTTTCCTATATCCTGTATCACCTGTAAAAATTGTACCAGAATCAAAAAAATTCTAGTAGAATTTTTATAGGTGTTATAGGAGATATCATGTCTGTGTCTAAAGACAGTTTTATTTTCTCTTTTCCAGTCTACATACTTTTTTTTTCTTTGCGTTTTATTGGCACGAAGATTGCCCTCTTACCTTCATTTATTCTTTCACTATGATGTTAAATAGGAGTGGTGAGAAGGAACAATCTTACCTTGTTCTAATCTTAAATGGAAAGTATTTAGTCTTTCACCATTAAGTATGATGATAGCTGTATATCTTTTGTACATGTCTTTTATCAGCTTAAGGAAGTTCTTTTTGTGCCCATTTTGCCAAGATCTTTTACCATGAATGGATGATGAATTTTGTCCAATGTTTTTTGTCTGTTTTTTGAAATGATTAATTTTGTTTTTTAAGTCTTATATGTTGAAGTTTTTTTTTTGAATATTTAAACAGTATTTCATTCCTGGGATAAATCCCACTTGGTCATGATGTTTTTATCTTTTTTATACATTAATGGATTACATTTGCTGAAATTTTGACAAGAATTTTTGCATCTGTAATAAGATGTGAAATTGGTCTGTAGTTTTTTTGTTTTAATACCCTTATTTGTTTTGGGGATCAGAGTGATGCTGGCTTTGTAAAATGAGTTTGGAGAGTTTCTCCTGTTTCTGGGAGAGTTTGCGTATGATTTTTTTTTTCCCCTTAAATATTTGGGAGAACTCATCGTTAAATACATCTAATCCTGGAGTTATCTTTGTGAGAAGATTTTAACTACAAAATAAGTTTCTTAAGTACATATAAGCCTATTCAAGTTAGCTAGTTTTTTGTGAGTGACCTTTGGTATTTTGAGTCTTTGAAGGAATTTGTCCGTATCATAAACTGAGAGTTGTTAATTATATTTGCTGATTAGTCTTCTAATGTTTATAGAAAGTATAGTCGTATTCAGTCTCTCATTTCTTATGTTCACAATACCTGGCTTCTCTTTTTTCAAACTGACTAGCTAGATGTTTATCAATTTTGTTAATCTTCCCAAACAGAAAACTTTTGTTTCCTTCGATTTTTCTCTATTTTCTGCTTTCTACTTTATTGATTTATATTCTTTATTATTTCTTTTCTTTTTTTATTAAAAAACAAGATATGGATTACTTATCTAATATTTAGAATGTGATCTTATAGATTATATATGAGTATGCAATATAGATAACTGTATGGATATACCATATTTCCAATCATAAATATTATATTACAAGATGTAATGCAAGATAAAATCCCTGCACAATAGCTGTGTTGGCATAAGCATCATTTTAACTGAGTGTTTTAAGATGGTTGTAATACCACTGAGTGTTTTAAGATGGCTATAATACCACTGTAGTCACAGACATGTCAGCAGCATGTTCTTGGCACATTTAATCTGTGGCTACAGTAAGGATACCAACCTCCTCTGTAATCAGTATTTCCAACTTAGCATAATTTAAGTGAATTTACAATTGCTTGATGTATATCTTTTTAAAAGAGTGAATGTGTTCAAACGTTGAGATTTTTAGAAGTCTTACAGTAGTGGTTTTCTTTTTTCAAATTTTTGGCATATATTCAAACTTTCAGAAAATTTTTAAGAATGAAAATAGTCAAAAACATTCATATTCTTTACCCAGATTCACCTGCTGTTGACAGTTTGACCCATTTGCTTTATCATTTGCTGTTTTCTCCTCCCCGTGCACAATCTAATGAATGAATTTGTATCCATGAAAGAACTATAAGCTTAAAGCTCTTGAGCAGAGATTACATTTTGTCCTCTGGTTACACAATATTTAAAATACCATTTAGATAAACATTTTAGAAAAGATTTAGGGAATAGAACACAAAAGCATGCTTTTTGCTGTTGTTGACTTTTAAAATATTGAGATACAATTTCTCATATCATACTTCACCTTTTAAAGTGTATAATTCAGTGGGTTTTTGAAGTATACTCATAGACTTGTACAACCATCACAACTGTCTCATTCCAAAATATTTCCATCACCCCAAAAGAAATCCTTTATACAATAGGAGTCACACCCTATTCCTTCCCAGCCCCTGACAACTGCTAATCTAGGTTCTTTTTGCCTATTCTGGACGTTTCCTATAAATGGAATACTAAAATATATGGCCTTTTGTATCTGGCTGCTTTCACTTAGCATTAGTCCTCAAGATTCATCTGTGAGCTTTGTGTCAGTACTTCATTCCTTTTTGTTGTGGCTGAAAAATACTCCATTAAATGGATTTACCACATTTTGTTAACTGCTCATTAGTCAGTGGACATTTAGGTTGTTTTCATTTTTGACTATCATGAATTTGAACAATGCTATTATGAACACTGGTATATAAGTTTTTGTTTGCACAAGTATTTTCGGTTTTCTTATGTATATACATAAGAGTATAATTGGTATATTGTATGGTAACTTTATATTTAGTTTTTTTAATAACTACCCAACTGTTTTCCAGTGTGGCTGCTCCATTTTATGTTACCACCAGCGACTTAGGCGTTTTCGATGTCTCCACATCCTCATCAATGCTTATTGTTGTCTTTTTTATTACAGCCATCCTTTTGTTTTTGAAGCAGTATGTTGTTTTGCTTTTGATTAACATCTGTCTAAGGACTGGTTTTGAGCGTCTTTTCGTGTATGTATGTATTATTGTCCGTTTATGTATCTTTGGAGAAATGTCTAGTCAGTTTCCTTGTCCATTTTTTGATTGGGAGGTTTGTCTTTTATTCATTGCAAGAGTTCTTTTTATATTCTCTGTATGTATCTCTTATCAGATACATCATTTGCAGAAATTTTCTCCCATCCTGTGGGTTGTCTTTTCACTTTATTGATAGTGCCCTTTGAAGCACAAACTGTTTTAATTTTGATAAAGTCTAATTTATCTGTGTTGTCTTTGCTTACCTATTCTAGTTAAGAAACCATTGCCTCATCAGAGGTTATGAAGATTTACATCTATGTTATCTTCAAAAGTTTTATAGCTTTATCTCTTACACTGAGGTCTTTGTTCCTTCTGGATTTAATTTTTGCATATGTTGTTAGGCAGGGTCCGTCCTCATTCTTTTCCAAGCAGATACCTAGTTATTCCAGTGCCAGTTGTTGAGAAGATTGTTCTTTTCTCCTCTGAGTTATCTTGGCATTCATCAATTGAGTGCCGAAATCAATTGGCCATAAATGCGAGGGTTTGTTTCTGGACTGTCAGTTCTATTCTGTTTGATCTATTTGATTAGGTTTATCTTTTATTTATTTATTTATTTTTATTTTTAGTCTGAGTCTTGCTCTGTCGCCAGGCTGGAGTGCAGTGGCGCAATCTTGGCTCACTGCCACCTCTGCCTCCCAGGTTCAAGCAATTCTCCTGCCTCAGCCTCCCAGGTAGCTGCGACTACAGGCGCGCACCACCATGCCCAGCTAATTTTTGTATTTTTAGTAGAGATGGGGTTTCAGCATGTTGGCCAGGATGGTCTTGATCTCTTGACCTCATGATCTGCCTGCCTCGGCCTCCCAAAGTGCTGGAATTACAGACGTGAGCCACTGTGCCCAACCTTGATAAGGTTTATCTTTATTCCAGTACTGTTCTGTCTTGATTAATATACCTTTGTAGTTAAGTTTTGAAATCGGGAAGTTTTGAGTCCTCCATTGTGTCTTTCTTTTTCAAAACTGTTTTGGCTATTCTTGAATATTCTTATGAACTTCAGGAGCCACTTGTCGATTTGCAAAAGAGCAAGGTGAGATTTTGACAAGATTGCGTTGGATCTGAATATTACCATTTTAACATTATTAAGTATTCTAGCTTATGAATACCAGATATCTTTCTATTTAGGTCTTTTAAAATTTTTTTCAGTGATGCTTTGTAGTTCACAGTGTACAAGTCTTGTACTTGTTCGAGATGTATAATCCTTTGTATATGTTTCTAGATATGATTTGCTTGTATTTTGTTGAGAATTTTTATATCCACATTCATAAGAACATCTGTAGTTTTCTTTTCTTGTGATGACCGTGTCTGATTTATGTATCAGGGTATGAATTGCTTCATATAATAATTTGGAACGTGATGTTTTCTCTTGAGTTTTAAAATTTTTGTTACTTAAATTTTTTTAGAGACAGGGTCTTGCCTTGTTGCCCAGGCTGGAATGCAGTGGTACAGTCATAGCTCGCTGTCACTTCAGACTTCTGGGTTTAAGCAATCTTTCTGCCTCAGCCTCCTGAGTAGTGGGAATACAGGCATGCACCACCACACCCAGCTCTTTCTTTCTTTCTTTCTTTCTTTCTTTCTTTCTTTCTTTCTTTCTTTCTTTCTTTCTTTCTTTTCTTTTCTTTTCTTTTCTTTTCTTTTCTTTCTTTTCTTTCTTTTCTTTCTTTTCTTTCTTTCTTTCTTTCTTTTTTTTTGTAGCCATGGTATGTTGCTATGTTGCCCAGGCTGGTGTTGAACTCCTAGGCTCAAATGATCCTTCAGCCTCAGCCTCCTAAAGTGCTGGGATTACAGCCGTTCCCCATGCCCAGCCTGTTTTTTGTCCTTCTTTATGCTTTTTAAAAAAAGCTTGTGAAGGATATGTTTTAATTCTTCTTTAAATGTTTAGTAGAATTCATCAGTGAAGCCACCTGTCCCTAGGCTATTCTTTGCGGGGAAACTTTGATGGCTAATTAGGTTTGTTAAGATTTTCTGTTTATTTTGGAGTTAATTTCAATAATTTGTGCTTTCTAGTTATTTGTTCATTTCATGTAGGCTGTCTAATTTGTTTGTGTATAGTTGTTTCTTGTGTTCTCTTTTAATCCCTTTTACTGTAAGATTGGAAAGTTCATTTCTTTTTGTAGCATTAGTAATGCTCCCTGTTTCTTTCTTTTCTTTTTTTTTGTATTTTTTTTTTTTAAATTATACTTTAAGTTCTAGGGTACATGTGCACAACGTGCAGGTTTGTTACATATGTATACATGTGCCATGTTGGTGTGTTGTACCCGTTAACTCGTCATTTACATTAGGTATTTCTCCTAATGCTATCCCTCCCCCCTCCCCCCACCCCATTGACAGGACCCGGTGTGTGATGTTCCCCACCCTGTGTCCAAGTGTTCTCATTGTTCAGTTCCCACCTATGAATGAGAACATGTGGTGTTTGGTTTTCTGTCCTTGTGATAGTTTGCTCAGAACGATGGTTTCCAGCTTCATCCATGTCCCTACAAAGGACATGAACTCATCCTTTTTAATGGCTGCATAGTATTCCATGGTGTATATGTGCCACATTTTCTTAATCCAGTCTATCACTGATGGACATTTGGGTTGGTTCCAAGTCTTTGCTCTTGTGAATAGTGCCACAATAAACATATGTGTGCATGTGTCTTTATAGCAGCATGATTTATAATCCTTTGGGTATATACCCGGTAATGGGATGGCTGGGTCAAATGGTATTTCTAGTTCTGGATCCTTGAGGAATCGCCCCACTGTCTTCCACAATGGTTGAACTAGTTTACAGTCCCACCAACAGTGTGGAAGTGTTCCTATTTCTCCACATCCTCTCCAGCACCTATTGTTTCCTGACTTTTGAATAATCACCATTCTAACTGGTGTGAGATGGTATTGCATTGTGGTTTTGATTTGCATTTCTCTGATGGCCAGTGATGATGAGTATTTTTTCATGTATCTGTTGGCTGCATAAGTGTCTTCTTTTGAGAAGTGCCTGTTCATATCCTTCGCCCACTTTTTGATGGGGTTGTTTGATTTTTCCTTGTAAATTCGTTTAAGTTCTTTGTCGATTCTGGATATTAGCCCTTTGTCAGATAGGTAGATGGTAAAAATTTTCTCCCATTCTGTAGGTTGCCTGTTCACTCTGATGGTAGTTTCTTTTGCTGTGCAGAAGCTCTTTCATTTAATTAGATCCCATCTGTCAATTTTGGCTTTTGTTGCCATTGCTTTTGGTGTTTTAGTCATGAAGTCGTTGCCCATGCCTATGTCCTGAATGGTATTGCCTAGGTTTTCTTCTAGGGTTTTTATGGTTTTAGGTCTAACATGTAAGTCTTTAATCCATCTTGAATTAATTTTTGTATAAGGTGTAAGGAAGGGATCCAGTTTCAGCTTTCTACATATGGCTAGCCAGTTTTCCCAGCACCATTTATTAAATAGGGAATCCTTTCCCCATTTCTTGTTTTTGTCAGGTTTGTCAAAGATCAGATGGTTGTAGATGTGTTGTATTATTTCTGAGGGCTCTGTTCTGTTTCATTGATCTATATCTCTGTTTTGGTACCAGTACCATGCTGTTTTGGTTACTGTAGCCTTGTAGTATAGTTTGAAGTCAGGTAGTGTGATGCCTCCAGCTTTGTTCTTTTGGCTTAGGATTGTCTTGGCAATGTGGGTTCTTTTTTGGTTCCATATGAACTTTAAAGTAGTATTTTCCAATCCTGTGAAGAAAGTCATTGGTAGCTTGATGGGGATGGCATTGAATCTGTAAATTACTTTGGGCAGTATGGCCATTTTCATGATACTGATTCTTCCTATCCATGAGCATGGAATGTTCTTCCATTTGTTTTTGTCTTTTTTTTTTTTTTTTGAGATGGAGTCTGGCTCTGTCGCCCAGGCTGGAGTGCAGTGCCACGATCTTGGCTCACTGCAAGCTCCGCCTCCTAGGTTCACGCAATTCTCCTGCCTCAGCCTCCCAAGTAGCTGGTACTAACAGGCGCCTGCCACCACACCCGGCTAAGTTTTTGTATTTTTAGTAGAGACGGGGTTTCACCACGTTAGCCAGGATAGTCTCGATCTCCTGACCTCGTGATCCGCCCGTCTTGGCCTCCCAAAGTGCTGGGATTACAGGTGTGAGCCACCACGCCAGGCCGTTTGTGTCCTCTTTTATTTCACTGAGCAGTGGTTTGTAGTTCTCCTTGAAGAGGTCCTTCACATCCCTTGTAAGTTGGATTTCTAGGTATTTTATTCTCTTTGAAGCAATAGTGAATGGGAGTTCACTCATGATTTGGCTCTCTGTCTCTTATTGGTGTATAGGAGTGCTTGTGATTTTTGCACATTGATTTTGTATCCTGAGACTTTGCTGAAGTTGCTTATCAGCTTGAGATTTGGGGCTGAGATGATGGGGTTTTCTAAATACACAATCATGTCATCTGCAAACAGGGACAATTTGACTTCCTCTTTTCCTAATTGAATACCCCTTTATTTCTTTCTCCTGCCTGATTGCTTGGCCAGAACTTCCAACACTATGTAGAATAGGAGTGGTGAGAGAGGGCATCCCTGTCTTGTGCCAGTTTTCAAAGGGAATGCTTCCAATTTTTGTCTATTCGGTATGATACTGGCTGTGGGTTTGTCATAAATGGCTCTTATTATTTTGAGATATGTCCCATCAATACCTAGTTTATTGAGAGTTTTTAGCATGAAGGGATGTTGAATTTTGTCAAAGGCCTTTTCTGCATCTATTGAGATAGTCATGTAGTTTTTGTCTTTGGTTCTGTTTATATGATGGATTACGTTTATTGATTTGCGTATGTTGAACCAGCCTTACATCTCAGGGATGAAGCCAACTTGATCTTCGTGGATAAGCTTTTTGATGTGCTACTGGATTCAGTTTGCCAGTATTTTATTGAAGATTTTGCATCGATGTTCATCAGGGATATTGGTCTAAAATTCTTTTTTTCCTGTGTCTCTGCCAGGCTTTGGTATTAGGATGTTGCTGGCCTCATAAGATGAGTTAGGGAGGATTCCCTCTTTTTCTGTTGATTGCAATAGTTTCAGAAGGAATGGTACCAGCTCCTCTTTATACCTCTGGTAGAATTCGGCTGTGAATCTGTCTGGTCCTGGACTTCTTTTGGTTTGTAGGCTATTAATTATTGCCTCAGTTTCAGAGCCTGTTATTGGTCTATTCAGGGATTCAACTTCTTTCTGGTTTAGTCTTGGGAGGGAGTATGTGTCCAGGAATTTATCCATTTCTTCTAGATTTTCTAGTTTATTTGCATAGAGGTGTTTATAGTATTCTCTGATGGTAGTTTATTTCTGTGGGATCGGTGGTGATATCTCCTTTATCATTTTTTATTGCGTCTATTTGATTCTTCTCTTTTCTTCTTTATTAGTCTTGCTAGAGGTCTATCAATTTTGTTGATCTTTTCAAAAAACCAGCTCCTGGATTCATTGATTTTTTGAAGGGTTTTTTTTGTCTGTATCTCCTTCAGTTCTGCTCTGATCTTAGTTATTTCTTGCCTTCTGCTAGCTTTTGAATGTGTTTGCTCTTGCTTTTCTAGTTCTTTTAATTGTGATGTTAGTGTGTCAATTTTAGATCTTTCCTGCTTTCTCTTGTGGGCATTTGGTGGTATAAATTTCCCTCTACACACTGCTTTAAATGTGTCCCAGAGATTCTGGTATGTTGTGTCTTTGTTCTCATTGGTTTCAAAGAACATCTTTATTTCTGCCTTCATTTCGTTATGTACCCAGTAGTCATTCAGGAGCAGGTTGTTCAGTTTCCATGTAGTTGAGCGGTTTTGAGTGAGTTTCTTAATCCTGAGTTCTAGTTTGATTGCACCATGGTCTGAGAGACAGTTTGTTATAATTTCTATTCTTTTACATTTGCCGAGGAGTGCTTTACTTCCAACTATGTGGTCAATTTTGGAATAAGTGCGATGTGGTGCTGAGAAGAACATATATTCTGTTGATTTGGGGTGGAGAGTTCTGTAGATGTCTATTAGGTCTGCTTGGTGCAGACCTGAGTTCAATTCCTGGATATCCTTGTTAACTTTCTGTCTCATTGATCTGTCTAATGTTGACAGTGGGGTGTTGAAGTCTCCCATTATTATTGTGTGGGAGTCTAAGTCTCTTTGTAGGTGTCTAAGGGCTTGTTTTGTGAATCTGGGTGCTCCTGTATTGGTGCATATATATTTAGGATAGTTAGTTCTTCTTGTTGAATTGATCCCTTTACCATTATGTAATGGCCTTCTTTGTCTCTTTTGATTTTTGTTGGTTTAAAGTCTGTTTTATCAGAGACTAGGATTGCAACCCCTGCTTTTTTTTGATTTCCATTTGCTTGGCAGATTTTCCTCCACCCCTTTATTTTGAGCCTATGTGTGTCTCTGCAGGTGAGATGGGTTTCCTGAATACAGCACACTGATGGGTCTTGACTCTTTATCCAATTTGCCAGTCTGTGTCTTTTAATTGGAGCATTTAGCTCATTTACATTTAAGGTTAATATTGTTATATGTGAATTTGATCCTGTCATTATGATGTTAGCTGGTTATTTTGCTCGTTAGTTGATACAGTTTCTTCCTAGCCTTGATGGTCTTTACAATTTGGCATGATTTTGCAGGTGGCTGGTACCGGTTGTTCCTTTCCATGTTTAGTGCTTCTTTCAGGAGCTCTTGTAAGGCAGGCCTGGTGGTGACAGAATCTCTCAGTATTTGTTTGTCTGTAAAGGATTTTATTTCTCTTTCACTTACGAAGTTTAGTTTGGGTGGATATGAAATTCTGGGTTGAAAATTCTTTTAAGAATGTTGAATATTGGCCCCCACTCTCTTCTGGCTTGCAGAGTTTCTGCAGAGAGATCCGCTGTTAGTCTGATGACCTTCTCTCTAGTTGTTCTACCCATGTTTGAAAGTGGGATATTGAATTCTCCAAATATTTTTATTGAATTTCTTCTTTATCCCTTCATCCTGCATGTTTTTATTTCCTGTGTTTTGGAGCTCTCTTGTTAGGTTCACGTATGTTTATAATTATGTCATCTTAATGGAGTGATCCCTTTATTATTATTAAATGTCTTTTTTCCTCTTGTAGCAATTTTTATCTTAAAGTCTGAATTTTTAAAATTTATTTTTTAATAGTTGCTGTGAGAATTACAATTAACATCAACTTGTAATAGTTTAGTTTGGACTAATGTCACCTATTCTTCAAATATTCTTCATGCCTTTTTTTCTCTCCTCTTCTGAGACTCCTGTTGTACAGATGGTGTTTTGTAGTCACTCAGGCTCTTTTCATTTTTCTTCATTTTTATTTCTGTTTCCCAGACTGGATAATCTTAACCAACCTATTTTTGAGTTTGCTGATTCTTTCCTTTGCCTGCCAAAATATGCTATTGAGCCCCTCTGATGAATTATTTTAGTTATTGTACTTTTATGTCCAGAATTTCAATTTGCTTGTTTTTTCCAGTTTCTTTCTCTTTATTGATATTTTCTGTTTGGTGAAGCGTTGTTCTCATACTTTAGTTTTGCACGTGGTTTCCTTTTTTCCTTTGAACATATTTAAAATAGCTTATTTAAAGTCTTCTAGTAAGTCCTGTCCTCAGGGACCATTACTGTTGATTGCATTTTTTCCTATGTATGAGCCATACTTTCTTGTTTCTTTAAATTTATTTGAAAACTGGGCAGTGGGAGGGGCTCATTTCAGTTACTGTGCTTTTCTATTTGGTTATTTTAATAATTTCTTTCTCTTCTTAATATTCTCCATTTGGTGTGACTTTTAGTTCTTTGGACATTATTTCCTTTAGTTCTTTGAATATATTTAATATAGCTGAATTAAATTATTCAGTAATTCTAAAACCTGGGCTTTCTCAAGGGCAGTTTCTATTAAATACTTTTTGTCCCTTTATACTTTTTTGTTTCTTTGTATGTCTCTCAATTTTTTGTTGAAAACTGGACAACTAACATATAAGGTGGCAACTCTGGAAATTAGATTTTCCCCTCCCTAAGGTTTGTTGTTGTTTTTGTTGCTGTTTGTTTAGTGGCTTTCTGAACAAGTTATTTTAAATCTATATTATTTGTGGTGCATGGCTACTGAAGTCTCCGTGTGGTGAGCTTCATAGTCATCTAATGATTGAACAGAGATTTCCTTAAAAACCTGGAACCAGTAATTCTCCCCATCTTTGTTGAGAGGCCTGTGTATTTGCGTACATATGTGTGTGTTGGGGCACATCAAAACACTCAGCCGGGCAGTTGACAGCTGTTCCTTAGCCTTCCCCTCCTGTTTACACAAAGCCTGGGGTCAGCCCCAGGTGTGAGAGCTTAGGGATGTCTCAGGTTTCTTCTGAGCACAGGCAGAGCCAGAGCCCGATGCGTACACAGGACCTTCTAGATTGGCAGGAAGGTGTCAACACTTTTTACAGCCCCTGTGGACATCTTATTCCCAACTTTTCCTTTTAAACTTTTGGGTCTGCTTATTGTTTGGCCCAACTGTCATCTACCACATTGTTCTGCAGCCAAATTTTTAAAAATTTCCCCTAAAGGTTTTTGACAACTGTTACCAGGGTCGAGGCTTTTCACAGTGGGAAAGCTCTGAGTCAGGTCAAATAAAAGTAGCCTTCCAGGTGGGGCCTCACTGGGACTCACCACACAGATCAGATAAAGACAGTTCTCTGGAAATCAGGCTTTCGAGGAGCTGCAGCATTGTTCTGCCACCCTTATTGCCTGTCAGGCTGCTGATTTTCACTGTGATTGGGCTGTTGGTTATAGTGCTGTCACAGAGCTGGAGAGAAGAGAATGAGAATAGAAAAGTTAAATGCCACATATTTCACTGTTCTTGTTGAGATTCAGCTTTTTAAAAATGTATTAACATTCCATGGATTGCTGCAAGCTTTTGGAGATTGCTGCAAGCTTTTGGTTAATTGCCAGAGTTCTTAGAAAGTTTATTCTGATGCTGCCAATTTTCTTGTTCTTGTTAGAATTTTCAAATGTCCCTAACTTTGCCATTTTCACTGACAGTACCTCTGTTGCTTTTTTTTCTTCTTCTGTGCTATTTTGTTTCTTCAAACTATTCTCAACTTTTGCTGTCAAAACCAGTTGATTGAATTAACATTGATAATGGCATGTAGGTCCTGAAATTAAATTTCATTATCTTAATATTATAAATATTAACCCATTTAAGAATCACTATTACAAAAACATTTTGAAGATAAACTATTGAGCAGGTAGAACTAATTACCAGAATTTATCATTAGCTATTTCATTTTTTAATACAGATTCTTATTGAGATCATTTTAGAATCATACACTGTTATAAGAAGTTATACAGAGAGATCCTGTGTAGCCTGTACCTGGTTCCTCCCAATGGCAATATCTTGACAAAGAATACTACAAAGTCACAACCAGGATGTTGATCTTTTGATAGGAATGGGTATTTCATTTTCACCATCCTGATATTGTGGCTTTCATTACCATTTCCCTGATGGTTAATGATGTTGAACATCTTTTCACTTGCTTATTGGATTGTTCTTTTCTGTTTGTTTTTGAGTTCTTTATATAGCCTAGATCTTTAGACTTTTGTTAAATATGTAGTTTGCAAATATTTTATACCTTTTCGTAGTTTGTCCTGTCCTACTCTTAACAGGGTCATGTGAAGGGCAAAGTTTTTAATTTTGAATGAGGTACAACAATTTATCATTTTTTTTTTCTGGATTGTGCTTTTGGTGTCAACTCTAGGAACACTGCCAAACCTTAGATCCTGAAGATCTTCTCTATCCTTTTTAAAAAGTTTTATAGTTTTACATTTTAAATTTAGAGCAGTGATGTATTTTGAGTTAATTTTTGTATAAGTTGTAAGGATTAGGTCAGGGTTCTTTAAGAAAAATATTGTTTTGGTCTATAGATGTCTCATTGCTTCTGTGCTATTTGTTGGAAAAGCTGTTCTTCCAATGAATTGCTTTTGCAATTTTGTCAAAACCAGTGAGGCATATATGGTTCTGTTTCTAGGTGTTCTACTCTCTGCAAGTGATTTATGTGTCTATCCCTCTGCCAATATCACACTGCCTTGGTTACTGAAGTTATGCAGTAAGACATAATGTCTGGTGGAGTGATTCCTCTCACTTTATTCTTGTTTTTGAAGATTGTTTTTAGCAATTCTAGGGTTTGTTCCTATCTAATTTTTTGTATAAGCTTGTCAACAAAAAATTATCCTGGGATTTTTACAGGGTTTACATTAAACCCACAGATTAATTTGGGAAGAATTAACATCTTTACATTTTGAGTCTTTTAATCCATGAATATAGTGTGTCTTCTTGTTTATGTAGATCTTCTTTGATTTATTTCATCAGCATTTTGTATATTTCAGTACATATGTCCTGTGCATGCTTTCTTAGATTTATATCTGAGGTACTTCATTTTATTTGGAGTCGTAAATGGCGTTGTAAATGGCATTTTAATGTTGATTTTTGCATATTCATTGTTAGTATATAGAAATGTACTGGATTTTAGGATTTAGACCTTGTATTCTGCAACTTTGCTATATGTACTTATTACCTTTAAGAAGGACTTTTCTTTTTGAGTCCTTGGGGTTTTTACATAGACAAGTATGTAGCCTGCAATTAGGGAGTTTTATTTCCTTTCCAGTGTGTTCGTCTTTTTTTTTTCCTTGCCTTGTTAAAGTGGCCAGAACTTCTAGCACATGTTGAATAGAGTGAGAGCCACATCCTTGACATGTTCCCAGTCTCAGGGCCTATATATTCAGTCTTTTACTGGTAAGAAGGATATTACCTAGAGGTTGAGATTGAGGTAGTTCTACATTTCTCCTATCTTCTTGAGAGTTTTTATCATGAAGAGGTGTTCGGTTTTGTCAAATACTTTTTCTGTGTCAGTTGATATGATCATGTGTTTTTCCTCTTTAGCCTGTTGATGGGGTGAATTACAATGATCAGTTTTTGAATTTTGGGTGAGTCTTGCATACCTTGAGTAAAAGTCACTTGGTCGTGATGCATAATTTTATACATTGCTGGGTTCAATTTGTAATTTTTTTTTTGTCTAAGTTAATGAGTTTTGTAGTTTTTAAAATAACATGTATGTAGCATAAAATTCAGCATTTATAACTATTTTAAGTGTACAATTCAGTAGCATTAATCACAATGTTATACAAACACCACCATTCTTTTTTCATTACCCTAGAGACTCAGTAACCATTAAGCCACAACTCCTCACTTCCCCCTACCCTGTTGCCCAGTAACCTCTAATCTACTTTCTGTCCCCGTGAATTTGCTTATTCTACATTTTTCATGTGAGTAGAAGCACAGTATTTGCCCTTTTTTGTCTAGCTTATTTCACTTACTATAATATTTTCAAGGTCCATCCATGTTGTAGCATATATCAGAATTTCATTCTTTTTTGTGGCTGAATAATATTTCATTATGTAACTGCCATGTTGATCCATTCATCTGTGATGGACACTTGGTGTTTCTGTTTGGAGACTTTGGGTACTATGGTCACGCATCACTCAACGTGGAAAACATCCTAAGTGGTGTTAGGCCATTTAATCATTGTGCTAACATAGAGTGTACCTACACAAACCTAGGTGGTATAGCCTACTACATACCTAAGGTATATGATACAGCCTATTGCTCCTAGACTGCAAGCCTGTACAACATGTTACTATACTGAATACTGTAGGCAGTTGTAACACAATGGCAAGTTTTCGTGTATCTAAACATAGAAAAGGGTACAGTAAATACAGTATTATAATCTTATGGAGCCACCATCATCTATGCAGTCCATCGTTGACCAAAACATTACATGGTACATGACTGCATTTAAATACTTTGTTTTAACAGTCAGCCTATTTAGGTTTATCATATAGGTCCTGACTAGGGCCTGCTGTTTTGGGCTATAGTTCCAGTAATAGCTTAGTTTTTAGAGCATTTGCAGTGCGAGCTTCAGAGTTTTAGTGATTTTCTGATACTGAAGCTGCTAAGAGTAGTTGGTGGTTCTTGAGCATTAGTTCTACATTTTATAACTGAAGTTTACAGATCTTTTTAGATGACTTAGATTCTTTAGGATAAGGTGAAAATTAATTATGGTATTTTGTCTTTAGCTATAAAATTAATTTTGAAAAACCTTTCTGGCTCATCTTTTTAGATGTATGGTATATATCCTGCACATCTGAATTACATAGGATTATATTTTGAGTTTTAGTAAACAACATGGGCATTAGCTTCTTTAGGAAGTTGATGATATTGAGTGGTCTTGATAAAATTAAAATATGGTTTATATGAGTTCCCTTGTACTTCTAATGTGGCAAGAAGACAAGTATATGTTACATTTTTCAGATAATAAAACTAATGAGGGAAGAAACAAAGCTTTGATCATAAAATGTCTTTAAGCTCGAAGGGACCCATGTGGACCTAGTCCAGGATGTTTTAAAATTGCTATTGAGCCCTTTGTTGAAACAAAATATTGAGCAAGTGTAACTGTAAAAGAGATATTGATGTATTTAACAATGTTGAATTCTAAAATAGCAGTGTCTTTTTTTTTTTTTTTTTTAAGACAGGGTCTTGTTCTGTCACCCAAGCTGGAGTGCATTGGCACTATCTCAGCCCACTGCAACCTCTGCCCCCTGGGCTCAAGCACAATGTCATTATCCTAACCAGAATTTCTTATCTTATGTTTTTCAGACTTGCTTCTAGGCACAGATTATTGACAAGCAAACCAGGAACTTTTACAGATTGTGATAAGAATTAAGATAGGGAATATAATAGAGGATAACTGGGCTGCTCTGAGAAGCCAAGGAGGGCCACACTGTGAGTGGGGTCAAGGCTGAGACTTGAAGGAGGAGAAGATGCCAGCCATAACAACAGCATGCTAGGCAAGGTGACTCTGTAACACAGCTTTGGGGACCCTCCTGAGGCCTGCCTGTGTGGCCCTTTCTTCTGTTCCTAGTTTTTGTAGAAGAAAGTTTAAAAATCGCTGATTTGACTAGTCCAGCCTTCTCCTTTTGTGGGTGAGGAGATTGTGAAGGCTAGAAGGTAAAGATATGCAATGACAACCTAGGTTCCTAATGCCTGATACCACCCCCCACAATATGGCATAAATTTTTCTACTAGTTATTTACAGCATTTGTTTTTTTCATGAGTTATTTTAGATGTATTAAAATTGCAAATTATATTTATTCATCAGTTGTAATATTCAGAAAAATACCTTCACCTAAAAGAAAAACAAAAACTTAGTAGACAAAGATTTGTCTTTAAAGTGAAAGATATTTTTAATCTTAACTAAATGAAATAGGGAAGTAAACAGTTTGTGAACTTCTGTTTTGAAAGCAAGTGTTCCTATTTTGAAACAACTGACACATTGACATTTTTACACTGATTATAAATGGCTTTGTTACTCACAGACAGCTTAGAGATGTGGGTCGGTGTGAGGAGCTTAAAGTAGATCTTACTGAGCCCAGCTTCAGAGTAAATATGAGTAGAATCGTAAAAGCCAGAAATGTAAATCCTTTTCTTTCCTTTGTAAATCTTCCTTTCCTCACTTATTGTCAGAAATATATGCCCAATTAAAAAAATTTGGTTGCTAAAAGGTGCTGTTAGTCATGAGCATTCTGTAAAGTTTATTTTGAAAATAAATAGGGATGGGTTTAGAAGCACAGATTCACATTGCCAGAATTCATACTTTTCTCTAGCCACTTTCTTGCTAAGTATATCTCTCTGTGTGTATTTCTTTACCTTAAAATGGATCATAATGTCTGTGTCATAGGGTTAGTTTGAATATTAACAACAGTGATCAGTAATTATTAGTTTATTTTTATTTCAATTACAGTTGTTTGATGCTTGAACTAGGGAACATCAGGAAAGTTTGGGATTCATTAACAGCATAAAATTAGGGGAAATATTTTTGGGAGAGGAAGCTGTTACTAGTTCTGGTTTTGAATCTGGAGATGTGATAACTTGACTGACTTTTGTTACATTTTATATTTTATAGCTTAATAACTGCATGTGAAATGATTAAGTCTGTATCTAGTGTTCTGTTTTTTGAGGCATATAATTGAAAGGTATTATAATTGGCTGTTTAAAGCAAAATACGTTAATTTGTTTTATGCCAGAGTTGAATCCTATTTATCTCTACATCTTTTAAGGAAAGCCAGTGATGTGTAACATAGTATTTTCCTTTTGAGACTTTATAATCAGCTGCTGTTATTAATTTTTTTAACTAACATTCATATTTTTAACATAACTCATACTTTTTAAAATATGAATTCATAATTCATAATAGAATTTTTATATATTTTTAAAGCTTCTGATTTAAAAAGCAGTATACCCAAACTACTGCCTTTATGTAGTTCTCTTCAGTTAGATCAGCATTTCTTCTGGCTCAATGGTGGGAACTCATTCAGTGGTCGTTCTATTGGAACTCTTAATAGCAGCCACCTATAGCTCGTTTCCAGTTGTTTCTTGTTGGTTTCCTCTGCCAATTAGACATAAAGCTTCTAATTAGAGGCCTTGACTTTATGTCTTTTACATTGTGAACATCTGGCTGTTCAGTTATTTCTTGTTAGTTCATTGTGTTCTTATGTTAATAAATTTGTCTTCAGTAGGGAATAACCAAAAAATTCTCTGGATCCTGTGAAATTTCAGTTTGTGTTAAAAAGTGGGGGGAACAGGTGAGGAATGGGATGGGTGAGCTGAGCAGAGCCTTTTATATTCATAGTCCTTTATTGTAATGAGTTTATCACTTTACTTAGAGACATTCTAAGTATACTGTGTCAGTAATTCTGTTGGAGCCATTAGCTCTGATCTTGATATTGAAATTCCACTATAAGCCAGGACTAGAGATAACATAACCAGAAAAAGGTCATTTGCATCAGTAAGTACAAATGCCAGTGCTTATTGTACCTGAGCAAAAAGGTGGGACATCATTCATGCTTTCAGTATTTATTGAATATTCTCTATATGCCACAGACTGGTTAGGGGATGAATAGAAGTGGAGCAGGTTGGCACTGTCATTGAAGAGAAACACAGGAAATGGAGGACAGGAGTTTTCCCAAAATAAAATCAGGATGTGACTGCTAGACTAAGGAGAAAAGGATGCTTGGCAGGCAGAAAAAACATCCAACGAGGTAATGTAATCTAATTAACTAGTATCTTATTCTGCTGCTTGACTGTCCACTTTTGTCATACCGGAACAGCCAGGTACATATGTGGGACAGTGAGTGTCTTCCCTGATTTCCAAAAGACCAACAAATGGGAGTCAGTGAATTCCATATTAAGCCAAATGAAATATCACATAGTTGAAATTCTGCATGTGAAAGTTGTCCCTTTTCTCCCATTTATTCAGCAATTTATAGCAATATGGGTTTATGGATATTTATTTTATACTTTGGGCTACATCTAGTACTTCTTCATTTTGTTGCTCAGATTGTTTCAGCTTTGGTCATTTGGGAGCTCTTTCTGTTGATTCTTACCTTCCTTTCTCTATCCCCATCAGTGTAGGATTTGGGTGGTTTTCTCTATTTTTTACTTTCCGGCACTATAGGATGCTCCATTCTCATCTCGTGTATTTCCTGCCCCTGTCCTCAAATCGGCCATTGCTCCAGGAAGCCCTGGTTTCTTTTATTGGAAAATAATATTAGAACACAAGATCTGAGTTCCAGGTGTGTTCTTTGCTATTGGCATGTCATTGCTTTAGGCTCTTAGAGCTGACAGAGCAAGGAAATACATGTATGTATACTAACCTATGAATATACACATCTATAAATATTCTTATATGTATGTAATAATGTATATGTTTCACTAAACATGAATTCTTACTGATATCACTGACTCTTAACCATTACCACCTGGATCATTTTGGCCTCCCCCGCCTTGTTTCTGTATAAATTGCTCTTCCAACAGTGAGACACCTGGCTCCCAGTATCCACCATCTGTGTACTTAATTGTTCGATTTCAGTGTACATGTATAGTGGCATCAGAATGGTTAACCCAAACTCCCATGGGAAAAAGCATTATTAACTAGAATACATTGCGTGTGTATGGTTTCTTTTGCCTTTAGTCTTACAGATTCTATTCATTTCCAGAATTACTTAGGTGAGCACTCTCCCCTCTCCCCCCACTTCAGTAAGGTTGATTCATTCATTTGTAATACAGTTAAATTGTTTTGTCATTTTATGCATTCCATCCTGGAGTCTCCCAGTCTTCTAAATAAATTTTTAAAATTTGCATACATTTAGATTCACTTTTTGTGCTGTGAAGTTCTGTTTTGACAAATGCATCATGTCCTGTATCCACCATTACAATTTGATAAAGAATGGTTTTACCACCCTAAAATATATTTGTGCTTCACTTATTCAACCTTTCCCATCTCCCCCTGATCTCCTAGCAACCACTGATCTTTTTACTATCTCCATAATTGTCCCTTTTCCAGAATGTCATGTACTTGGAAGCATACAGTATGTAGCCTTTTCTTTTAGTAATATTCCATTGTATAGATATACCACAGTTTGTCTGTTCACCTTTGATGGCCATCTTGACTATGCCCAGATTTTGGTGATTATGAATAAAGCTGCTTTAAGGAATTGTATGTAGATTTTTGTATGTAAGGTTTCAAATCAGTTCAGTCAATACCAGAAGCACGATCGCCAGATTGTATGGTATAACTATGTTAGCTTTTAAATATATTACCTTTGCATTGCTGTTTCTTGGATCAGAATAATCTTTTGCTATTTTCCCTGCCCACTTCCTCACCAAATCCCTTTGACTGTGGATCCCAGGTCATATCATCACTACAAAAAAGCAGATGATACCGAATTTCAGCTGATCATTTCTTGGGGGAAATATAATACTGTAGTGATCTTTTCTATATGCTTTTGATATTTTCAATTAATCTATCAGGGAAAATAATTAGTTGCATCTTGTTGAATTTGACTATTTTGTGCTTTCTCATAATATAACAGTAATGGATATTTTGAAGTTGATGCATATAGCCTGTAGGTTGTTGAAGTTACTTTATTATTTGTTTTATTTTAAAGTATTTCTTAGTTTGTAAAATTCTGAAGTATTAGTCATATTTTTCTTTTCAACCATCACCATTAAGCAGTCCATTTTTAGATATAAAATTATATTAATTAACTTTAAAGTCAAAGATGTTATGAAAATCAAATTTATGTTCCTGTAAGTGATGGTATGTTTTGTTTTCTTCACAGCATTCGTTCAGTCAGAGAGCATAATAGAAGTACTGCGTTTTGATGATGGAGGGCTACTACAGGTAATTTTTTTTTAAGTAGACAAGTTATTGTTAAGCCTTGAATAATATCTGGTTATTATTTTTCTTTTAAAAATGTAATTGGTTTATCTGAAATATATTTATATTTTATGAGCTTTGAAGATAGGTCAGTAGAGTCTTTAGTAATATAAAAACCTCTGTAGTTACGTGAGTTTTCTTTTAGATTAAATATTTCTTTAAAATGCAAACTCATTGTGGTATTAAAACCTTGTAAATAAGTACATTATCATTCTTATCTTTACGTAAGAGGTGTTGAGAAATGTAATAGAGAGTGGTTGCATAGTATTTGCCTAGAGTCAGCTTTGTATGTTTTAAAACTGAATAAAAACTGAACATAATGAGCTCTAATTTTATAAAGCCTTCCTACTAAAAAATGATCTTAAGTCTCTTTTTTCTAGTTCTTTAATCTGTTTCAAGGTGAGAACTTGGAGAACCTATGGGAACAAATGTTTTAAATATCTCCCTTTAGGTGGTTGTTTATAGGATCTGGATGGCAGACAAATCAGGACTGAATTTCTGGAAAATTCCCTAAGTGTGTTTGCTCTGTATTGATTGAGGAAGGATTTGTGTCTGTTAGGAACTGGACATCTAGGTTGCAGGTTGATAATCCATTCTAAAAATTCTGGAGCATGATTTGTATTTTTGCTGAGGGAGGCTGCTAATTTGTATCTAGATGGAGTTGGCTATGGAAAAGCTTGTGAACTGGGATGTGATTCACTAATAGTCTTTGGATCTGCTCAGATGCTTGGACAGGAGCTTGGGTGAGATCTCAGAATTCTGTGGCAAAGGTAATTTTGGTCTAGAAAAATGTTGAGGGCAAGTAGTATCAATTGGTTACTTAAGCCACAAAAAAACCTAAGACTCCTACAGAATGTCTAATATTGAGATGCTATATAATGTAGTATATGGCCCCTAAATAGCTGAATAGAAGACCCTTTTGAATAGATGTAAAATTGTTCATTTTAATGTTGAAGAGTGTTTCTCAGAAACAATTTTTATTTTGACATAATGTTATCTTTTTCTGACTGTAATTTACCAATAGGTTTAACGATTTTAAATAACTCCTGGTTTCTTATGCTATGATTAGAACAGAAAAATGTACATGTAGCATTTCTATGGCAGAATATATATCCTTTCTCTAATTTAAATTTAAGCTAAAGCAGGGAGAGTGTCAAAGCAACAACCTTGTTTTACATTATTTAAAATGTGAATTTTGCCCAAGAACATTCCTTCTTAGATCTGCAATTCATGTACATTCATGTGGCTTGGCCATAGTAATTTTTTTTTTTTTTTTTGAGACAGGGTCTCGCACTGTCACCCAGGCCTGGAGTGCAGTGGCGCGATCTCGGCTCACCACAAGCTCTGCCTCCCGGGTTCACACCATTCTCCTGCCTAGGCCTCCCAAGTAGCTGGGACTACTGGCGCCTGCCACCATGCCCAGCTAATTTTTTTTGTATTTTTAGTACAGACGGGGTTTCACCATGTTAGCCAGGATGGTCTCAATCTCCTGACCTCATGATCCGCCCGCCTCGGCCTCCCAAAGTGCTAGGATTACAGGTGTGAGCCACCGCGCCCGGCCAACTCATAGTAATTTTTTTAATCCTCAAAAATCAACTGATAAGAAATCAGTAAAAAAATAAATTTTAAAAATTGCCAAAAAGATTAGACTTGTTTTCTTTATTTTTAGATAAGGAAAATTAGGTTTATGGAAGTTAAATAATTTATTCTGTAGTACTCAATTGCTAGAGCAGGAATTCAGTGTCCAGTAAGTACCATACTCACCATGTCTAATTTCAAAACTCTCCACGGCACGATGCATGTGCAGTGCTCTCAGATATTCCATGGGTTTGCACTTGTTATGAATATAAATTATAACCCCCATAGATTATGTTTTCTATAGTTGATGCTTTGGCCATTGTCATTCCTGTTTGGCTGGACTAAGATTTAGCATCCAGAATACGTAAAGATCAGACCGTTCCTAAGATGACACGGACTCTGAGGAATCTGCATCTCAACAGAAGAAATCCACATTAAGGCCATAACCACAGGATGCCCTGGTCAGGTATCTCAAACCATCATTCCCATCCTAACTGATCAGAATGGTTGGCTCTTCTAACCTGTTCCTTTGAAAGATTATAAAATGGAATAACAAAAGATTCTTTCATTTACAAGCATAATTTAATAAACCTGAATCTGCTTCCTAATCTAACTTTCTTTTTAAAAAAAATAGAGGCAGGGGTGGACACAGTGGTTCACGCCTGTAATCCCAACACCTTGGGAGGCTGAGACGGGTCAGTCGCTTGAGTCCAGGAGTTCAAGACCAGCCTGGGAAATGTAGGGAAACCTTGTCTCTACAAAAAATTAGCCAGGTGTGTTGGCACACACCTGTGGTCCCAGCTACTCTGGTGTCTGAGGCAGGAGGATCGCTTGAGCCTGGGAGGTCGAGACTTCAGTGAGCTGTGATTGTGCCACTGTACTCCAGCCTGGGCAGCAGAGTGAGATCCTGTATCAACAACTACAAAAAAGTGTTCCCTGAGTTCAAGTCCCTTAAATTTATTTTGCACCTCATTTTAAAGGGGGGTTGAGAGTCCTGAGCTAAAGTGGTGAGCAAAGCCCCCATTATTGCCCAGCCATTCCTCCTCTAAGAGGTTCACGCCCTTGGCCAAAGTCCTCAAAACCTGGAGCATCTCAGCCCCAGCTCCGCATTGGAATCACCTTGAGAGCTTTAAAAATTTCTGGTGACAGGTACTTTCCTAAGGGCATTACAGGAACGAACTCACCTGGGCCTCACCAGCAACTGATGGCATGGTACCCAAGGGTCCCATTGTACAGGTGGTGGGATGTGGTGGGGACAGGGGCCAGGTGTACCACAGGCAGGGAGATGGTGGCTGAGCTGGGGTAAAAAATGCATGCCTGTCCCCACAGGGCCAGTGGACCCCCATGTCCTGACCTTGGAGGTCCAGAGAGCACATCAGAACTTGGCCAGCATACGGAGCTCCACAGCTGACTGACCACACAGTTCATAGAGACAGGGTCTCACTCTATTGCCCAGGCTGGTTTGCAGTGGCGCAATGACAGCTCACTGCAACCTTGACCTCCCGGGCCCAAGTGAACCTCTCGCCTCAGACTCCAGAGTAGCTGGGACTACAGGCACATGCCACCATACCCATCCAATTTTTTGTATTTTTTATAGAGACAGAGGTCTATGTTGCCCAGGCTGGCCTTGAATTCCTAGCCTCAAGCCATCTTCTCGCCTTGGTCTCCCAAAGTGCTGGGATTACAGATGTGAGTCACCATGCTCGGCCTCTAATCTAACTTTTTTTTTTTTGAGATGGGGTCTCGCTCTGTCACCCAGGCTGGAGCGCGGTGGCGCAGTCTCGGCTCACTGCAAGCTCTGCCTCCTGGGTTCACGCCATTCTCCTGCCTCAGCCTCTTGAGTAGCTGGGACTACAGGCACCCGCTACCAAGCCCGACTAATTTTTTGTATTTTTAGTAGAGACGGGGTTTCACCGTGTTAGCCAGGATGGTCTCAATCTCCTGACCTCGTGATCCACCCGCCTCAGCCTCCCCAAGTGCGGGGATTAGGCCACTGCGCCCGGCCTAATCTAACTTTTTTATATGAAGATAAAGGTCAGGAAAAAAGCTAGCTCTGTATTTTTTTCACTATCCTGCCAGAATAATAAATAGAATTTTAAAATTTTGGAAAGCAAGCTCTAGAATGTTTGTGAGTTGAAAACACAAACAGAATTTTGTCTTTTTTTTTTTTTTTTTTTTTTTTTAAAAAAAAAGACAGTGTCTTGCTCTGTTACCCATGCTGGAGGCCAGTGGCACAATCATGGCTCACTGTTGTCTCAACCTCCCAGGCTCAAGTGACCCTCCTCCCTCAGCCTCTCAAGTAGCGGGGACTACAGGCACATGCCACCACATCTGGCTAATTATTCATTTTTTATAGAGGTAGGTTCTCACTATGTTGCCCAGGCTGGTCTCAAACTCCTGGGCTCAAGCAGTCCTCCCATCTCAGCCTCCCAAAATGCTAGGATTATAGACCTGAGCCACTATGCCTGGCAGAATTTTGTCTTTTAAAACTTAAAGTCCTGTTTTATTTTATTTTTATTTATTTACTTTTTTTGAGATGGAGTCTCGCTCTGTCACCCAGGCTGGAGTGCAGTGAGCAATCTCAGCTCATTGCAGCCTCTGCCTCCTGGGTTCCAGCAGTTCTCTTGCCTCAGCCACCAGGATTACAGGCGTGTGCCACAACACCCAGCTAACTTTTGTAGTTTTAGTAGAGACAGAGTTTCACCATGTTGGCCAGGTTGGTCTCGAACTCCTGACCCCAAGTGATCCACCTGCTTTGGCCTCCCAAAATGCTGGGATTACAGGTGTGAGCCACTGTGCCTGGCAAAAGCCATGTTTTATAAATGGAATTCTAACCACTTAATTAGAGAACCTATATTGAGCCTTCTTGCAAAGAGTATACGATTTTGATTCATTTATTTTTTTTCTTTAAAGTGTTTATTGTGAGATATAATTTACATATAGATGCTTAAATTTGGGGAGGGAATGCAAGGCAAATACCTGTGTAACCACCACCCAGATTAAAAACTAAAAACAGGCCATTACCCTCCAAAGTTTCCCCTCAAGCTCTCTCCTAGTTACTACCCATAAAGTTAGCCATTTTCCAGAATTTTATAATAATTGCCTTTCCCTGTAATTTTAACATCTGAGTGTATATCTCTAAATACTACAGGGTCACATATTTTTTGAAGTTCATACAGTTTGTATTTTTTTTTTCTGGCTCCTTTTTCTCAGCATTATGTTTCTAAGATTCACAGCATTATGTGTTGAGTGTAACTGTAGTTACTTCAGTTTCATTGCTGAATAGTGTTGCATTGTATGGATATGCCCCAATTTATGTATTATTTCTGCTGTTTATGTGTATTTTGGTTGCTTCTTGTTTTTTGCTGTTAAGAATAATGCTGTCTCTTGGTGAACATAATATATGTGTTCAAATGATTTTTTTCTGAGGGATTAGAATGCAGTTGTTGGGTCATAGAGTAGGGATCCCCAACCCCCATGCCATGGACCAGTACCGGTCTGTGGCCTGTTAGGAACAGGGCTGCACAGCAGGTGGTGGGTGAAGAAGTGAACATTACCTCCTGAGCTCAGCCTCCTGTCAGATCAGTGGTGGCATTAGATTCTCATAGGAGTGCAAACCCTATTGTGAACTGCACATGAGAGATCTAGGTTGTGCGCGTGCCTTAGGAGAATCTAACTAGTGCCTGATGATTTCAGGTGGAACAGTATTATTCTGAAACCATCCCGCTAACCCCCCATCCATGGAAAAATTGTCTTCCATGAAACCAGTCCCTGGTGCCAGAAATGTTGGGGACCACTGTCATAGAGTATGTGTATCTTCCATTTTAATAGATAATGCATATAGTTTTCCAAAGTGGTTGTTTTAGTTTGCAAACCTGTCATCAGGAATTCCTCTGCAACAACTTTGTAAAGTGTTTTCTTCCTTCCCTCCTTCTGTTCTGGAGAATGGCTAATGATCTGTAATTTCCATTTTATTTTCGTTTCCCTGATTTCTCATAAAGCTGAGCAACTTTTCATGTTTACTTGACCATTTGGATATCTTCCTTTGTGACATCCGTTAAGTCTTTTACCCATTTTGCTGTTGGTTTGCATGTCTTTTTTCCCATTGTTTTGTAGAGGTTCTTTATAAGTTCTGAATACAAGATCTTTCCTGGAGCCGTAACCTCACAGCAGTAACAAAAATCAGTTCCATTACATGAGTTCTTTATTGGTTACATATATTGAAAATAGCTTCTCTCACTGGATGGATTGCCCTTTTGGCTTATGTAATGGTGACTTTTAGTGAACAGGAATTCTTAATTTTAATGAAGTTCAGTCTGTCAGTATTTTCCATTATGGTTAATACTTTTTTATTTTGTGTCTTGTTCAATGTTTTTCTATCCCAAGGTCGTGAAGATATTCTCCCGTATTCTAGAATTTTACTGTTTTGCCTTTCACAGTTAGCTCAAATTCTGTCTGGAATAAATTTTTGTTATTGATGTGAGATCAAGATTTTATTTCTTGTATTTGATTGTCTCAGCATCCTTTATTGACTATTTCCCAATGTTTTCTTTCCCTAGTATTTGTCAGTGACACCTTATTCATAAATCAAGTGTCCATATATGTGTGAGCCTGTTTCTGGGCACTGTATTGGATTTCTTTGGCTTATTTGTCTATCCTAATACCAGGGTCACCGTTTTAATGACTATAGTTTTTAAAGTTTTGATATTTGGTAGAACAAATCCTGACACTTTGTTATTCTTCTCAGTAATGTCTTGGTTATTCTCAGTTCTTTGCCTTCCATATGTATCTTTTCAATTAGCTTTACACACACACACACACACACACACACACACACACACTCGGGATTTTTTATTAGCGTCACTCAGAATCTGAAGATCAATTTGGCAAGAATTAAAAATCTTTCAGAATTTTCAGTATTCAGTCTGACAGTCTGAGACAGTATATTTTTCAACTTATTTAGGTCTTCTTTATCTCATAATTTTATATTCTGCATAAAGATCTTGAACATCTTTCGATAGATTTATTTCTGGGGCTTTGGTATTTTTTAATACTACTGTAAGTGACATTTTTTCAAAATGTTCGCTTTTTGTCATTATTAGGTTGAAGCATATTGCTGATGCCCGGCCTTTATTGATCTATAAAAGTGGCAATTTCATACGACTCAACATAAAATGTAGAAATGTGGTTGCTTTTAATATATTTGCTGTGTATCCTGAAAACTTGCTAAATTACTTATTGATTCTAATAACTTAGCTGTAGATGCTTTTGAACAACCTCCATAAACTATCATCTGAGCTTGATGACATTTCTTCAGTTTGGCACTCAAAATCAACTGTCACACATTCTACCTTTTCTTTTTCTTACCTTAACTTTACTAGCTACAGCCAGTATGATGTTAATACAGTGCTATTTAGTAGTCCTCTTTGACACTTTCCTCATCTCAGAAATACAACATTCAATATTTCACGGTTAGATACGATTTTTTCTTCACTGCCCCCTTTGCCACCCCCACCCAAGATAGCCTTTATCACATGTCAGTTTGAGTTCTCAACAAGATCCTGAGACAGAATTAGGAGTGCAAGAGATTGAGGGCTACTGCCTGTGAAAAATAAGCTAAAGAAAGCAGGATTGGGCAAGGAGAGTCTCAGACTGTGATGCAGAATCTCGGCCAACCCAGTGGGGAGCTCTGGAGCAAAGATTGCCCATTGGAAGCATCCTGCACTGGGTAGAGTTGGCCAGGCCCTAGTATACCTGCTGTGCTCATTCATTGTCTGGGAGGAGCCCAAGAAGAACGTGGCCTTACCTCAAATGCCACAGTTGATCCCAGAGTACATAGGTGGAGGCTGGTAGCCAACAGTGTTTTTCACAACTGAATGCCAAGTTCTTCCTTGTAGGGAGATCTGAGCTGTTCATAGAAAAAATATTGGAAATCAAAGCCAGGCTGGGCGCAGTAGTTCATGCCTGTAATCCCAGTACTTTGGGAGGCTGAGGCAGGTGGATCACTTGAGGTCAGGAGTTCGAGACAAGCCTGACCGATATGGTGAAACCCTGTCTCTACTAAAAATACCAAAGTAGCCAGGCATGGTGGCACATGCCTGTAATCCCAGCTACTCAGGAGGCTAAGGCAGGAGTATCGCTTGAACCCGGGAGACGGAGGTTGCAGTGAGCTGAGATCGTGCCATTGCACTCCGGCCTGGGCAACAAAGGTGAAACTCCATCTCAAAAAAAGAAAAGTCAAAGCCAAAGAGATACATTCTAAAAGCAACTAGAGAAAAAGAGAGACCTTCAAAGAAGGTAGAATTAGCCTGACAGCTGACTTATAGACTGAAACAATGAGAGGCAAAAATAATATATAATAAAATTTACTGAAAAAATTTGCCAAACTAGAATTCTATACCCAATGAAAATATCCTTTACAAATGAAAGTGAAATCGACATTTTAAAATAGATAAGAATGGAGAGAATTTGTCACCAGAAAATTTGTGCCAAAGGAAATAATACAGTCTTTAGGCTGAAGGTAAATGATTTTAGAAGCTCAGAAACGCAAAGGAATAAAGAACATTAAAAATGTTTAAGTGTGTGGATAACTAAATGAATGTATACTTTGTAGAACAATAATAATAATGTTTTGACTAATGCATTGTGGCAGAACATTTTGGTACCACTAAGGCTAAATCTTATGAAGCTTGACAACTTCTACCTGGGTCTGTCAGTTTTGGAACGTTTCTTTTGGGAAGTGAATCACCGTGATGTGAGAAACTTAAGCCACATGGAAAGGCCACATGTAGTCTTCTGGTCAGCAGTCCCAGCTGAGCTCCCAGCTGACAGCCAGCATCACTTTCCCATCACGTGAATGAGCCATCTTAGACAACCAACACATTTGAACTTTCAGACAAATGCTGCCTGAAATCACATGTAACTGCAATACAAAAGAGACTTTAAGTGAGAATAAATTGTTTTAAGCCGCTAAACCTTAGACTGCTTTATTATGCAGCAGTAGATAACCAGAATGCTTGATATATCATATCAGACTTGGTTGGTCTGTGTTCAGTTTTCTTCCACTGCTTCAGAAATGCCTTTTTGCATTTGGTTTGTCCAAAACAGGATCGAGACAAGGTCTACACATTGCATTTGGTTGCTATGTCTCCTAAGTCTCCTTTATGCTATTTCCCCCACCCGCCTTTTTGTTGTTGTTTTTGTTGTTGTTGTTGTTAATGAAATTGGCTCATTTGTCTGTGGGATTTCCTACATTCTCAGTTTGGTTATTTTCATCCTCTTGGTGTCATTTAACATTCACTTATGGTGTGAATTTTCTGTAAACTGTTAGCTAAATCTAGAGTCTTGATTAGGTTTAAATTCATTTGTTTTTCTTGGCAAGAAGATTTTATAGCTAGTTGTGCAGTAATCTGGTCTTTGTCTCTGGTCCTGAAGATGCTCTAAATCTTGGAATTTTCTTAATAATAAGAGTGTCTTTGTTATTCATGAGTCCCTTGGATCACATCTGAGTTTATACCTAATGAGAATACTCAAGATGGGGGTTGGTCATCAGAAAAACCAACCATGTTGGCCGGGCGCAGTGGATCACACCTGTAATCCCAACACTTTGGGAGGCTGAGGCCGGTGGATCGCCTGTGGTCAGGAGTTCGAGACCAGCGTGACCAACATGGTGAAAACCCGTCTCTACTAAAAATACAAAAATTAGCCAGGCATGGTGGCATGCGCCTGTAGTCCCAGCTACTCGGGAGGCTGACACAGAATTGCTTGAACCCGGGAGGCGGAGGTTGTAGTGAGCCGAGATCGTGCCACTGCACTCCAGCCTCAGTGACAGAGCAAGATTCTGTCTCAAGAAAAAAAAAAAAAAGAGAGAAAAAAACCAATCATGTGATTAGAGGGTTGGGCTTTGAGCCAACCCACCCTCCTCTAGGGAAGCCGAAATGTGAGTTGGGTCACATGGTGGTCAGTGATTGAATCAGCCATACCTTACCTACCTGATGAAACTGGATACTGAAGCTTGCTAGAACCTGCTGGGAGGTAATTGAATCATGGCGGCGGTTACTCCCATGCTGTTCTTGTGATTGTGAGTTCTCATGAGATCTGGTGGTTTTATAAGGGGCTTTTCCCCCTTTGCTCAGCACTTCTTGCTGCTGCCATGTGAAGAAGAATATGTTTGCTTCCCCTTCCGCCATGATTGTTAGTTTTCTGAGGCGTCCCAAGCCCTGCAGAACTGTGAGTCAGTTAAACCTCTTTTCTTTATGAATTAATTACCCAGTCTTGGGTATGTCTTTATTAGCAGTGTGAGAACAGACTAATGCAGATGGTTAGCATCAGAATTGTACTGCAGTTCACTAGTGGGACTGTACATTGTCTGTATTTTTCTTGAGGACATGCTATGCCAGATTGCCTTAGATTTTTAGGTCACAGATTTTCTTATGTAGGGACTTAATGATTCTGGAAATAAGATATTGTGGCATTATTTCTGTTGATCTAAGCCAGATGTTGGCAAACTTTTTCGGTAAAGGACCAGATATTAACTACTTCAGGGTTTGTGTCCCGAATGGTCTCTATCACAACTATTCAACTTTGGTCATCGTAGTGTGAAAGCTGCCGTAACAGTATGTGAGAAATGGGCATAAAACTTTATTTGCAAAAGCTGGCAGAAGACTGGATTTGGCTCATGGGCTAATAGATTACCAACTTCTTTTCTAAATTGTCTTGGAAATGGGCTTTAATGTTCTCCCAGGAGAAAAGGAAATGGAGAAGGAGCTGTGATTTTGACTTGTAAGGAGGCCTAGAAGTACTCATCTTTTGTTTTAAATTAAAGGACTTCTATTATAAAAGAAATATAAGCTTGTAGAAAATTTGAAAAATGTGAAAAAATAATAAATATAAGTCATATTTATTGGGTGTTGACAAGTCAGGTACTCTTCTAAATTCTTAAATACATGAGATGGTATTCATTTTATGATCATTTTACAGGTGAGCATATTAAAGTGCAGGGAGTTTAACCTAACCAAATAAATGATTATTAAGTGATAAAGCTAGAATTGAAAACCAAGCATTTGACTCTGAGGCCTAAGTTTTTAACCGCTCTGCAATAACAGGGGTCATTACCCTTGTATCCCACTGCCTAAATGTACTACAAGGTAGTGCTTTTTGTTTTTTCAGTTATTTTTCTCTCTGCAAACAAAGCTAGATTTTCTCACTCTACATTATCAGTTTTACAATATTACAACTAATTTTGTACTCAAAACAGCCACTTCATGTCATGTCAAGTTGATTACCTGTGGCTGAAGAGAGAAGTGGGTGGGACACTAGAAAGCCGTCATCAGAGGCCAACAGCTCTGCAGCTCCTTGTAGTTGGCAGAATGCTGCTTTTACAGACTTTCCCCAAGGGTATTTGGCTAGTGAGGGCAGAGCTGGTGTTTGCACACAGGTTTTTATTTTCTACTTTAAATTTTGAGTCTTCTCAGAAATACCTGCTCCCCACTTCATCCTCATTTTGATTCTCCCTTTACTACTATTTCCTGCCCTCTATTGTAGTACAATAAGTGGTACAAAAGAAGAATAAATAGCGGGTTCAGAAACAGCCTTAAGGCTGGGTGCCGTGGCCCACGCCTATAATCCCAGTACTTTGGGAGGCTGAGGCGGGTGGATCATTTGAGGTCAGGAGTTTGAGACCAGCCTGACCAACATGGTGAAACTCCATCTCTACTAAAAATTAAAAAAAATTAGCTGGGCGTGCTGGCACATGCCTGTAGTCCCAGCTACTTGGGAGGCTGAGGCAGGAGAATTGCTTGATCTCGTGAGGCAGAGGTTGCAGTGAGTTGAGATCACTCCACTGCATTCCAGCCTGGGCAACAGGCAAAATTTTATTTTATTAAAATAAAATAAGAAACAGCCTTAAAAACTAGGAATAAAGAATACCACAGAATACTAAAATGGTATGCAAAGTCTGAATATAGAAAGATCTCACACCTTAAACAAAAACTAACTCAAAATGGATCATGGACTTAATGTAAAACTATAATAAAACCTTTAGGGAGAATAAAACTAAGAGGAAAGCTTCAGCTTACAGGGCTAGGCAAAGAGTTCTTGACACCAAAGAATTAATACCAGATGTGCAATGTATAAAGGAAAGATCGATGAATTTAAAACTTGCTCTGGGCCAGACGCAGTACCTCATGCCTGTAATTCTAGCACTTTGGGAGGCCAAGGGAAGAGGAGCCATTGAGCCCAGGAGTTTAATTAAGACCAGCTTAGGCAACATAGTGAGACCTTGTCTCTAGTAAAATAAAAAGTAAGTAAATAAAATAAATAAAAAATTGTCCAGGTGTGGTGGTGTGCACCTGTAGTCCCAGCTACTCAGGAGTCAGAAGCAGAGAATCTTTTGAGCCTGGGACATCAAGCCTGCAGTGAGCCATGATCACACTGCTGCACTCCAGCCTGGGCAACAGAGCCAGACTGGTCTCACAAAAACAAACAAACAAAACCTTTCTCTGCAAAAGACCATGTGAAGATGTAAAGATAAATATAGACTAGGAGAAAATATTTGCAAGTCACACACCTGACAATGGACCTAGTTTCTGGAATATAGAAAGAACTCTCGAAACTCAATAGTATAAAAATAAAGGAAACAGGGAAAAGAGATGAGCACACATTTCCCTGAAGGGGAAATACAGATGGTAAAAACGACATGAAAACCTGTTCAACATTGTTAGCCACCAGGCAATGCAAATTAAAACCCAAAACACAAAACAGTGACAACACCAAATACTGGCAAGGATGTGGAGAAACTGGATCACGCATGCATTACTAGAGGGTATGTGAGTGATACAGCTACTCTGGAAAAAACAGTTTGGCAGTTTCGTATAAATCTAAACATGTGGTTACTATAATTGACCTACTAATTGCTCTCTTGGGGATTCTCCCAAAGAAATGAAAATTTATATTTGCATTAAAACATGTATATAAATGTTCATAGCAGCTCTGTTTATAATAGCCCCAAACTGGAAACAACCCAGATGTATTTCAGTAGATGTACTGTTAAACAGTGATACGTTCATACCATGGAATACAACTCAGCAATAAAAAGGAATAAAGTGTTGGCACACACAACAACCTGGGTAAGTCTCCAGAGAATTAGGCTGAGTGAAAAAAGCCAACTCCAAAAGGTTACATGTGCATGATTTCATTTATATGACCTTTTTAAAATGAAAAAATTTTAGTCATGAATAATAGAGGAATGGTTGCCAGGGCTTGGGGGGAAGGGCAGGAGGAAGATGAGTGTGATTATAAAAGCGACACACTGGATTCTCAGGGTGCTGACACTGTTCTGTGTCTTGACTGGTGTTCATGAACCTACACAGCAGAGAAAATTGTGTAGAACTAAATACATGAACAAACACAAATGAGGACATACAAAACTGAGACCTTCTGAACAAGGCAGGTGGATCGTACCAGTGTCGCTGTGCTGCTTGTGATGTTATGCCATAGTGTTTGCAGAATGATACAGTGGGGAAACTGAGTTAAAATATAGCTCTTTTTACTATTTCTTGCAACTGCATGTGAATCTACAGTTATCTCAGTGAAAATTCATGTTAAAAATACATACACACAGAGAAGCACAGGAAGCAAAACAATTAGAAAGTCAGGAAAGACCCCTTTTGTGAGTTAAAAATTCTTAAAACTCCCTCACAGATGTCATCCATTTTCACTATGAGATGATTTGCAGAGAACTTTGTGGGGGAGATTGGGTTGATAAGAAGTAGGATTACATGTTGAGATCTTCATAATCAAAAGCAGACCTCATCCTCTACCTTCCCCCAACCCAGTCCTGGAGGAAGTATGTAATTTTGTCTCTAAAGGTGACAGAGAAGCATAGTCTCATCGCCTGCAAGGAAACTGGCTCCCAGGTATATCCCTGGGGAAAGCTGCCCAGTATGTAAGTAATACTCAAATGGCGCCTGGTGTGGCTTCCTGGTACCACGGGTTTGTGTGCATGTGCTGCCTGTACCATCAAGAAGCTTAAATTCTAGGGTGTGCAGACCTTGTCTTATTTCTAAGCATCCATGCCGTGTGCACAACTGCCACGTACCTCATTCTGAAGTGAATTTCATTTTATTTTTCTAACAAGATTAAATCTTCTGTTTAACAATAATGCAGTATAAAAGTATGGCCATCTTAAAATTTGTTAGCAATAATATAGCCAACTTCAGCTCATGTAAGCTAAAAGTTGGTTTTAGGCATATGCAGTTCTGTCAAGGATAGGTTATTGTATGAATGCAGTACTAGACCAGATCGAAGGATTTGAATTCTAACTCTTACCATTTGCTAATTTAGAACATTTAGAGGCTTAGTTTCTTTATCTGTAAAATGAATTCTGTATTTATCTCCAGTGTGTTAAGAACTGCAAGGACCACTGGAAATACAAACACAGTTAAGACAGTAACGCACTTTGAATTAAAAGGCAAGGAGATGTTATTACAAATGAACATCTAAATTATTGATATCTCTATAAAATTGAGGTTGTAGTACGATGTTCAGTCTTGGCCTGTGTACGTTTTGGACCAGATAATTGGTTGTAGGGTAGAAGAAAGAGCGTCCTGTGCATTACCGGGTGTTTAGCAGCAGGCCGGACTCTACACACTTAATGTTAGTGGCCCCCTGATTTGCGACAAACAAAAATGCCTCTTAGTTTTTTAACTCTTTTAGAATTTGTCCAGCATGTTTTTTGGTGTTAATAAAAACCCGCACACAGAGAAATGCTTCTGGACGTTGCCAAATTCCCCCAGGGAAACAAAATTGCCCTCGGTTGAGAACCACTGAGTTACAGGGATAAAATTATCAGATGTGTTCGTTTTATAAAAGAATTTAATAATATTTTAAAGCATATCACATATATTTTTGCCGAGGCTGGTCTATTTGATTGGAAGAAGAGTCCATTTTCCTCCCGCATATCCCCTTTTGGAGTTGGGAGTGCATTCTGAGAGAAGCTGTGCTCAGATTATTTGGAATCTGCACCCTAGTGAGGAGCGAGGTTGAAGCTGAAGTCCTTAAGTATGACAGAAGCATGGGTGGGAAGGTACCGAAAGACCAAAGAATTTGGGGATGGGGAGGTAGGAAAGGTGTCTCCAAACTCACATGCATATACATATTTTCCTTAACACCTGAGGTGAAAGAACACCCCTGTTATATCTTGTCTGTTCTAAAGAGATGTGGTGAAGAGAATTTGCAGTGAGTTAAGAATCACTAAAGTTTCTGTGATTCAGTGAAATTGCCTTTGAAACATTGTAGGAGTGTCTTATATTTGATAGAAGATTAAAAAAATGCATGGCATGGGCATTTTCTAGGGCTCTGAGTACTCTTAATAGACCCTTATCTCTGGATGTGAATTCATGAGGTTCAAAGGTCCCTGCCAGTCAAATGGCAAACTATGGAATTTCCCTGTCCTCTAGAGATTGCTTTACTGTCTACTGAGGTTGATCATCTTTTTCATATGGTTATTGGCCATTTATTTTTCTTTAGTGAATTGTCTTCTTGCCCTTTGCTTACATTTCAGTCACAACATTGGTTTTCCCATTTCCTTTTTTCCTTTTCACTGTCGAATTATAACAGTTTTTATGTATCTTTACATTGTAAAGTTATTAATGTTGTAATCCTTATTTGCCTGTTTTTATCCTTATTCAGTGTTTATTTTTGCCCATTCTCTGACCTTTGACATTTCTGCATTTTGTATTAAATTGTTATAGTTAGGTTCCAGTTGTTTGATGCAATCCTTTTGTCTTTATATAAACAGTTGAGTTTATCTTATTTAGTCTCACTGTAGATGTGTTTAATCTTTTCCATCTGCTTTTTATGCATTCATATTGGCTTTTGTTTTGTTTTTAATCTCTTGATAATGGGGCTCAATTTTCAGATATACTTTTAAGATATGTTTATGCCTTTATTTCTCAAATTGCTTCAGAAACAAAATAGTGTCTATTGTGATCTTCCTTATTCTCATAACACTTAAGGATGTGTTGGCATGTTCTGAGATTTTTATTCTTGTTTATTACAGTTAAATGATTATTTTTCTGTTTTGTGGCATATACTTCAAAAACAATATTTATTTTCTGATTTTCTAACTTTATTTCCACAGATCCTTTGCATTGAGTATCTGCTTATCTTTCACAAGACAGCTTCCTCATTTGTGAGTCTTCGTATGAGTAATTTCAGTGGTCAGATTCTGTCTTCATGATAATTTTTTTCTCCTCAAGAAAGTGCACATGAGTGATACACGTCCTGAGTTCCTTTTCTGTAGACTTCATGTGAGACCATAGCTTCTCATGCTCTAGAATTCTGTCATAACCATTATTGATGTATAAATGACATACAATAAACTGCATGTGTTTAAATTATGTAATTTAAAAAGTTGGCATAATTATGTACCTGTGAAATTATTACTACAATCAAGATAATGGACATACGTGTCACCCTTAAAAGTCTACTTGTGCCCCTTGGTAATCCCTTTACGCTCCTTATCTTTAGGCAACCACCAGTCTGCTTTCTGTCACTGTCAGGAAGTTTACATTTTAAAACACTTTATATAAATGGAGTCATACAGAATGTACTTTTTTGAGGGTCTGGGTTGTTCCACTCAGCATAATTATTTTGAGATTAATCTGTGTTGTTTTGTATATCAATAGCTTATTCTTTTTATTGCTGAGTCGTATTCCATTGTACGGATATAACACAACTCATGTGTCTGTTCACCTGGATACGTGGAAGTTTGGGCTGGTGGAAATTTGGGCTGTTCCAATACTGAGCTGTAACAAAGCTGCTACGAACATTTATGTACAAGCCATTCATTGTACGGACAAATGCTTTTGTTTCTCTTGGGCATATATCTAGGAGTGGAGTGATTTGGTCATATGGTAGGTGTATGTTTAACTTTGTAAGAAATTGGCTTCAAACTATACTACAAGGCTATAGTAACCAAAACAACATGGTACTGGTACCAAAACAGGTATGTAGACCAATGGAACAGAACAAAGGCCTCAGAAATAATGACATTTATGCAGCCAACAAACATAAGAAAAAAAAACTCATCATCACTGGTCATTAGAGAAATGCAAATCAAAACCACAATGAGATACCATCTCACACCGGTTAGAATGGCAATCATTAAAAAGTCAGGAAACGACAGATGCTGGGGAGGATGTGGAGAAATAGGAACGCTTTTACATTGTTGTGGCATGTGTCAGAATTTTCTTCCTCTTTAAGACTGGATCGTATTCCCTTGTATGTATAAATCACATTTTGTTTATCTGTTCACCTGTCAATGGGCATTTGGGTTGCTTCTACCCCTTAATGGTTGTGAATAATACTGCTGTGAATGTGGGTTCATGCAGTATCTTTTTGAGCCCCTGTTTTCAGTTCTTTAGGGTATATACACAGAAGTGGGATTGCGGGTCGTATGGTAATTCTATGTTTAATTTTTTTGGGAACCACAATACTGTTTTCCATAGTGGCTACACCATTTTAATATTCACACTAACAGTGCACAAAGGTTCCAGTTTCACCACATCCTTGCCAAAGATCCTTATTTTCTTTTTAAAATTTTAAATAGTAGTCATCCAAACAGGTATGAAGTGGTATCATTGTGGTTTTGATTTGCATTTCCCTAATGGTTAGTGATGTTGAGCATCTTTTAAAGTGCCTACTGGCCATTTGTGTATTTTCTTTGGAGAAATGTTTGAGTCCTTTGCCCACCTTTTAGTTTGGTTGTTCTTCTGTTATTGAGTTGCAGGAGTTCTTGATATATTCTAGATATTAATCTCATCAGATATTTGATTTATAAATATTTTCTCCCACTGCATGGGGAATAGATGTAATTTTCATAATAAAAAGTTAAAGAAATTTTTCTTTACAGAAAATAGAAGAGCTCAACCAATACCAACTCATTTACCACCCAGACTCAACGGTTATTACCATTTTGCTGTGTTTGCTTTATCCATACACCTCCCCACACACACAAATTATTTTGCCAAGACATCTCAAAGAAAATTAAGGACACCCTTACACTTTACCTAGTACGCATCTTGAAAAAATTAGGACAGTTTTCTACATCTGCCACATTTTCTGCATAAACAGTCTCCAAAATACTATTTCAAAATAATATATATTATTGGGAAAAAATAATGCTGTTTTTTCTCATTTTGATGTAGCAGATAACCTTTTGGGATAAGTTCACTGATGGTATTCCTTATAGCATTGGCATTTTCTCGTACATCAATAAGAACTTCCATTTCTTCATCACCTGAACTACAGCTGTTGCCTCCAACTTCCTACTTTTTCTCATCTTCCTTATCTTTAAAACCTAAAGTAGACCAAACTTCTTCCCATGACTTCCTTACAAGGCAGAGCATTATCTGGCCTCTGCTTAGCCCTCCAGTCTCATTTTCTCCTTCTCTCCCAGCTCCAGCAGAGAGACCTGCCATCTGTTTCTTGAACATACCAACCTCTGCTCTCTATGAGGGCCTTCACATGTGCTGTTTTCTCTACCACCATCCATCCCACTGCCACACTGCTTTTTTTAATCCTTCAGGTTTTTATGTAAATATTGTCTCTTCAGACAGGCCTTCCTTCATGATGTGTTTAAGTATGGCAACTATTTATTCCTGTTCACAGCACCTTTTCAATATTTTGATAATCCTATTTCAGTATATAAATATGTATTTTTAAATGACTATCTCCCTCACACACACCACCCACTGTACCTTGAGTTCCATGACAGTGGGAATCATTACCACCAGCACCTGGCAAGCAGTTAGTGAGCAGGGAACAGTCCGAGGCACAGCAGCCTCACAAAGTGATTGTCAAAGGGGCTGTTCTCAGGATGTGTCGGTTTGGCACACTTTTAAAAATCCATCGCATTACTTTCTGTTACTTCATGTGTGTTTACAATTTGATCTAGTCATTGTATGTGATTTGGAGACCAGGTTTAACCTTAAAATCCAAATGGGTATAAAATGAATGTTGAAACTAAAATAGAATATTTTGGATATTCCATATGTCTGTAATATAAATATTTGGCTTCAGTTTTTTAATCATTATTTTATTCCTTTTACAGACCGAGACAACACTTGGACTCAGTTCATATCAGCAGAAAAGGTAAGTATATTTAATAAGATAATTAACATACTTTCGGTTCCTTCTGGGGGATTCCTGTGGTTCTCCCTCCTCTTTCCCCTTGCTCATTTTGGTGAAGAAGGAATAGCAAATTGTAAATCACATTATATGATTATTTCTAAGTGTTGTGTGTGGGAAACCAGGTTTAAGTTTGAATGTGCACATCATGCAATTGTGTAGCATGCCTCCCCTGTCGTGTACGAAGGGCTGTTACTCAGCTGAAACTCCCCTTGCTTTGTGAGATGATCAGCTGTGTAACTCCTTAGAGGCTTCTCTTGTGGCTATCCCTGCTTTTGATGTACTGACCACTGCTGCCCCCAGTTACCAGGGGTCTGCCCGCAGGCCCCCAGAGAAGGATCTCAGACCTGCGAAACCCAGTCTTGTGACTTGGAGAGACCGCTTTTAAATACAGCTTCCCTGTGATAACAGGGGGATGGTTTTACCTCAGGTGTTAAGGAAAATAGGTACATGCATGTGAATTTGGAGACACTTTTCCTGCCTCCTCACAACCAAATTATTTGGTCTTTTGATACCTTCTCACATCTGTAAAGAGACATACTGTGCTGATTCTCTTTCTATATGCGGTGAAAGTCTGTTCTGGTGCCTAAAGGTGAGAGAGAGCTTTCTTTGAGTTGGATAAAACAGTCCCTCCAGCAGCTATTTTGTGTTCACTCCCAGCCCTTAATGATTGCTCCCCGGAGGACCATAGATGTAAAGGAAGTTAGCTTAGAAGATTCAGCGTAATGGTATAGTTGCTCTTCCTGTTTGCCAGAAACAACTAGTCAGGCACCAGTACCTGTTCTAGTGAGCGCCCTTTAGTAACAATTGAACGGCTGGCAGTGGTGTCAATAGGGCTTTCAGGTAAGGAGCCCACATCATGGATTTAAGAACCCAGTTATTTTACAGTGTGTGTTTTTAGAAGTATGTTTTATTCTGTCAGTATATTTATTCCTTAAATGACAGCAAGGCAAATTTATCCTTAAAAATTATTACTATCCACTGAAATCAGACACTTAGCTACCAAAGTGGCTATGGCAACAGAAGGTGTCCCCACCCTTGCTGTCATCACTGCAGTTTCCATTCTGATGTAGCAGGAACAGGGAAGCATTTGTTCCTCCTAGGCCTTCATGTTTAAAGTACATCTATGAATGTCTCCAGACTAGCGAAATGCAGACTGCATCAACAAAGAATTTTGCTTTGAGAGAGAAATATAAAATATTCAGACTATTAGGAGGACAATTAAAACTTCTTACCTCATAAATAATGAAAATTCTTTAGTATTCACTATTTTTTCTCTTTTTACTCTTTCATCTCTGCAGTAACATGGCCCTTTTCCCCCATTGTTCTGTCATTCTCTCTAATATTATATGCCCTGTTGGGACCTGCCCTGTCTGTGAATCTTGCCCAAATATTTAACACTGGCATGGGTTGTCTCCAAACCACTGCATGTTTAGCCTGATTCCTCCTTGGCTGGACCATCTAAGAACCCTAGAACTCTCTAACCACATCTAGAGCCAAAATAATGGTGAGAAAAACATATATGTTATCTTGTGATTCTTCCTTGATTCTTTATTCCAGCAATTAGGAAATTAGCTGTGGAATTAGACTGCACTACATTTACGAAGATGAGGATGTTCATTCGTGATCAAAATTTGGGCTTTAAGTATTTTCCTAGTATAATGAAGAATTGACATCAGTACATAATTATATTCTCATCTCATGCTCTACTTATCTATTATCTACTTCTATCTAAAAGTTAGTGGCATAAAATAACCATTTTATGATGCTCTCAAACTCTGTCAGAAATTCAGGCAGGGGACAGCAAAGACAGCTTGTCTCTTCTCCATGATCTGGGGACTCAGCTGGGGAGATTTCAGAGTTGGAAATGACTTGATGGCTGGGAGCTGGAGGCATGTTCATTACATGTTGATGCTAGTTTCTAGCTGGGACCTCAGCTGAGCTCTCAACTAGAATGCCTATATGTAGGCCTCTTTGTGTGGCCTTCACATGGGCTAGTTTGGGCTTCCTCCTAGTATGATGGCTGGACTCCAAGAGTGAATGTCCCAGAGGAAACTAGTGAAAGCTGTATCACCTTAATCTGCCCTTGGAAGTCATAATATTACTTCTGCTGCCATATGCTATTAGTCAGCAAGTCACTTAGATTGGCCTAGATTCAAGATAAGGGTGGGGAGAAAGAGCTCCGTACCTACTGATGACAGGAATATTAGGTTTGTAGACAGAATTTACAACTGTCACATTTTACATTTTGTGTGTGTGTGACCAGGATCATGAGTTGGGTAAATATTTAATTCAAATTAGTATGCAGATTGGGTATGGGACTGGGTTAAGCCCTAAAACATGTCTTAGTGAGTCCAGGATGCTATAACAAAATACCATAGACTGAGTGGCTTAAACAACAGACATTTATTTCTCACAGTTCTAGAGGCTCAGAAGTCTAGGATCAAGGGCTTGCAGACTTGGGCCTGGCAGACTGTTTTGATGCTGATGAAAGACTGATAACCATATGGACCACTAACATATACCTTAGGTGTCTTGATACCCCTTACAACTAAACCCTGAGAGGCTTACAGCATCCGTTTATAAGACCCTCTTCAAAAGCACAGCTTTCTTTTAGAGTAGATTGCATTTTGTCATTTCATCAACACATATGCTTTATAACCTCATCAGAAGTGGTGTCTCCAATATCCTCCAGAGGTATTTGGGTGTGTTTAACGGCCAGAGGATATTGGCAGATCTCATTTTCTACAGGCTTTGTGCTACAGAGGCTTATCTTGAGGAGGGCCGGTGGCATCCAGGTGATGCCTGTTCCTCTACAGAGAATTTAATACATCAATTTTATGTGTTCAGCAATTTAAAGGAAGACATGAACATAATGAGGGAAAATGGACAGTATGAAAAAGAAACAAATGAAGCCTCTAGAGTTGAAAAATGTTGTTTCTGAAATGAGTATTTCACTGGATAGGATTAAGAACAACCTAGACATTGCAAAAGAAAAGCTTAGTGAGTTTGAAGACAGTGACAGCAGTAATTTAAACTGAAGCACAGGGAGAAAAATGACTAAAAAACAAATAAACCCTTGGTGACCTCTGGTACAGTAGTAGCAAGCAGTCTAACACATGTCTAAGTGAGTTCCTAGGAATTGGGAGAGGGAGGAGCTGTCAAAGAACTTTAATAAACCTGAAGCAAGAGTAACACAGAAAGTCACACCAAGCCAGATAATATTCAAGTTGTCGAAAATCAGTCATAAATAGAGAAACAGCCAGGGAAGAAAACTAAATATAGTAGTTCAAAAGATAGGAATGACTGCTGGTTGTTCATCAAGGACAAATGCCACCCCAAAACCAATGAAATGACATTTTTAAAGTACCAAAAGAAAAAATCGCTAATCTAAAACACTGCTTCCAGCAGGAATATCCTTCAAAAAAAATGAAGACATTTTCAGACAAAACTGAGAAAATTTGCAGTAGACTGGCACTTTTAAGAAATGTTACAGGCTAAAGGTAGTTAACCATTTGAGGTGAAAACACGGATCCTACGAAGAACAAAGACCACCAAAAAGGCAAAAATATGTGGAAAAATATAAAAAATGTTTTCTGGTTAACAAAATGTTAATTTCTAACATTTTAAAAACAAAAATGATTGTTTATAACATGTATACATTGCATATGTGATAACAGCACAAAGGACAGGAGGGTTGCATGGAAGAATTGAGTTGTAAGGTTCTTAGATGTTATGTAAAGTAGTACAATATTATTTGAAGTTAAACTGTGGTAATATGAAATAAGCCCCACACGAAACATTAAAATCAAAAAAAAAAAAAGAACTATAGCCAATAAACTAGTCACGAAGATAGAATGAAATACTAAATGAATACTCAGTTGATCTAAAAGAAGGCATAAACAGAACAAGAGGAATAAAAAGCAGATGGGAAAAATAGAAAACAAATGGCAATATGGCAGACTTAAACCCAAACATATCAGAAACCGTAGTAAATGAATAATTTCAACACCAATTGTCAGATTATATTTAAAAAGCAAGACCCAAGCATATTTTGTCTACAAGAACTTTATTTTAATTTTGTATTTAATATTTTACCTTTTGTTTTGAAATAATTTTAGAGAAAAGATGGAAAAATAGTACAAATAATTCTTATATCTTCTTGACCCAAATTCCTCATTTGTTAATGTTTTTTCATATTTGCTTTATCACTCCTAATCTCTCTTTTTTAACTCTCTCCTTTTCCTTCCCTCCCCATAGCTACCTTTTTATACATACATGTACATGTATTTATAATTTTTCTGAAGCATTTGAAAATCATTTGTAGACATGATGCTATTTTACCCCTAAATATTTCAGTGTATATTTCTTATAAACATGAACATTGTTTTAGAGATCATCATATACTCATCAAATTCAGGAAATTAAGACTGTCTCATACTGCTGTTTAATCTAGAGGCCTCATTGGAATTTTGTAAATTGTCCCATTAACGTCTTTTATTTTAAAAAATTTGGGGTCCAGGGTTCAGACCCTCATATTTAATTTTCACTTCTCTTTAGTCTCTAATGTAGAACTATTGATTTGTCTTTCTTACTCTCTTAGAACTTTGACATTTTTGAAGAGTAGATGCTGTTTATTTTATAGAATAACCCAGATGGGCCTGGGCACGGTGGCTCACAGCCTGTAATCCTAGCACTTTGAGAAGCTGAGGCGGTGGATTGCCTGAGTTTAGGAGTTCGAGACCAGCTTGGGCAACACGGTGAAACCCCATCTCTACTAAAATACAAAATGCGCCTGTAATCCCAGCTACTCAGGAGGCTGTGACAGGAGAATTGCTTGAACCCGGGAGGCGGAAGTTGCATTGAGCCGAGATTGCGCCATTGCACTCCAGCCTGGGCAAGACTCCCTCTCAAAATAAATAAATAAATAAATAAACAAACAAACCCAGCTAGAGTTTTCTGATATTTACTCATTATTTGATTCAGAATTTGCATTTTTGGTGGAATATTACTGAAGTTTGTGTCTCTCCCAATGCATCCTATCAGGAAGCACTTGGCGTCTCTTTGTTCCATTTTTCTCTTATAATTCATAAGTGTCTTGCAGAGAAGTACTTTGAGACTATGCAAGTACTGTGTTTTACATGAAACTCTGACTAGTTTTAGAATCTACTGATGATTCTTGCCTGGAACAGTTATTGCGCTGGCTGGGTTTTCTAAAAATTCTATCACACTTAATCTATGTTTCTTAGTTGACATTCTGATTGAAGTTAAGATTGAGGTCACAGTTCATTTTTATCCAGGTATTTCACCATCATTTGCGCTGTCATAAAAAAATCGCACGTGCTTAGTTAGGTCTATTCTGTGTCATTTACGTGTCCCCAGCAATCATTGAGCACTTCTTACTTTCTGGTATGTTAGGATGTTCCAGGCTTGTTTTGTAATTTCCTTGCCACAGCCCTGGAACAACCTATTTCTTGAAAGACTCCTGCTTCATTTTAGTGGAAGATAATATTGAAAAATTAATCTTTATGTGCCATGTGTACTCATTGCTACTGTAATGTATTAGGATTCTCTTAGAGGGACAGAACTGTTAGGATAAATATATAAAGGGGAATTTATTAAGTATTAATTTACACGATCACAAGGTCCCACAATAGGCCGTCTGCAAGCTGAGGAGCAAGGAGAGCCAGTCTGAGTCCCAAACTGAAGAACTTGGGAGTCCAGCGTTCAAGGGCGAGAACCATCCAGCACAGGAGAAAGATGTAGGCTTGGAGGCTAGGCCCATCTCTCTTTTCATGTTTTCCTGCCTGCTTTATATTTGCTGGAAGCTGATTAGATTGTGCCCACCAGATTAAGGGTGGATCTGCCTTCCCCAGCCCACTGACTCAGATGTTAATCTCTTTTTGGCAACACCCACACAGACACACCCAGGATTAATACTTTGTATCATATCCTTCAATCTAATCAAGTTAACACTCAGTATTAACCATCACAAGTGGTGTCATTATTAGTGAGGTGTCATTATCTCTAGACTCTTAGTAAAAGGAAGAAAATGTTTATGTTTATGTGTATAAATATGTACAGTATACACAAACATATTCCTATTCTTGTATCTGTGTATATTAAAAACCGTGAGTTACTGATGCCTCCAATTTTGATACAAAACCAGTGTTCTGTCTATTCTGTTTCTGTCCATTCTCCAACAATGAGAAATCTGGCTCCAGTTATCTGTCTACAGTAAGTGTATTGATTTGTTCAATCCTAGAATACAGATAAATTAGTTTCAAAATTGTTAACTGTTACAGCCATAAAAAAAGAGTACGGTGTTTAGAGTTCATGTTTTTTCTTTAGTCTGAGTGTATATTGTCAAAATACTGTATTCTAAATTTACATGGGTTATAATGTTCTTCATCTTTCTCTTCATCCTTCTCCCACCCCCACACCCATCTGTGTTGTACATTTTAAATGAAGTTTAGTTTATTTGTTTCTCTCTGTATCCCATTTAGGATTTTTACTCTACTTTAAAATTTTTTTTTATTATTGCATAATACATATTGATGGGGTACATGTGATAGTTTGATACATGCATAGACTGTGTAATGATCAAATCAGGGTGTTTAGGATATGCATCACCTTGAACATTTATCATTTCTTTGTGTTAGGAACATTTCCAATCTTCTCTTCTAGTGACTTTGAAATATGCAATATATGGTTGCTAACTATAGTCACTCTGCCCTGCTGTTAAAAACTAGGGCTTATTCCTTCTGTCTGTTAATAACTGTATACTTGAGCCCAGTAGCCTACCTCTCTTCATCCTCCCTCTCACACCAAAAAGCAAATGCTTCCCAGCCTCTGGTGACTGTCATTCTACTCTTTACCTTCACAAGATAAACTTTTTTAGCTCCCTTCTATAAGTCAGAACATGCAATATTTGCTTTTCAGTGCCTTGCCTGTTTCACTTAACATAAACTCCAGTTCCATCTATGTTGCTGAAAATAACAGGATTTTATTGTTTTTTATGGCTGAATAATATTCCATTGTGTTTAATATATACCTATTTTCTTTGTTCATCCATTGATGGACACTTAGGTTGATTTCATATCTTTGCTACTGTGAATAGTGCTACGGTAAACCTGGGGTTGCAGGTGTATCTTTGAAATACTGATTTCTTTCCCTTTGGATAAATAGCCAGTAGTGGAATTGCTGGGTCAACTCTTATCTCTCACCATATACAAAAATCAACTCAAAATGGATTAAAGACTTATATCTAAGACCCGAAACTATAAAACTACTTGAAGAAAACGTAGAGGAAATGTTCCAAGACATTGATGTAGGCTAAGATTTTAGGGCTAAGATCTCAAAAGCATAAGCAACAAAAATATCCCCATTTAAAAAATTTACTTTTGTGCCATTATTTTTTTACCCACTGTCCTATATATGAGCATTTCATTTGTTTCCCGTATTTTGCAATTGCAAACAGTGCTTCAAAGAATAATCTCTTGTGTATGTATTTTCATATTTTTGAAGGTTATATTCAGGGTAAATTCCTACAACTTGAATTGCTCAATCAAAAGATAAGTGTAGCTGTAATTTGTATTGTTGAATGTATATGTTTAGAAATGACTAACGGTTATATGAAGAAATGCTCTGCATGGCCAGTCATCAGGAATGCTAATCAAAACAAAGATGCATTATCATCTCACACCTGTTAGAAAGGCTGTCATCAAAAAGACAAAAGATAACAAATATTGACCAAGAATGTGTAGAAAAGGGAACCCTGGTTCACTGTTGGTGGGAATGTAAATTAGTATAGGTATTATGGAAAACAGTGTGGCAGTTGCTAAAAAAAATTAAAAATAGAACTGCTATGTGATCCAGCAAATTCATAACTAGGTATATATACAAGAGAAATGAAATAATTATGTCAAAGAGATAGCTGCATTCTCATGTTCATTGAAGCATTATTCACAATAGCCAAGACAGGGAGGAATCAACCTAAGTGTTCATCAGTGGACACGTGGATAATGAAAATGTGGGGGTGTATGTGTGTGTGTCTGTGTGGATTCTTAATAGTATTCCACACATATATAGTGGAATACTGTTAAGCCTTAAAAAATAAGGAAATCCTGTCATTTATGACAACATGGATGAACTTGGAGGACATTATGTTAAATGTGATAAGCCAAGTACAGAAAGATGAATAATGCATGATCTCACTTAAATGGAGAATATAGAAGCAGAGAGTAGAATGGTGGTTACCAGAGCTTGAGGGTGGGGACCAGGGAGATTTGAGAGATGTTAGTCAAAAGACACAAAATTTCAGTTAGAAGGTGTAAGTTCAGCTTAGCAGTTTTTGGACTTTATGATGGTGCCAAAGCACAGTATATGTTCAGTAGAAACAGTATTTCACATTTTGAATTTTGATCTTTCCTGGGCTAGCTGTACAATACTCTTGCAGCTTTCAGTCAGCCACACAATTCAGAGAGTAAACGACTGATACTCTACCTGTACCATGTTACCAGATGACTTTGCCCAACAGTAGTCTAATGTAAGTGTTCTGAGCATGTTTAAGGGGAGACTAGGCTACCTTAAAAGTAAGTTGGTGTATTAAATACATTTTTGACTTGTGATTTTCAACTTATGATGGATTTATTGGTATGTCACCTCATCATAAGTCAAGAAGCATCCGTATTGTGTACTTGAAAATTGCTGAGAGAGTAGATTTTGTGTTCTTACCATAAAAGACAACTATGTGAGGTAATGCATGCATTAGCTCAATGTAGCCATTCTACAATGTGTACATATTTTAAAATATGTTGTACATCATAAATATATACAGTTTTCACTTGTCAAATAGGGAAAGGGATAGATATAAAGTTTATGTGTAGGATAAATTCCTGGAAGTGGGGTTGGTGAGTCAAAAGTAAATGCTGACATTGTTTCATTAAGCATTGACAGATTCTCCTTCAAGGTCTGTGCCACCTTGCATTCCCTCATTGGTGAAAAAAAGTGCCTGTTTCCCACATCCTTTCCAACAGAATGTGTTACATTTTTTATTTTTGCTGATCTGATAGGTCAGAAATTTTATCACAGTGTAGTTTTAGTTTGTCTTTAATTATGTGTGAGGTTAACCATCTCCTGGTATTTAAGAGCCATGCTTATATTTGTCTCTTGATGTTGTCTCTTCATAACTGTTCTACCCATTTTTCTATAGTGCTTTTAATTTTTTCTGATTCAGTTAAGAGTTCTTTATATATTGGAGATATTAGTCCTATTTTGCAAGTGTCTTCTCCTGTTCATCAGTAGTCTTGATTTTGAAGAAATACACTTCTTCGTAAGTATGCAAGTAGGTTAAATGTAAAAAGACCTAGGAAAACAAGTAAACACTAATCTTTAAAATGCTGGGATGGTTATGTTACTCTCAGACAAAGTAGACTTTAGGACAGGGAATATTATCAGAGATAAAGAAGGACATTTTACAATTATGAAGGAGACAGTTCCCCAGGTAGATACAACAATCCCAGATTCTAATATTGGAGCTTTAAAGTACGTGAAGGAAAAAAATGAATAAAACTAAGGGAAGATTTCAACATTCATCTGTTAGTAACTGATAAAATAGATGGAAAATCAGCAAGGGTGTAGATTTGAAGAACACTATTAAGTAACTTGACCTAATAGGTATTTATTAAACACTACATCCACCAAGAGCAGATTATATAGATTATACTCTCTGATTATAGCAAAATTAAATTAGAAATCAGTAACAATGAAAATCCAGATATTTTATAATTAGAAATTAAACCAGAAGCTTTTCAATACTCATGGGTTAAGAAAGAAATCATAAGGGATATTAGAAAATGCTTTGAAAACAAAAGTACAACATATCTTAGTCTGCTTGGGCTAGACTGCCATAACAAAATACCATAAACTGGGTGGCTTAAACAATAGACATTTATTTTCTCACAGTTTGGAATCTGGAAGTCTGAAATCAGGTGTCAGCGTAGTCACTTTACACTGAGACCTGTTTTCCTAGCTTGTAGGTGGCAGCCATTCCACTGTGTAACTCACATGCCCTCTTTGTGCACATGTGTGCATGGGGGCTTTCTGGTGTCTCTTTTTGTAAGGATACTAATCCCATTATATTAGGGCCCCCACCATTATAACCTCATTTAACCTTAATTGCCTGCTTATAGACCCTGTCTCCACATAATAGTCATAGTGGGGATTAGGGCTTCAATATGTGAATTTTGGAGGTAGCGGGTGGGGTGGGGGAGAATTCAATTCATAGAACAACATACCAAGTTTTCTGGAATTTAGCCAAAGCAGTATTTAAATAGACATTTATAGCTTTAAAAGTTTATATCAGATAGAAGAAAAATTTTATAATGAACAATTTACATTTCCAGTTTAAGACATAGAGCATCAGCTTTAAATAGAAGAAAATAAAGGATATACTAGAAATCAATTAAATAGAAAGTGAAAAAAAATCAATGTAAACTAAAACTGATTCTTTGAATGTAGCTAGATTGGTTAAGAAAGGCAGACAAAAAAAATCAGTAATGAAATAGGGGATATCACTACAGATCTTATAAACATTCAAAGAATAAGAGAAATTATGAATCCCTTCATTCTCAAATTCAGCAATTTAGATGAAGTGGTCAAATACTTGAAAGATACAAATTATTAAAACTAACCAAGAGAGAATTAGAAAATTAGTTTTTAAATATCTGTTAAAGACATAGAATTTACAGTTTTAAACCTTTCCACAAAGAAAACTGCAGGCTCATATGACTAAACTGGTAAATTCGATCAGACACCTAGTGAAAAATTACTAGTCTTACATAAACGCTTTTAGAAAAGAGGAATAGAATGTCCTTCCTTACACGTTTTATGAGGTGATTATTGCAGGCATTAAAGAAAGCTAGAAGCGACATCTCTTCAAACATATATTCAGAAATCTCTAACAGAATATTAGCAAATCAAATCCAGAAACGTGATAACAGGGTAATGCATCATGGCCAACAGGGTTTTATCCTAGGAATGCAAGATTATTATTTGAAAACAATATAATTTTTCTTGTTAACAAAATTTTAAACGCCTTTGTAATTATTTGAATAGATGTAGAAAAAGCCTGTGACAACATTCAGCATCTGTTCAGCACATTAAGAATAGAGAAGAATGTCTTTAACCTGATAAAGAGTATCTATGGAAAAGTAACAGTTAACATGGTATTAATGGTAAAAGATTGAATGCTTTCTTTCTAAGATTGGGAAAGTGGCAAGGATGTCCACTTTCATCACTTACATTAAACATTGTACTGGATGTGGTAGTCATTACATTAAGACAAGAAACAGAAATAAGAGCCATCAGATTGGAAAGGAAAAACAAAAAGGATTTTGTCTACAAACCATGTGATTGTGTGCATAGAAAGTCCTAAGGAATATACCAAAAAGTAATACAGTCAGTAATCAGAAGTAACTGATTTCTTCATAACAAATACAAAAATAAAATGTTGTAGAAAAATGTGATTTACAATGGCATAAATCACTGCATACTTTGGGATAAATTTAACAAAAAAAATGTTGAGACCTGTACACTGAAAACTGTAATATAGAGTAATTAAAGAACTCCTAGATATATTGAGAAAGATTCCGCGTTCATGGATTAGAAGACTGTGAAGATGATAATTCTCCCCAGATCAGTTTTAGATTAAGCAATTCCAATAGAAATTTCAACAGACAATTTTTTTTTTTAGAAATTGATAAGCTGCTTTTCAAGATTAGATGGAAAACGTTAAGCATCTAGAATAGACCAAACAAGTTTTAAAAAGAAAAACATCAGAAGATTTAAACTACATGTTTTGAAGATCAAGTTTAAAACTTCTTGTCCAGATGTGTCAAGGTAATTCAATGGCACAAGAATACTCCTTTTCAGCAGGGGTTACAATCCTAGTCTCTGATGAAACAGACTTGAAACCAACAAAGATCAAAAGAGACAAAGAAGGGCATTACATAATGGTAAAGGGATCAATGCAACAAGAAGAGCTAACTATCCTAAATATATATGCACCCAATACAGGAGCACCCAGATTCATAAAGCAAGTTCTTAGAGACCTACAAAGAGACTTAAACTCCCACACAATAATAGTGGGAGACTTTAACATCCACTGCCAATATTCGACAGATCAACGAGACAGAAAATTAACAAGGATATTCAGGACCTGAACTCAGCTCTGGACCAAGCAAACCTAATAGACATCTGCAGAACTCTCCACCCCTAATCAACAGAATATACATTCTTCTCAGCACCAGATCACACTTATTCTAAAATTGACCACATAATTGGAAGGAAAACACTCCTCAACATATGCAAAATAACAGAAATCATAACAGTTTCTCAGATCACAGTGCAATCAAATTCGAACTCAGGATTAAGAAACTCACTTAAAACTGCACAACTACAGGGAAGTTGAACAACCTGCTCCTGAATGACTACTGGGTAAATAATGAAATGAAGGCAGAAAAAAGATGTTCTTTGAAACCAATGAGAACGAAGACACAATGTACCAGAATCTCCGGGACACATTTAAAGCAATGTGCAGAGGGAAATTTATAGCACTAAATGCTCACAAGAGAAAGCAGGAAAGATCTAGAATCGACACCATAACATCAAAATTAAAAGAACTAGAGAAGCAAAAGCAAACAAATTCAAAATCTAGCAGAAGATAAGAAATAACTAAGATCAGAGCAGAACTGAAGGAGATAGAGACACAAAAAACCCTTCAAAAAATCAATGAATCCAGGAGCTGTGTTTTTGAAAAGACCAACAAAATAAATCACTAGCCAGACTAATAAAGAAGAAAAGAGAGAAGAATCAAATCGATGCAATAAAAAATGATAAAGGGGATATCACCATTTATCTGACAGAAATAAAAAACTACCATCAGAGAATACTATAAACACCTCTACGCAAATAAACTAGAAAACCTAGAAGAAATGGATAAATTCTTGGACACATACACCCTCCTAAGTCTAAATCAGGAAGGAGTCGAATCCCTGAATAGACCAATAACAAGTTCTGAAATTGAGGCAGTGATTAATAGCCTACCAACCAAAAAAAGTCCAAGACCAGACAGATTCACAACCAAATTCAACCAGAGGTACAAAGAGGAGCTGGTACCATTCCTTCTGAAACTATTCCAATCAATAGAAAAAGAGAGAATCCTCCTTAACTCATTTTATGAGGCCAACATCGTCTGATCCAAAACCTGGCAGAGACACATCAAAAAAAGAAAATTTCAGGCAAATATCCCTAATGAACATCGATGCGAGAAGCCTCAATAAAATCTGGCAAACCAAATCCAGCACCACACCAAAAGGCTTATCTACCACGATCAAGTTGGCTTCATCCCTAGGATGTAAGGCTGGTTCAACGTATGCAAATCAATAAACGTAATCCATCACATAAACAGAACCAACGACAAAAACCACATGACTATCTCAATAGATGCAGAAAAGGCCTTCGACAAAATTCAACACCCCTTCATGCTAAAAACTGTCAATAAATTAGGTATTGATGGAACATATCTCAAACTAATAAGAGCTATTTATGACAAACCAACAGCGACTATCAAGCTGAATGGGCAAAAACTGGAAGCATTCCCTTTGAAAACTGGCACAAGACAAGGATGCCTTGTCTCACCACCCCTATTCAACACAGTATTGGAAGTTCTGGCCAGGGCAGTCAGGCAAGAGAAAGAAATAAAGAGTATTCAAATAGGAAAGGAGGAAGTCAAGTTGTCTCTGTTCGCAGATGAAATGATGGTATATTTACAAAACCCCATCATCTCAGCTCAAAATATCCTTAAGCTGATAAGCAACTTCAGCAAAGTCTCAGGATACTTCACTGTGCAAAAATCACAAGCGTTCCTATACGCTAATAACAGACAGCCAAATCATGAGTAACTCCCATTCACAATTGCTACAAAGAGAACAAAATACCTAGGAATCCAACTTACAAGGGATATGAAGGACGTCTTCAAGAAGAACTACAAACCACTGCTCAAGGAAATTAAGAGAGGACACAAACAAATGGAAAAACTTTCCATGCTTATGGATAGGAAGAATCAATATCGTGAAAATGGCCATACTGCCCAAAGTAATTTATAGATTCAATGCTGTCCCCATCAAGCTACTATTGACTTTTCTTCACAGAATTGAAAAAAACTACTTTAAACTTCATATGGAACGAAAAAAGAACCCACGTAGCCAAGACAACTCTAAGCAAAAAGAACAAGGCTAGAGGCATCATGCTACCTGACTTCAAATTATTCTGCAAGGCTGCAGTAACCACAACAGCATGGTACTGGTACCAAAACAGATACATAAACCAATAGAACAGAAGTGAGGCCTCAGAAATAACACCACACATCTACAGCCATCTGATCTTTTGACAAACCTGACAAAAACAAGCAATGCAGAAAGGATTCCCTATTTAATAAATGATGTTGGGAAAACTGGCTAGCCATATGCAGAAAACTGAAACTGGACCCTTTCGTTATACCTTATACAAAAATTATCTCAAGATGGATTAAAGACTTAAAACGTAAAACCTAAAACCATAAAAATCCTAGAAGAAAACCTAGGCAATACCATTCAGGACGTAGGCATGGGCAAAGACTTCATATCTAAAACACCAGAAGCAATGGCAGCAAAAGCCAAAATTGACACATGGGATCTAATTAAACTAAAGAGTTTCTGCACAGCAAAAGGCACTATCATCAGAGTGAACAGGCAGCCTACAGAATGGGAGAAAATTCTTGCAATCTATCTGACAAAGAGCTAATATCCAGAATCTACAAAGAACTTAAATTTACAAGAAAAAAAAACCATCAAAAAGTGGGTGAAGGATATGAACAGACACTTCTCAAAAGAAGACATTTATGCGGCCAACAAACATATTTAAAAAAGCTCATCATCACTGGTCATTAGAGAAATGCAAATCAAAACTACAGTGAGATACCATCTCACGCCAGTTAGAATGGCGATCATTAAAAAGTCAGGAAATGACAGATGCTGGAGAGGATGTGGAGAAATAGGAACGCTTTTACGCTGTTGGTGGGAGTGTAAATTAGTTCAACCATTGTGGAAGACAGTGTGGTGATTCCTCAGGGACCTAGAACTAGAGATACCATTTGACCCAGCAATCCCATTACTGGGTATATACCCAAAGGACTATAAATCATTCTGCTATAAAGACACATGCACACATGTGTTTATTACAGCACTACTCACTATAGCAAAGACTTGGAACCAACCCAAATGTCCATCAAAGATAGAGTGGATAAAGAAAATGTGGCACATATACACCATGGAATACTATGCAGCCATTAAAAAGGGTGAGTTCATGCCCTTTGCAGGGACATGGATGAAGCTGGAAACCATCATTCTCAGCAAACTAACACAAGAACAGAAAACCAAACACCTCATGTTCTCACTCATAAGTGGGAGTTGAACAATGAGAACACATGGACGCAGGGAGGGGAACATCACACGCCTGTCGGGGGTTGGGCGGCTAGGGGAGGGATAGCATTAGGAGAAGTACCTAATACAGGTGATGGGTTGATGGGTGCAGCAAACCACCATGGCACATGTATACCTGTGTAACAAAACTTCACGTTCTGCACATGTACCCCAGAATTTAAAGTATATTAAAAAAAAGTCTTTTTCAACAAATGATAGTAGGCCTACTGGATATTTACAGAGAAAGAAAAAGTGAACTTTAATCTTTAACTCACACCATCGCCACAATTAACTTAAAACAGACAATAATAAATAGGCTCATGTCTAAAAGTTAAAGGTTTAAAATTTTTAGGATAAAACCAAGCTTTTCATAGAAATATTTGCAAACTGGACAAAGCTTTAAAATACCAAAAACACATACCATAAAAGAAAAAATGAGGCCAGGCACAGTGGCTCACGCCTATAATTCTAACACTTTGGGAGGCTGCAGTGAGAGGATCACTTGAGACTAGGAGTTTGAAACTAGCCTGGGGAACATAGTGACACCCTGTATCTACAAAAAATAATAATAAATTAGCTAGTTGTGGTGGTGTGTGTCTGTAGTCCCAGCTGCTTGGGAGGATGAAGCAAGAGGGTGGCTTGAGCCCAGGAGGTCAAGGCTGCAGTGACCCATGATTGGACCACTAACTACACTCCAGCATGGGCGACAGAGTGAGACCCTATCTCAAAAAAGAAAAAATGATCATCATTTCGACCTCATCAGAATTTAAAACTTAGGCTCTTCAAAAGACACCATTAATAAAAGGAAAAGGTAAACCAGGACCAGGGTAAAAATATTTGCAGCACGTAACAGAGAACTCTTACAACTGAATAATAAGACAGACATTCCAGTTAAAAAACTTTCCACAGACGTTTACAAAAGATACCTAATTGTACACCAAGTAAATGGAAAGATGGTCAACATTATTCATCATTAGGGAAGTGCAAATTAAAAATGTGTTTATGGGAGAATATATATCATATAGGAGAAGTCTTATTCATTTAAATCACTGTTTATTTAGCTGGCTCTTTAATAAAAATCATATTTGAAATCAATTTAAACTGCTGGTGACTTTGATAGTTTTACTGGTTAAGGCACTTCCTTCCCCACCTCTTATTTGTGGCTGTAATGTTTGTGGATCAAGATGCAAAATAGTGGCTCCTAAATGTGAGGGTGCTTAAAAATGCAGGTTTCTGGGGTCCATTCTGCTTACAAGGAATTAGATTCTGGAGGTGGGGCCCCAGAATCTGCATTTCCACAAACATTGTAGGTGTTTATGATGCAAATACATCACAAACAATTGTTTTAAAAATGCTGGGCCAAAGAGTATCTTTTGTTTAGGTAGTAGTTGATCCTAGGAAAACATTTTAAACTCCCAGAGACCCAAGAAGCCCATATGTTTGATTTGGGAGTTTCCTGCTCAACTTTGACCTGACAGTTCAACAAGCAGTATGACCATTTCCCACAAGATTTCTTGTATCTCTTCAGTTGTTTCCTAGCTTGAAATCAGAAAATAGTCTTCATTCATCTCCATATAAATAAGATTTTAGTGAAAATTTATAAAACCAATTGTATTGACACTTCAGAACATGTGTAATCATTGCAGAAAGCATAAAATAATGCAATATGCTATCATAATGTCTCAGATTTTGTTGCTTTGAAATTGTCAAAGGGTGAGCCCAGCACACTGGCATGCTGCATCTGTAGTCCCAGCTACTCAGGAGGCTCTAACACAGGAGTTTGAGACCAGCTTGGGCAACATAACGAGACCCCTGTCTCTCAAAAATAGTAATAATAATAATTTTAAAAATCAGGGAAAAAACTGCAATGATATTAGCAAAGGCCACCACTCTTTATATTGCATCTTCCCTAGTTTGTTTTTCAATATTACATATTTGCAGACATTTGCTTTCTGTTAATAAAGCACTAAACAGTGCCATGTTAAATAAACGTGGATAGGAACCATTTGAATCAGCTGTGGAGACAGCTGTGTTACTGCATTTTTGGTTTGGTTAACATAGGATTGTACCTGTGTCAACTTGTATCGTACTCACTCGGATATTAAACTGTTCCTTAGATATAGATCTGGTATGGTTTTGAAAATATGCTTTTATTTATGAGGGAATCATATTTGATGTACTGTTTCTTCTATATCATTCTGTGAGCACTTTGTAAATATCACAGTAACAGTTGCTGGACATCACATCTTTGAAGCATTTTACAGGAGATCTTAGCACAAGACATAAAAAATAAAACTTATCTAAGGATTTGAAAGGAAGAATCAAATTGTTACTTGCAGATGATTTGTCTACAGTGATCATCCAAGATAGTGCTCATTTTGGCAGCACATATAGCAGCAGTGGAAAATCATGAGAGAATCTAGACAGACTGTTGGAATTAAACTCACCAAGGTGACTAGGTATAAGATCAGTACGTGAAAATTAGTAACTTTTTAATATGAACAGTATCCATGTATAGTTACTTTATGACATCTCCATCTAGATAAGACATCTAAATTTAAATGTCTAAAACAATGCTCTTGAAAATCTACCTCTTCCCACTTCCAACCCACTCCTCCCATGTCATGACTGTGTATCCAGTGAAAATCTTAGAATGAGTTATCCTTGATCCCTCAAAATCAATCCATCAGCACAACCTGTTTTCTCAAGCTTCCAAATATATTCAGAAACCAGCCACTGCTCGCTACTCTCCCTTGCAGCCACCCTAGATTGTATCTGCCGTCACCAGTTGCCTGGAGCACTCCAGGACTTCCCTGCTTCCCACTGTTGGGCTCCTACAGGAACTTCCTTGGTACTTCACAAAGTAGCCAGAATTAACCTTATGATATGTGTCAGATCATGCTACTCCTTGCTCAAAAACACTGTAGTTTGTTACACTTTGAATAATCTATACTCCTACAAGGAGACCTGGCTCTTGTACCTCTGAGCTCAGCTCCTACCTCCTACTCCTCCCTCACTGCACAGTGGTCACTTCAGCCTCCTTGTTCAACTCGCCAAATACATTACTACTTTCTTCCCCTAGATCTCTGTCGTTCAGGTCTTGGCAGCAGTGTCCCTCCTCAGAGAGGCATTTTCGGTTCTAAACACAGCCCCGCCGTGTTTGATTTTTCTTTATACACACATTTTCACCTAACATATTCAACTTTTGTTCCCCCTACTAGGAGGTTAGTGCCATGAGAGCAGGTGCTTTTCTTTATTCCCCACTGTAGCCCCAGCCAATAGACGGTAACTGGCATATAGTAAACATTCATACATTTGTATTGAATGGATGGGGTATATACTTTTTTACCCCACCTGGCCACTTTAGACATTTCCATTTGTAATTTGCAGAACAGCCTCTTGGCTCTGTGAGAGAAAAACACTGTATCTTAATTTCCTTTTTCTCCAACATCTAAACAGTCCATGGAATTAATATATAGGAATTATATATTATATATAGGAATATATATTACATTATAGGAATATATATTATATATAGGAATATAATATTATATAGGAATTAATGACATACAGTTATGCCTTATACTTTATTTTTCCTTGATTTGATTAAGATTTATGTAAATTTGAGTTTCATACTAATGAAACTAATGAGCTGAGGAGCATCTCTTGTTTTAAAGGCGCCAAAGAATGTTTTTGTTACATAACATCTAAGAAACAGACAGGGCAGAAAGCAGGAAGGAATAGATGCCAACACTGTGTTGCAAGGAATTGTGCCTTCATGTCCCGGTGTCTTTAGTTTCATGCTTTAGTAAAATATAATCTTACTTTTGGTGCTTGCTTTCTTTTTTTGTTTGTCATCTTTTCTGTTCAACATATGCAGAGGGATTCTTAAGCTACACAAAAGAATGTTCTAAATTGGTAGGGCTAAAAACATGTTTGGATTTTATTACCTTCAGCTAAATTATTCCACTACTCAGATTATTTAATCTTTATAGAATTGAATTAAAGCCAAATTTCCTCCATATTATGAATGTCCTTGTCTATTTCTAATTATTTCTTGTATCTCCTAAATCCTGGATATTTCCTCTGACTCCTTAATCCTGAATGAAATTACTATATCATTTCAAAGCTTACGTTACTATGAATTTCAGTGATGATGGAAATAAAGTAGTCTCACAAAATGGGTTTTGCTCTGACATCATTTCCTAGAACAAAAACATCAAAATCTACTATTTTGAAACTTAGTGCCTGACTGAATTTCTGACTTTCTGACTGAATTTCTGACACTTTAGGCATGTGAACCACCACCACTACTCCCCCTACCCCACCAAAAGTCATTTATGTTTTATATCAGCGTTAGGCCCTGATGTTGTCTGAGGTTTGCTATTCAGAAATCTGTTCTATTGAGAAGTTCTGGTATCAGGTGGGTTAGTTAGAAGATGCTACTGTAATATGGAGGCCAGGACATCAGAGATCAGTTCTAGTGTATTCCAAACTCTCAGATGAAATAGATATTTCAATTCTTGGAAGTTTGTATCCCAAATTCATTTTTGTTTAGTCCTTTGCCACTCTAGTTACAATCTGATTGTGATTTTTGTCTTCATATATTGTCTGCTAAATGTATGTAAGTTGTATTAACTCTTTATTCATCATACATGTATCAGAAAATCCAAGCGACCTATTAAAGTATATCGTTACCAATTATACCAACCAAATAAATTTCAACATTCAGTCTGCCTGAGCATTTTCTATTTGCATATACCTTTGAAGAAGAAAAATAATCCCACTTTTTCATTTTCTAAAACGCAATCTTTATTGGTTTCTGCTAATTTAAAAAGTGACGCACATTTCTGATAGATTGTTAGACCCAATTTTTCTTAAAATGGCATTGTTATGACAAAAGTCAGCTGTCTGAATAGAGTTTGGGGAAACATATATTTTGAAGAATTGCTTCTTATGTTGTTTTCTTTTTATTTACAGTATATCTCTCTACCGGGGGAATTGCAGGCCCATACGATTTGAGCCACCAATGCTGGATTTCCATGAACAGTAAGTTTAAAATTTTTGGACTGTACTTTCCCATTAAACTATTAAATGTATTTTACATGCATTTGTCTTGTCTTTTGCCTGTGTTACATCTATGTGGGAAAGTTACATGTTCTAGTCATCAGGAAAACAAATGATACTGAATGCAGTTTGAAAATGGGAAGTAAGTATCTATTAGGAGTCTAACATGTAATATTAACTTTTAAAGCTTGAAAAATACTCGCTTGTTGTAGTCTCTGGTTCAGAGACTCTTTGGAAACAGCAAAGAACTTATAGTTAGCTGTTTTGATTAGCACTTCATTTTTATTTTTACTATTTAAAAATCTTCTTATGAATAAAATATATTCTATTTGTTTAATATATGTGCTTTTAATAGACAAGCTCTTATATATCACCAAATAGTATTATCACCAACCCATAATGGCAGGTAAAAGCAAACGCACAGACAGACATGGTTCATTCACAGAACTCTGCCTTGATGAGCTAAGCAAACCACTGCACACCCTCCCCCAAGCAGGAGAGACCCCCGGGCCTCTAAGCAGCTAATATACCCAAGGGCCAGCAAAGCAGCTACATACCTGCACTCAGCACCTAAGAAAGAGCCCCACAGTGCACCCCCAAGATATTTCCTTGGCCTGCCCAATGGCCCTGCACCTGAAATCAGGGCCTGAAAAACAGCCCTGTGGGCAACCACCGGCAGACACACCTCCAGACCAGCTGAGCATCTCTGTGCCTGTGTCAGGCCTAAGAAATAGCCCTGTGGGTCGCCACTAGCAAACATGTCCCCAGGCTAGCCAAGCAGCTTTGTGCTCACATCATGGACCTGAGAAGCAGCTGTATAGGCTGCCCCTGGCAGACACATCCTCGGGCCAGCTGAGCAGACTTGCAACTGTGTCTTGGACCTGAGAAACAGCCCCATAGGGCAGACACACTTCAAGGCCAACTAAACACCCATGTGTCTGCACCCCCACCCTGAGAAACAGCCCCATGGGTCACCCCAAGCCAACAGACACCCAAGCCATCTGAGAAGCCATGAGACTGCATCCCACGCCTGAAAAACAGCCCTGCGGGCCATCCCTGGCAAACATAACTCCCAGTTCAGCTGAGCAGCCTCAGCGGGCTCCTATATGTCCCTTCTCAGATTCTCCAAAAAGAGTTTTTTCATCTTGCTGAGTCAAAAGAAAGTTTTAACTCTGTGACATAAATCCACACGTCACAAAGCAGTTTCACAGATAGCTAGGCCTGAGAAACAGCCCTTTGGGCTACTCCTGGCAGGCATACACCCACACCATCCAACTAAACACGTGCTTGTGCTGCTGTCCAGAGTAACAGCCCTGCGTTTTAGAGCCAGACCCTAAGTTGGCCAGATTCCAAGCTGCCTGACCCACTGTGTGGATGCACACATCCCTGACCTGAGAAACAGCCTTGTGAGCCCACCCTCAACAAAGCTGCACCACTACCACCACAGACTCTCTCAGCCTAGGCTACTGAGATACTTGCAGACGTCAAGTGTGACTGACAGCTGAGGAAAGTACCCAGAGACTACACTACAGTGCCCACCTAGACACAGATGCACCAAAGCCAATGCACCCCACCAATCTGACACTCCAAGACCCATTTATAAGAATAAGTCTTTCCCTGTGAAATGTACTCCATAAAATTGGAAGAAATGACTTTTCTACCAGATGTATAGAAATCAACATGGGGACACATCAAACACAAAAAAGCAAGGAAACATGACGCCTCCAAAGGAAAACAATAATTCTTCAGTAACAGACCCCAATCATAAGAAAATATACTAAATGCTAGAGAAAGAATTCAAAATAATCTTAAAGAATCTCAGTGAGATACAGGAAAACTTACAGTTCAGCAAAATCAAGAAAACAATTCATGATTTGAATAAGAAATTCAACAAAGAGACAGGTAACATAACAAAGAACCAAACAGAAATCCTAGAGCTGAAGAATTCAATGAGTGAAATAAAAAATACAGTCAAGAGCTTCAACAATAGACTAAACCAAGCAGAAGAAAGAATTTCTGAACTTGAAGACAGATCTTTTGAAATGACACAGGCAGACAAAAAAAGAAAAAAGGGTGAAGAAAGCCTACAGGATGTATTGTATACCATGAAGTGAACAAATATATTATGGTCATTCCAGAAGGAGAAGAGAAAGGAGAAAGGCTTAGAAAACATACTTAATGAAATAGTAGCTGAAAACTTCCCAAGTCTTGAAATTTGAGATGGACATCCAGGTCCAGTAAACTCAAAGAATTCCAATTAGAGTCAGCCCAAACAGGTTATCTCTGAGGCACATTATAGTCAAATTATCAGATGTTAAAGGCAAAGAATTCTAAAAGTAGCAAGAGAAAAGTGTCAAGTCACATATAAGGGAATTCCCATTAAACTAACAGCAGATTTCTCAGCAGAAAACTTACAGGCCAGGAAAGAATGAAATGATATATTAAAAATACTCAAAGTGGGGGTGGGGGACCTGTGAGCCAAGAACACTATATACCCTGCAAAGCTACATTTCAGAAATAAAAAAGAATTAAAATCTTTCACAAACGGCCGGGCGCGGTGGCTCACGCCTGTAATCCCAGCACTTTGGGAGGCGGGCGGATCACAAGGTCAGGAGATCAAGACCATCCTGGCTAACATGGTGAAACCCCGTCTCTACTAAAAATACAAAAAAAAATTAGCTGGGCGTGGTGGCGGGCGCCTGTAGTCCCAGCTACTCGGGAGGCTGAGGCAGGAGAATGGACCGGGAAGCGGAGCTTGCAGTGAGCGGAGATCGCGCCACTGCCCTCCAGGCTGGGTGACAGAGCGAGACTCCGTCTCAAAAAAAAAAATCTTTCACAAACAAGGAGAAATGAAGGGAATTCATCACTGCTAGACTGGCCTTACAAGAAATGCTTAAGGGACTCTTATATCTGGAAATGAAAACATAACCACCATTATGAAAACATGTGAAACTATAAAATTCACTGGTAGAGCCCAAATACAAAGAAAGGAAAAAGAATCAAACCGTATCAATGTGGAAAACCACCCAAGCACAGAAAAACCATAAGAAAAGAAGTACAGAACAAAAGATAAAACATCCAGAGAACAATATGACAGGAACAAGTCTTTACCTATCAATAACCTTGAATGTAAATGGGTTCAGTTCCCCCATCTAAAAGATATAAACTGGCTGAATGGATAAACCCCAACTATATACTGCCTGTAAGAAACTCACCTCATCTGTAAAGTCATACAGACTGAGAGTGAAGGGAAAGAAAAAGATACTTCATCCAAATGGAAACCAAAAGCCAGCAGGAGTAGCATTACTTACATAAGGCCAAACAGACATCAAGTAAAAAGCTATAAAAAGCAACAAAGAAGGACATTATGAGATAAAGGGATCAGTTAAGCAAGAAAATATAACAGTTGGAAATATATATGCACCTAGCACTAGAGCACCCAGATATAAAAAGCAACTATTAGATCTAAAGGGAGAGATAGACCCCAGTACAATAATAGAGTTGGGGATTTCAGCAGTCCACTCTCAGCATTGGACAGGTCATCTAGACAGAAAATCAACAAAGAAGCATTGGATTTAAACTACACCATCAACTAAATGGACCTAACAGACATTTACAGAACATTTCACCAAAAAGCTGCAGAATACCATTTCTTTCGTCAACACATGAAGCATTCTTCAGGATTGATCGTATGTTAGGACACAAAATGAATCTCAAAAAAATTTTTTTAAATTAATTTTATCAACTATCTTATCTGACCACAATGGAATTTAAAACTAGAAATCGATAACAAGAGGAACATTCAAAACTACAAATACGTGAAAATCAAACAACATGTTCCTGAATGACCAATGGGTGAAGGAAGAAATTAAATGGTAAACTAAAATATTTCTTGAGACAAATGAAAATAGAAATACAATATACCAAAACCTATGGGGCACAGCAAAAGCAATATTAAGAGGCAAATTTATATAACAATAAATCCTACATCAAAAAACTAGAAAGATTTCAAATAAACAACCTAATGATGCATCTTAAAGAACTAGAAAAGAACAAATCAAAGCCTCAAAATTAGTGGAAGGAAATAAGTAAGATCAAAATCAAAATGAATGAAATTGAGACTAAAAATACCTACAAAAAGTGGGGAACATCTGTATTTATTTGTTGAGTTACAAAAATCTAACCATATTATCTCAATATACCATTTTTATAACAATATATTGTGCATACTTCAAAAAATTCCATTGAATTTTCTGTTATTTTATAATAAAGAACATCAAAATTTATGGGTATATTATATTTGTTAAATTCACTTATTTTTAATTGTTTTAAACTTTTTATTTTGTGATCAGTGCTGAAACTGATGATTTAAACACAACCATGACTATTTCCTTTCCTCAAGAGAGAGTCCTAATGGAAGGATATACAGAATATTAAAGATTTTAATTAACCTTTAGCCTAGAGAACAGTTCGGTGTCATGAACAAGGAGCAACTTAAAGAAATAAAAGAATCAGTCTATGACAAGTGAGGAAATAAATGGGATTTCTCATAGAGACTGTTACTAGTCATAGAGAACCTGAAATCTCATGAGCTGAGAGAAATTGTGGAAGATTTGTGGAAGAAGTGTGAATGGGTAGATGAACTCCAGTACAAGCAAGGGTCAGTTGACACAGTAAAGAAAATTTATTTGAAGCATAGCAAAGGAGTATAGTTATATAAGACTGTTCCCCAAAGCAGCGGATTTACATGCTGCTCCAAAATAGTGGAAACAGACAAACAAACTTCGCTATAGTCTGAATGTGTCCTCCCAAAATTCATACATTGAAACCTAATCTCTGATGTGATTGTGTTCAGAGGTGGAGCTTTAGGAGGTGTTTAGGTCAGGAGCGCAGACCTAATCTCACAAATGGGATTAGTGACCTTACAAGAGAGGCCCCATAGAGCTACTGTCCCCTTTCTGCCATGTGAGGACCCAGCTAGAAGGTGTCACCTGTGACCCAGAAAGAAGGCTCCACACCAGAACCCAACCATGCCGACACCCCGATCTCAGATTTCCCAGCCTCTAGATCTATGAAAAATAAATTTGTCATTTATTGTGCTATAGCAGTCCAAAAGGACTGAGCCACCATTCTACTATTATTTAAAACTTTCTGGATCAAGTCAGAGAACACTGAGCGGAGTTTGTTATATCTCGCAAGTGTAGAAGTGGATCTGTAGAAGTAGGGGTTGCAGGCAGGTGTGAACCAACATGTGTAAGGGTTCAATCAGAGGCAGAACCAGTCAGATTTTAAATGAATGTATATGTATATATACACGCACATGGGTTTATAATAAGGAATTGGCTTATGCATTTGAGAGAGCTGGTTAAGCAAGCTCAAAGCCCACAGGGCCAGGGAGTCAGTAAGGGAGGATAGCGGGCTGGAACCCCAAGGGCACAGACTGAAGTTTCTTGTCCACAGATAAGTATCCAGGGAAGATCCTGAGGAGAGGAGAGAAATTGCAGGTCTAGCTGCTGTTTGAAGCCTCTTGGCTCAGACAGGGCCTAAGCTTTCTTTGAAAGTGCTTCCCAGTGACAAAGTCACAGACTCACCTAGAATAATCGTTTTTATTAACTTGAAATCAGCCTATTAGGGACTTTAATTATGTTGGCAAAATCTCTCCCAGCAGCACTTAGGTTAGTGTTTGAATAACTGGGAAAAGGTATATTATGCTACAAAATAGCTGCTGTCTCACTTTTCTCTTCTGTCTCTAAGGAGATAATATTACTTTTAACTCACCCTAACCAGAAACATACTAGAAAGGGAGTTCTGGGGACTTTAGTTCAAGTCAAGTTGATATCACAAAGCTACCCCATAGATACAAACAAAGAGGTTCCTAAATTTTGAACTTCTGACTCTAGAAAATGAAGAGAGATATGGTTGAAAGAATTTGCTTAGTAATTTTAAGGTAAGGTTCTTTTTGTGAAACTTGAAAGTAGTCTTGGGACAAAGAAAATGAAATTTGTACATTTTCACTGCAGAAAGTAAATTATCAATGTCTTCAGAAAGTGACTGCTAAAGGAAAACAGATATTTTAGAATAGATCCTCTTTTAAAGTTATTGTATGTTTTTTCCACTCTCAGAAGCATACAACTTGTTGATTCAAGTTTTTTCCTGCATTAACTGCATTTATTTTTGCCCCCACAAATCACTGCTCTTTTTAACATGAATGTTATTAAGTGAAAAAAGATTAGAATACTGTAATACAGAATGGCCCCTCTTAATACCTGTTAGCTACCTATTCAACATCTACCTCCCCCGCCCCCCCCCCTTTTTTTTTTTTTTTTGCAGTTATCCAGCCTTTAGGCCTGGCACCCTGTCCCTAGCTCAGGGGTAAATCTTGATAAGTCAGTTGTAATAATTCCATTATTATTGCTTGTGGTCTGTTCAAGGGTGAGTGTGACCCAGTTTTACTCTGTAACAGGAGGGCAGGTCAACTGAGGTGTTTCTGGGGAAGGATTGTTTTTTTTACTCTAAAAAGAGTCACAGCCAGATGCTGTGGCTCACGCCTGTAATCGCAACCCTATGGGAGGCCGAGGTGGGAGGATTGCTTGAGCTCAAGAGTTTGAGACCAGCCTGGGCAACATAGTGAAACCCAATCCCTACAAAAAATTTTAAAAAGTAGCTGGGCATGGTGGTGTGCACCTGTAGTCCCAGCTATTCAGGAGGCAGAGGTTGCAGTGAGCTGAGATCACAACAGTGCACTCCAGCCTGGGCAACAGAGCCAGACCCTGTCTCAAAAAAAAAAAAAAGAGTCGCAAGAAAGAAACGCCCATCTTCTATGCCAGATACTGTCTGCATGCAGTGCCTAGGATACTGCGGCAATCATCTTGCAATCAGTGAGGGGTTCTAGCCGGAGGACTGATGCCATGCAGTCATGAAAGGCAACTGGTCTAACAGAGTGGAAAGATGGAAAGAACCTGCGTCTTTCATAATGTTGTCGAACTGCTAAATTAACCCTGGAACTGCCCTACTTTAGGTCTTTTTGTTTGGTGACACTTTGATCTGTTGGAGAGTGCATGGCACCTGGCACCACTGACTTCTTCCTCCCTCTCAGATCTTTCCCTGCCTATACCCTTGTGAACCATTGTCCATGTTTTCCTCCTGTGCCTGAGGCTATTTTTAAAATTATCTTTCAAGGGTTTATGTTCCTCTGTGTATCCCCAAATTGTGGTTGTGTGCGGCTGCATTTCTTTCTTCACCTCATTTCAACCAACTCTGCGCTTTCTTACTGGGTGGGCTCTTCCATGCCTTTGACATATGCCTGTAATCTCCCAATCTCTGTCATCCCCCCTCACTTACCATGTGTCTCCAACACCACACTAAACTCACCATGTCTTGCTCTTCTGTATCTCCAGTCCATGAACGGTACCACAGTCACCAAAGCCAGAATATTCAGGCTTCCTGGATTCCTCCCTTTCCCTCACAGCACTCCATCCCCTTCCTGTCAAATCCATTCCAGGAAGGAATCCTATGAATTTTTCATGTCTGTTCTGCTCTAATCCTCACTACTTACCCCTCTCCTCTTAACTCAGGTCCACATCATTTCTCATCTGGACTGTTACCATATGCCTGCCACTTTCTAGTCAGGATTCATGCTGTCAACAGGGAAATGTTTTTCACATCAAAATCTGATCATGTCGTTTTTCCCACTTCCCCTCCCCCAAAATTCCTTTAATGGTTTCCTATTTGCCTTCAGGATAAATGCTAAATTCATTATAAAACCTGCCTTTTTACCTTCCTTATATGTCCTCCACACCTGGGGAGAACTACATGTCATTTCCTGAAAGCACTGATCTTCATAAGGGCTGGGCGTGTTATTCATACCTTGAGTCTCCCCTCTAAAGATAGTTTTTTATGGAAGTTTTCATACATATAGGAAAGTAGAAAGAACAAATAATGAATGTACTTTTAACATAAACTCAGGGATTATTGCCATTTTTGCATATTTATACTTCTGTTTTTGAATCATTTGAAAGCAGCAGACCTCATGACCTTTCATTCCTAATTCTTGAGCACACACTGCCATACAGTTGATCCTTTAACAACATGGCAGGTTAGGGGCACGGACTCCCCACCACACTGCGTAGTTGAAAATTCACATGTAACTTTTGACTCCCCAAAAACTTAACTACTAATAGCCTACTTTTGACCAGAAGCCTTACTGATAATATAAGCAGTCAGTTAACATGTATTTTGTATGTAATAGGCATTATATGTACTGTATTTTTACCATAAAGGAAGCTAAAAAAAAATGTTAAGAAGACAGTAAGGAAATTCTCATTCATTAAGTGGAGGTGGATCATCGTAAAGGTCTTCACCTCATCTTCACATTGAGTAGGCTGAGGAGGAAGTGATAGTCTTGCTGTCACAGGTGGCAGAGGCGGAAGAAAATCCGTGTGGACCCTCATAGTTCAAACCCATATTGTTCAAGAGTCAACTGTATAAGGACATTCTGCATAACTACAGTACCATTATTGACATTGTGAGAAAATTAATAGTAATTATGGAGTGCTTTTAATCTCCCTCTGTTTTGGTCAAGGCTGTAGTTATTTGGTTGTAAGTGACAGAAACCTGAAATTAACTGAGGCAAAAATGATAATATATTGGAATACTGAGGACCATAATATATCTGCAGGAAAGTCAGAGATGCAGCTGGCACCTGGGAACAACAGCATTCACTTGCTCTAACACCACCAGGAGTCTTCTGTCTCTTATTTCTGCCTGTCTATGTATTGGCTTATTCTCTCTCACTGCCGGTATCCTTTCCCTACAGCAGTGGGAAGAAATTCGCTGACTGCTCTTCAGCCTTGCATTCTGTGTCTTCACTCCACTGGGAAGCTCTGTTGTAAAGCAAGCCTTTCCCCAGTCTAACTAGCAGGGGTGGAAACTGCCTTCTCTCTGCTTCCAGGGTGGTGTTAATCCTGCTGAGATGAGATGGAGCCCCACCCAAAATTTGGTTCAGATATCAAGACTGTTGATGTCACATATGCACAGACACCAGCAGAATGAAAAAGTTTATTGTACTCACCGAATGAAGATTCTAGGGGATGACCATGGTAGGCAGATGTGAGAAAGGGCTGGAGAGAGCAGAGAAGGACTAGATTGGTTTTTTTGTTTGTTTGCTCATTATTATTATTTTTTAATTATTATACTTTAAGTTCTGGGGTATATGTGCAGAACGTGCAGTTTTGTTACATAGGTACACATGTGCCATGGTAGTTTGCTGCATGCATCAACCCATCACCTACGTTAGGTACTTCTCCTAATGTTATCCCTCCTCTAGCCCCCCAGCCCCTGACAGGCCCTGGTGTATGATGTTCCCCCCTCTATGTCCATGTGTTCTCATTGTTCAACTCCCACTTACGAGTAAGAACATGCAGTGTTTGGTTTTCTGCTCTTGTGGTAGTTTGCTGAGAATGATGATTTCCAGCTTCATCCATGTCCCTGCAAAGGGCATGAACTCATCCTTTTTTATGGCTGCATAGTATTCCATGTTGTATGTGTGCCACATTTTCTTTATCCAGCCTATTGATGGACATATGAGTTGCTTCCAAGTCTTTGCTATTGTGAATAGTGCCACAGTAAACATACGTGTGCATGTGTCTTTATAGTAGAATGATTTATAGTCCTTTGGGTATATACCCAGTAATGAGATTGCTGGGTCAAATGGTATTTCTAGTTCTAGATCCTTGAGGAATCACCACACTGTATTCTACAATGGTTGAACTAATTTACCTGCCCACCAACAGTGTAAAAGCGTTCCTGTTTCTCCACATCCTGTCCAGCATCTGTTGTTTCCTGACTTTTTAATGATCGCCATTCTAACTGGTGTGAGATGGTATCTCATTGTGGTTTTGATTTGCATTTCTCTAATGACCAGTGATGATGAGCATTTTTTCATATGTTTGTTGGCTGCATAAATGTCTTCTCTTGAAGTGTCTGTTCCTATCCTTTGCCCACTTTTTAATGGGATCTTATTTTCTTGTAAATTTGTTTAAGTTCCTTGTAGATTCTGGATGTTAGCCCTTTGTCAGATGGATAGATTGCAAAACTTTTCTCCCATTCTGTAGGCTGCCTGTTCACTCTGATGATAGTTTCTTTTGCTGTGCAGAAGCTCTTTGGTTTAATTAGATCCCATGTGTCAATTTTGGCTTTTGTTGCCATTGCTTTTGGTGTTTTAGTCATGAAGTCTTTGCCCATGCCTATGTCCTGATTGGTATTCCCCAGGTTTTCTTCTAGGATTTTTATGGTCCTAGGTCATATGTTTAAGTCTTTGATCCATCTTGAGTTTATTTTTGTATAAGGTACAAGGAAGCGGTCCAGTTTCAGTTTTCTGCATATGGCTAGCCAGTTTTCCCAACACCATTTATTAAATAGGGAATCTTTTCTGCATTGCTTGTTTGTGTCAGGTTTGTCAAACATCAGATGGTTGTAGATGTGTGGTGTTGTTTCTGAGGCCTTTCTTCTGTTCCGTTGGTCTATATATCTGTTTTGGTACCAGTACCATACTGTTTTCGTTACTGTAGCCTTGTAGCATAGTTTGAAGTCACATAGTGTGATGCCTTTAGCTTTGTTCTTCTTGCCCAGGATTGTCTTGGCAATACGGGTTCTTTTTTGGTTCCATATGAAGTTTAAAGTAGTTTTTTCCAATTCTATGAAGAAAGTTAGTGGTAGCTTGTTGGGGATAGCAGTGAATCTATAAATTACTTTGGGCAGTATGGCCATTTTCATGATATTGATTCTTCCTATCCATGAGCATGGAATGTTTTTCCATTTGTTTGTGTCCTCTCTTAATTTCCTTGAGCAGTGGTTTGTAGTTCTCCTTGAAGAGGTCCTTCACATCCCTTGTTAGTTGGATTCCTAGGTATTTTGTTCTCTTCGTAGCAATTGTGAATGGGAGTTACTCATGATTTGGCTCTCTGTTTGTCTGTTAGTGGTGTATAGGAATGCTTCTGAGTTTTGCACATTGATTTTGTATCCTGAGACTTTGCTGAAGTTGCTTATCAGCAGCTTAAGGAGATTTTGGGCTGAGTCGATGGGGTTTTCTAAACGTATCATCATTTCATCTGCAAACAGATACAATTTGACTTCCTCCTTTTCTATTTGAATACCCGTTATTTCTTTCTCTTGCCTGATTGCCCTGGCCAGAACTTCCAATACTATGTTGAATAGGGGTGATGAGACAGGGCATCCTTGTCTGGTGCCAGTTTTCAAAGGGAATGCTTCCAGTTTTTGCCCACTCAGTATGGTATTGGCTATGGGTTTGTCATAAATAGCTTTTATTATTTTGAGATATGTTCCATCAATACCTAGTTTATTGACAGTTTTTAGCATGAAGGAGTGTTGAATTTTGTTGAAGGCCTTTTCTGCATCTATTGAGATAATCCTGTGGCTTTTGTCATTGGTTCTGTTTATGTGATGGATTACCTTTATTGGTTTGCTTATGTTGAACCAGCCTTTCCACCCCAGGGATAAAGACAACTTGATCGTGGTGGATAAGCTTTTTGATGTGCTATTCAGTTTGCCGGTATTTTATTGAGGATTTTTGCACCAGTGTTCATCAGGGATATTGGCCTGAAATTTTCTTTTTTTGTTATGTCTCTGCCAGGTTTTGGATCAGGATGATGCTGGCCTTATAAAATGAGTTAGGGAGGATTCCCTCTTTTTCTGTTGTTTGGAATAGTTTCAGAAGGAATGGTACCAGCTCCTCTTTGTACCTCTGATAGAATTTGGCTGTGAATCTGTCTGGTCCTGGACTTTTTCGGTTGGTAGGCTATTAATTACTGCCTCAATTTCAGAACTTGTTATTGGTCTATTCAGGGATTCGACTTTTTCCTGGTTTAGTCTTGAGAGGGTGTATGTGTCCAGGAATTTATCCATTTCTTCTAGATTTTGTAGTTTATTTGCATAGAGGTGTTTATAGTATTCTCTGATGGTAGCTTGTATTTCTGTTGGATAAGTGGTGATATCCCCTATATCATTTTTTATTGCATCTATTTGATTCTTCTCTATTAGTCTGGCTAGTGGTCTATCTATTTTGTTGACCTTTTCAAAAACACAGCTCCTGGATTCATTGATTTTTTTGAAGGGTTTTTTGTGTCTCTATCTCCTTCAGTTCTGCCCTGATCTTAGTTATTTCTTGTCTTCTGCTAGATTTTGAATTTTTTTGCTGTTGCTTCTCTAGTTCTTCTAATTTTGAAGTTATGTTTTCGATTTTAGATCTTTCCTGCTTTCTCTGATGAGCATTTAGTGGTGTAAACTTCCCTCTACACAGTGCTTTGAATGTGTCCCAGAGATTCTGGTACATTGTGTCTTCATTCTCATTGGTTTCAAAGAACATCTTTTTTCTGCCTTCATTTCATTATTTACCCAGTAGCCATTCAGGAGCAGGTTGTTCAACTTCCATGTAGTTGTGCAGTTTTAAGTGAGTTTCTTAATCCTGAGTTCGAATTTGATTGCACTGTGATCTGAGAAACTGTTTGTTATGATTTCTGTTATCTTGCATATGTTGAGGAGTGTTTTCCTTCCAATTATGTGGTCAATTTTAGAATAAGTGTGATGTGGTGCTGAGAAGAATATATATTCTGTTGATTAGGGGTGGAGAGTTCTGTAGATGTCTATTAGGTTTGCTTGGTCCAGAGCTGAGTTCAGGTCCTGAATATCCTTGTTAATTTTCTGTCTTGTTGATCTGTCTAATACGGACAATAGGGTGTTAAAATCTCCCACTATTAGATTGTGTGGGAGTTTAAGTCTCTTTGTAGGTCTCTAAGAACTTGCTTTATGAATCTGGGTGCTTCTGTATTGGGTGCATATATATTTAGGATAGTTAGCTCTTCTTGTTGCATTGATCCCTTTACCATTATATAATGCCCTTCTTTGTCTCTTTTGATCTTTGTTGGTTTAAAGTCTGTTTTATCAGAGATTAGGATTGCAACTCCTGCTTTTTTTCATTTCCATTTGCTTGGTAAATATTCCTCCATCCATTTATTTTGAGCCTGTGTGCCTTGCATGTGAGATGAGTCTCCTGAGTACAGCACACTGATGGGTCTTGACTCTTTTTTCAGTTTGCCAGTCTGTGTCTTTAATTGGGGCATTTAGCCCATTTACATTTAAGTTTAATATTGTTATGTGTAAATTTGATCCTGTTATTATGATGCTAGCTGGTTGTTTGCCTGTTAGTTGCAGTTTCTTCATAGTGTTGATGTTCTTTACAATTTAGTATATTTTTACAGTGGATGCTACTGGTTGTTCCTGTCCATATTTAGTGCTTCCTTCAGGAGCTCTTGTAAGGCAGGCCTGGTGGTGACAGAATATCTCAGCATTTGCTTGTCTGTAAAGGATTTTATTTCTCCTTCACTTATGAAGCTTAGTTTGGCTGGATATGAAATTCTGGGTTGAAAATTCTTTTCTTTAAGGATGTTGAATATTGGGCCTCACTCTCTTCTGGCTAGTAGAGTTTCTGCAGAGAGATCCGCTGTTAGTCTGATGGGCTTCCCTTTGTGGGTAACCCAACCTTTCTCTCTGGCTGCGCTTAACATTTTTTCCTTCATTTCAACCTTGGTGAATCTGACGATTATGTGTCTTAGGGTTGCTCTTCTCGAGGAGTGTTGTTGTGCTGTTCTCTGTATTTCCTGAATTTGAATGTTGGCCTGTCTTGCTAGATTGGAGAAGTTCTCCTGGATAATATCCTGAAGAGTGTTTTCTAGCTTGGTTCCATTCTCCTTGTCACTTTCAGGTACACCAATCAAACGTAGATTTGGTCTTTTCACATAGTCCCATATTTCTTGGAGGCTTTGTTCATTCCTTTTTATTCCTTTTTCTCTAATCTTGTCTTTGCTCTTTATTTCATTAAGTTGATCTTCAATCACTGATATCCTTTCTTCCACTTGACCAATTCGGCTGTTGAAACTTGTGTATGCTTCACAAAGTTCTCGTGCTGTATTTTTCAGCTCCATCGGGTCATTTATGTTCTTCTCTACACTGGTTATTCTAGTTAACAATTTGTCTAACCTTTTTTTCAAAGTTCTTGGCTTCCTTGCATTGGATTAGAACATACTTCTTTAGCTTGGAGGAGTTTGTTATTACCCACCTTCTGAAACCTACTTCTGTCAGTTCGTCAAACTCATTCTCCATCCAGTTTTGTTCCCTTGCTGGCGAGGAGTTGTGATCTTTGGAGGAGAAGAGACCTTCTGATTTTTGGAATTTTCAGCCTTTTTGTGCTGGTTTATCCCCATCTTTGGATTTATCTACCTTTGGTCTTTGATGTTGGTGACCTTTGGATGGCATCTTTGAGTGGACGTGCTATTCCTTTCTGTTAGTTTTCCTTCTGACAGGCTCCTCTGCTGCTGGTCTGCTGGAGTTTGCTGGAGGTCCACTCCCGACGCTGTTTGCCTTGGTATCAGCAGCGGAGGCTGCAGAACAGCAAAGATTGCTGCCTGATCATTCCTCTGGAAGCTTCTTCCCAGAGGGGCACCTGCCAAATGCCAGCTAGAGCTCTCCTGTATGAGGTGTCTGTTGGCCCCTACTGGGAGTTTTCTCCCAGTGAGGATACACGGCGGTCAGGGACCCACTTGAGGAGGCAGTCTGACCTTCAGCAGAGCTCGAACGCTGTGCTGGGAGGTCCACTGCTCTCTTCAGAGCTGCCAGGCAGGGATGTTTAAGTCTGCTGAAGCTTCGGCCACAGCTGCCCCTTTCCCCAGGTGCTCTGTCCCAGGGAGCTGGGGATTTATCTATAAGTCCCTGACTGGGGCTGCTGCCTTTTTTTCAGAGATGCCCTGCCCAGAGAAGAGAAATCTGGCAGTCTGGCCACAGCGGCCGTGCTGAGCTGCAGTGGGCTCTGCCCAGTTCGAACTTCCCCGTGACTTGTGACTTTGTTTACACTGTGATTGTAAAACCACCTACTCAAGCCTTAGCAATGGCGGACGCCCCTCCCCCCACCAAGCTCCATTGTCACAGGTTGACCTCAGACTGCTTCTGTGCTGGCAGCGAGAACTTCAAGCCAGTGAATCTTAGTTTGCTGGGCTCCATGGGGGTGGGACCCACTGAGCCAGGCCACTTGGGTCCCTGGCTTCAGCACCCCTTTCCAGGGGAGTGAATGGTTCTGTCTTGCTGGTGTTCCAGGTGCCAATGGGGTATGGAAAAAAAAGAACTCATGAAGTTAGTTCGGTGACTGCCCAAACGGCCGCCCAGTTTTGTGCTTGAAACCCAGGGCCCTGGTGGGGTAGGCACCGGAGGGAATCTCCTGGTTTGCAGCTTGCAGAGACCATGGGACAAGCGCAGTATCTGTGCCAGAGTTCCTCAGGTTCAGTCCCTGACAGCTTCCTTTGGGTAGAAGAGAAAATTCCCTGACCCCTTGTGCTTCACAGATGAGGTGATGCCCCACCCTGCTTCGGCTCGCCCTCCGTGGGCTGTACCCACTGTCTAACCAGTCCCAGTTGGAAATGTAGAAGTCACCCGCCTTCTGCATCCATCTCGCTGGGAGCCGCAGACTGGAGCTGTTCCTGTTCGGCCATCTTGCCAGCAATTGGTTTTTATTGCGGTTGGGGAGCAAGGCTGGAGTGGGTTTGCATGATTGGAACTTCTCACTAGCTCCGAGAGAGAAGGGCTTTTTGATTGGCTTGCCCAGGTTTGGGGCTAAAGGTAAAGGGGCATCATTGGGGCTTGAAAACTATCAACAGTTGAATATCAAAAATGGAGTTAGAGTCTTTCTAACTCATGGCATCTTCTAAAAAGTATCAGGCCCTTCAGGAAGGGTGCATCTAGAATTTCCCTTGCTTCTTTCTTGACCCCAGTGCTGACTCCTGTCATTACCCTGATCATTCCTACTCTCCTGTAGAATTTGTTTCACAATAAACAGATCAAATTAGCTTTCTTTGTTTTCAGACTTTTTGTTTAAATTTATTCTTTAAGCCTACCTGTATTCTCTCTGCCCTTCCTCCCTTTCCCTCCCCCTCTTTTCTTTTCCCCCTTTCTCTCCTCTTCTCTCCTTGTAACAATCCCATGGGGCAATCTAGACACCACTGGCTCCCCTCCCATTCTCCACTCCCCCCCCGACCCCATTTTTATGCCAGTGCTGTTAAATGTTTTTCTGTTTCCATAGCAACTCCTATAATTACCTGATGGATTCTTCCTGCCTGCTATACAGACAAAACCAGTTCACTGAGACCATGGTATTGCAATAAAGAGTTTTACTAACATGAGGCCAGCCACACAGGAGATAGAGTTATTACTCAAATCAGTCTCCCTGAAGGCTTGGAGATTAGGGTTTTACAAGGATAGTTTTGTGGGCAGGGGGCTAGGGAATGAGGAATGTTGATTGGTTGAGGATGGAATCATAGGGATGTGGAATATGGTCCTCCTGCTCTGAGTCAGCCTTTGGGTGGGGGCCACAGGACCGGTTGAGTCAGCCAGTTGTCAGAAATGCAAACATCTGAAAGGATCTCTCAAAAGACCAACCTTAGGTTCTGTAGTAGTAATGCTTCCTACAGGAGTGATTGGGAAATTTAGAAACCTTATGATCTCCCAGACAATGTCCGGTTATCTCAGGCCCCTCTGATAACCCTAACCTCATGGCTTTTCATTAGTTTTCAGAAGCAGTTTCGTTTTGGGAAAGGTTATTATCATCCTTGCTTTAATGTTAAACTATAAACTAAATTCCTCCCAAAGTTAGCTTTGCCTGTTCCCAGAAATGACAAAGGACAGCTTGGAGGTCAGAAGCAAGATGGCGTCAACTATGTCAGATTTCTCTTACTGTTCTAATTTTGCAAAGGCAGTTTCACTCCAGACATTCATTGCAGGCTGTAAAAGATGCTTTGGGTAGAAACTTGGTTTACTAAAATCTTTGGCTTATATAATTATTACATTCAGAAAATCTTGATTTCAGATCTGAAGGTTAAAGTAGGTACTTCATGGCTATAAAAAAAATGGACGTTGAATAGACTATTGCTAAAAATAGATGTCTTTATTGTCAAGATAAATTTAGTTTATGAAAGGCATTTTTCTCTGATGACTTTTTGGTATTCCAAGAAAATCAAATAGGCCCCCTAAAGGGATACTTGGTGCCTCTTAGCTTTTCAATTCCTACCTACCCAATCTTTCCATAAAAGATTTTACATCAACTCCCCAGCTCAGCCTTCAATCTAAAATGTTTTTGAAAGGAGGATAGTAGTATTTTGCGGTAATTGAGTGGTACAAAGTACTGCATATTGATTTGACCCGACTTCCTGCCCAAAACTATGCTTAACAGAGTGCTGTGTCACTGTCATTCATAAGGTCTGCCTCAGGGCAGTTGCTAAGCCATTTCTTCAGCTGTTTCCTGGCACTGCAGTGTCATCTTTCTGTGGTGTAGGAAACTTGCCCTTGACCACAAAATTGCAGTTTACTTTCCAAGCTAGTCTCTAATTCATAGCTGCTGCTTTCTAATTCTTTTGAGCCTCAGACTATTCGAAAATATGGACAGTTCGTAGTTCTGCTGCAGCAGCACAGAGAACAGCTGTATGCCTGCTTCAGCTTGGTTTATAAATACCTCACACTGTCCCTTTTGGCCCTACTTCTGTCTTTGGACAGCCAGTAATGGAAACAAACAGGACCAGCACTGGCAGGCATTTGGAAATCTTTGTTTTATTTTTAAATTTTACCTGTTCAGCCAAGTAGTCATATATCCTGCTTATGATAGGCAGAATTCTAAGATAGACCAGAATTCTAAAAATTTCTGGCCTCTAATGTACCTGTACATACATTCTCCCAATTATTCAATCAAACACCAATCTAGGTGTTGCTATAGAGGATTTTGAAACTGTAACTAAGGCCCCAAATCAATTGACCTTTGAGATAGATTTTTTTTGGGTGAGCCTGACCTAATCCACGAACCTTTAAAATCTGGCTTTAGCAATCAGAAACAGAAATGTCAGGTATTTGAGGTAAGGGAGATATTGGATGCAAGAGAGTTTCTTCGTGCTGCTTTTGAAAATGGTAGGGTCATATGGCAAAAGACTGAAAGCAACCCGAATTTTATCAACAACCAGAATGAACTTAAAAGAACTTTGAGCTTCAGATGAGGACACATCTTGCTGACACCTGCATTTCCTTGTGAGACCTCGAGCAGATAAACCAGGCATTCTTACAGAATTGTAAGATAATGAACGGGCATTGCTTTAAGCCTCAAAGTTTGTGGTAATTTGTTACATAGTATAGAAAAGCAACACATTGTGAGTTTACAAATGGTCATGTACTTTCCATGGTCTAGATTCTGCTCATGTCACCAAAGGAACGGAGGATGGTGAGGAGGAAGGCAAGCTGTTCACAGACCTATGAGGTCTGTGAGCAAGTCTGTCCAAGGAGTGCCCGCTCCCTTTGCTTCCTGTGGTGTGGACTGCCCAGAGCTAGAGGCAGCCTGCCCTGTTTGAGCACGCAACGACTAAAATAGCCTGCTGATGTCCTTCCTGACAGCTTCCCTCTGTTCTTGTTACTCCAAGCTACTTTGAACAACATAAGTAGATGACTCATCTCCTCTGAGCAAGGGTTCATTCATTTCTATGGGATGTGGCCCATGCCTTTCCTCTTTGATCCCTGGAAGAAAGGGCAGGGCCAGCCTCAGAAGCATTGCAGATCAAGCATTCTGATCCACTCCTGCTTCCAGGCTCCTAGCACTTCCACACTTGTCTCTTTTCCCCACAGCCCTCTCCTGCAGGAGGCCACCTCCAATCCTGTCTTCTTGAAGGATACCCCAAATTACCTGTCCATTATGTATCCTGTCTTCTTTATCTTAGCTGAGATTGATTGTACTAAAGTTACACAAGGAAAAACATTGAGAAGGAATTCACAGGGATGTGCATGAATGGTTGCCAGTTAGCCTGAAGTCTATTTGAATTGTAAAAGCATTTTTTTTCTTAAGAAAGCATACAGTTGGTGAACTTTCAGGATGCAAGGAGGATGTTTTTATTTCTGTGCGCTGTTGTTTTCTACGTAAATGTCTATATGAAGCTTGAGGAAGAAGACTTTTATCTTCTATATTGTATCGATTGAGCTTCCTGCAGTATCGTGGCTGTAGTTTGAGGCCCCTTGTGGTTTGTACCCATTTCCCTAATTGTTTCATGGTGTCGTAACCCCACCTGGGATTGATGAGCCTGTCATTTAAAGGATCTGAGTCTCCACGGAGGCAAGAGGAATTCAACAATTTGAGTGCTTCTTGGTTTGAGGAGTTCTACTGTCTAACTCCAAATATGTTCTTACAGACCTTTTCTGGATACCTATCTATCACTGCCTCAGGACCCAAACCCTGTTCCCACTTTTTGTTGTTGTTGTTGTTCTGAACTGTTAGGCCACAGAATGATTGTGGACCTCATAATGTGCAATCTACAGAACGTCAGCCACAGAATGATTTTTGGCCAGGATTTTGCTTCCCTGGGTAAAGCAGAGAAACTCTCCTGTGGGATCCTACCTCTCCAGTGCAGTCTGTGGGCACGGCTTTCCTAGTTAGTAAAAAAAATAAAGTAACTAGCATGATGATAGACTTTAACTCTATCAATAATTGCATTAAATATACATAATCTAAACACATCAATTAAGAGACCAAGATTGTCACATTGAATAAAAAAGCGAGACACAACTAGCAGAAAACCTACATATATGTGTGTGTGTGTATATATATAAAGACATAGACAATATTTTATATATAGATAGATAGATAGATAGACATAGACAAGTTAAAAATAAAAGGATGGAAAAGATATTACCATGTAAACACTAACCAAAAGAACCGTGAAAGGGCTGTGTTAATTTGGACAAAGTAAACTTCAGAACAAGCACTATTACTGGGAATAAAGGGGGATATTACATAAATATAGAGGGGTTAATTTAGATACACAAAAATAACAACTCGAAATATGCATGCATCTAACAATGGAGCTTCCGAATACTTGAAGCAAATATACCCTTAGGGCATGGGATTTTAAGAATGGAGTAAGGAGCTCAATGGACCACCTCAACAGACAGTACTTTAACTAATGAGAATTATTTTTTAAAAAGTTATTAAAGTTGCAGGAAATTATTCATTCAAAAAAATGTTGTAAATCTTCATAAGAACAGTGGCAGTCTCTGGCATTTGGGCTACAACCTATTCTATTATGCTCCCCACCACATACCCCTCAAGCCCCAGCTCCTTGTTATAGAAGCTCCCTCTAACCCCAGTTTATACTCTGGGACTGCAGTTTCACCCTGAGAAGGGAGGGCTGCTAGCATTTCTCATCATCTCCAACTTTATGTTGCAGAAGTTCTATTTCAGGCACATTTCAGAAAGGACTGGGTCTCTCTTCACCCACCCCACTCTAGGACAGATGCTGTATCCCAGATGCAGCAGGCCTGAAACCTGGGGAACCCAATCTTGCTCACCTCACTAGTAGGATAAGTTCCACACTAGGAAGAGCAAGCTGAGAAGACCAGGGTCTACCACCCCTTCCCCAGTGACCACTACTTGTACAGCAGGGCATCACTAGGGGAAAAGCATATCAGACAACACAGACTTTAAAACCAAAAAGTTACTACAAATAAAGATGGACATTTTATGATTACAAAAGGGTCAATCCAGGGAGATATAACAATTATAAACATATATATATATAACTAATAACAGAGACTCACCCAAAATATATGAAGCAAAACTGCCAGAACTGAAGGGAGAAATACACAATGCGACAGTAATAATGACAGTCTTCAGTATCCCCATTTTCAATAATGGCTATACCATCTAGGCAGAAGATAAAGATATAGAAGACTTGGAAAAAGTATAAACCAACTTGACTTGTAGACATCTGTAGAACACCATGCTCAACAACAGAATACTTATTCAGCTCAGGCATATGTAGAATGTTCTCCAAGATAGACCATATGCTAATCCATAATACAAACACTAGTAATTTTAAATGGATTTAAACAATACAGGCTGAACATTCCTAATCTGAAAATCCAAAATGCTCCAAAATCTGAATTTTTTTGTGTGCCAACATGATGCTCAAAGGAAATGCTTATTGAAGAATTGCAGATTCTCAGATTAGGGTTGCTTAACTGATAAGTGTAATGCAGATATTTCAAAATCTGAAAAAATCTGAAATTCAAAACACTCATGGTTCCAAGCATTTCAGGTAAGAGGGATACTCGTCCTGTACAAAGTATGTTCTCTGTCTTAATTTTCTACTGAAATAAATTGGAAATCAAAAAAGTCTTGGGATAATAAACATACTCCTTAATAATCAGTGAATCGAATAAATCAAAAGGGAAATTAGAAAATACTTCGAGATGAACAAAAACAAAACATATCAAAACTTACGGGATGCAGCAAAAACATTGCTGGGAAGGAAACATATACACACCAAAATATCTCAAATCAGAAACTTAACCTTCTCCCTAAAAAAACTAGCAAAAGAGCCAACTAAAGCAAACAGAAATAATAAAAACTAGAGGAAATAAATAAAATACAGAATAGAAAAACATAACAAAATCAACAAAACCAAAAGTTGGTTCTTTGAAAAGATCGAATTGTCAAACCTTTAGCTATACTGACCAGGGAATAAACAGAAAAGACTCAAATTACTAAAATCAGGAATGTAGGAGGTGACATTACTGTCAACTTTATAGAAAGAAGATTACAGGGCAATTTTATGAACAACTGTATGCTAATTCATTAACTTAGTTGAAATGGACAGATTTCCGGAAAGACCCAAAATACACAAACTGACTCACGGAGAAATAGAAAATCTGAATAGACTTATAACAAGTGAAATGTTTGCATTAGTCATTTAAAAACTTGCCAGAAAGTGGCTGGGCACGGCGGCTCACGCCTGTAATCCCTGCACTTTGGGAGGCGAGGCAGGCGGATCACGAGGTCAGGAGATCGAGACCATCCTGGCTAACGGTGAAACCCCACGTCTACTAAAGATACAACAAAAATTAGCCAGGCGTGTTAGTGGGCACCTGTAGTCCCAGCTACTCGGGAGGCTGAGGCAGGAGAATGGCGTGAACCCAGGAGGCGGAGCTTGCAGTGAGCCGAGATCGTGCCACTTCATTCCAGCCTGGGTGACAGAGCGAGACTCCATCTCAAAACAAAACAAAACAAAAACTTGCCAGAAAGCAAGCCCTGCTCCACATAGCTTTACTTAAGGATTCTATGAAACAATCAAAGAAGAATTAATACCAATTATTCCCAAACTCTTCCAAACAATAGAAAGGGAAACAATTCCCAGCTTAGTCTGTTAGATCTGTATTACCCTAATACCAAAACCAGACAAAGACACTACAAGAAAATATAGACAAATACTTCTGCTGAATATAGACGCAAAAATCCTCCACAAAATGCTAATAGATTATAAAAAGAATCTAGTGTACACCATGACCAAGTGACATTTATCTCAAGAATGCAGGGTTGGTTTAACATTGAAAAAATCAATACAGGGAAAACCAATAATCAAGTCAATAAACACAGAAAAAACATTTGAGATAATAACATCCTTTCATGATAATAATGCCTAACAAACTAGGATAGACGGGATTTTCTTCAACCTAATAAAGAGCATCTATGATAACCTGAAGGCTGACATCGTACTTAATGGTGAAAGAATGAAAAAATTCCCCCTACATCAAGAACAACACAAGGAGATCTATTCCTGTCACTTCTCTTCAACATTCTGTTCCAAGTTTGACCATGGCAATAGACCACATTACAATCTATCACAACATTGTGTGTGTTATCCAATTAATTTACTCCAAACATATCATGTTACTTGGGTGTGTGAACTTATGAGCTACTGTCTGGTAATGCGTATTGAGAAGGGCAGAAGGCCAAGCCCTGGTCTTTGTCTCTTCTTGTGAATTTAAAAGGAGAGATAATCCCCAAAATGGAGAGCCCCAGTTCCATACATACACATAAAAACTATTGATTGCCCCATATTTGTCACCACTCTTAACTGACAATGCTTAGGCAGAAGCATCGTGGGACAAAGGTGTCTTCCTAAATCATAGTTCAGTAGCCCTAGGACTGTGGAGGACCAGAGAGAGATGTTAGAGGAGAGCATTTCAAGGGCAGCTGCTCATCAACTCCTTACCCTGGCAAGCTTTTCTATTCTAGGTTGAAGGATCTGGCTCTATCTCAAGGCAGACAGGGAAGAAAGTGGAGAATAATAAAGTTCGGAAGCCTTCTCATAGCCTAGCCTCTCGTTGTCAGCTCAGGCTGCCCATTGACACTCACTTTCCTTTGCCTGCCACTTTAAGGCAGCCTTCAGTTCTCCCAAGGGCTTCTCACTGTTTTTTGGTTATTTCTTGGAGTCAGTACCTCCCTCTAACTTCTAAATTTTTTCAGCATTATTGTTGTGGGGAAGGAAGATGGCAGGAAGAGCCAGCATGTACTAAATCACTATCTTTAAGGAACCTAAATTAGCCCCTGATTAATTTGTTGCTTTTTTTTAAAATTATTTTAAATTTTTGTGGGTACATAGTAGATATATATATTTATGGATTACCTAAGATATTTTGATACAGGTATGCAATGCATAAAAATCACATCAAGGTAAATGGGATAGTCATCACCTCAGTCATTTATCTTTTGTGTTACCAACAATCCATTTATATTATTGTAGTTATTTAAAAGGTACAGTTAATTTTTTTTTTAACTGTAGTCACCGTGTTGTGCTAGGAAATGCTAGGTCTTATCCATACTTTCAGTTTCTTTATACGTATTAATCATCCCCATTTCTACCCATCCCCGCTGCTATCCTTCCCAGCCTCTGGTAACCATCCTCCTACTCTCTATCTCCATGAGTTCAATTGTTTTGATTTTTAGCTCCCACAAATAGTGAGAACATGGAAAGTTTGTCTTTCTGGGTCTGGCTTATTTTACTTAACATAATGTTCTCTAGCTCCATCCAGGTTGTTGCAAATGACAGGATCTCATTATTTTTCATGGTTGAATAGTACTCCATCGTGTATATGTACCACATTTTTTTTATCCATTCATCTGGTAATAAACACTTAGGTGGCTTCCAAATCTCGGCTATTGTGAATAGTGCTGTAATAAACATGGGAGTACATAAAACGCTACAATATACTGATTTCCTTTATTTTGGGTGTATACTCATGACTGGGATTGCTGGATTGTATGGTAGCTCTACTTCTAGTTTTTTGAGGAACCTCCAAACTGTTGTTCCTAGTGTTTGTACTAATACATTCCCACCAACATTCCCTTTTCTCCATATCCTTGCCAGTATTTGTTGTTGCCTTTTGGATAAAGCCATTTTAATTGGAATCAGATATCTCATTGTGGTTTTGATTTGCACTTCCCTGATAGTCATATTGAGCATTTTTTATATACCTCTTTGTCATTTGTATGTCTTCTTTTGAGAAATACCTATTCAGATACTTTGCCCATGTTTTAACCAGGTTATTAGATTTTTTCCTTTAGAGTCATTTGAGTTCCTCATATATTCTAGTTATTATTAATCCCTTGTCAAATAGGTAGTTTGCAAATATTTCCTCCCATTCTGTGAGCTGTCTCTTAACTTTGTTGATTGTTTCCTTTGCTGTGCAGAAGCTTTTTAAGTTGATATGATCCCATTTGTCCATTTTTGCTTTGGTTACTGGTGCTTGCGGAGTATTACTCAAGAAATCTGTGCCCACTCCAACGTCCTGGAGAGATGCTAACTAATGTCCCTTTCTTTCAGTTTGAAAGAACTCCCATTAGCATTTCTTGTAAGATATATCTGATGTTAGTGAAATCCCTCAGCTTTTGTTTGTCTGGGAACGTCTTTATTCCTCTTTCATATTTGAAGGATATTTTCGCTGGAAAGGATATTTTTGCCAGATATACTATTCTAGGGTAAAAGTGTGGGGGTTTTTTTTGTTGTTGTTGCCTTCAGCACTTTAAGTATGTCATGCCAGTCTCTCCTGGCCTGTAAGATTTCTACTGAAAAGTTTGCTGCCAGGTATTGGAGCTCCATTGTACCTAATTCTGTTTCTTTTCTCTTGTTAATTTTAGGATCCTTTCTTTATCCTTGATTTTTTAAAGTTTGATTATTAAATGCCTTGAGGTAGTCTTTGAGTTAAATCTGCTTGGTGTTCTATGACCATCTTGTAGTTCAATATTAATATCTTTCTCCAGATTTGGGAAGTGTTCTGTTATTATCACTTTAAATAAACTTTCTACCCCTATTTCCTTCTCTACCTCCTCTTTAAGGCCATTAACTCTTAGATTTCCCCTTTTGAGGCTATTTTCTAGGTCCCGTAGGTATGCCTCCTTTTTAATTCTTTTTTGTTTTCTCTCCTCTGACTGTATTTTCAAATAGCCTGTCTTCAAGCTCACTAATTCTTTCTTCTGCTTGATCAATTCTGCTATTAAGAAACTCTGATGCAGTCTTCAGTATGTCAGTTGCATTTTTCAACTCTAGAATTTCTGCTTGATTGTTTTTAATTATTTCAGCGTCTGTATTAAATTTGTCTGATAGAATTCTTAATTCCTTCTCTATGTTATCTTGAATTTCTTTGAATTTCCTCAAAACAGCCATTTTGAATTGTCCGTCTGGAAGGTCACATATCTCTGTTTCTCTCGGATTGGTCCCTGGTGCCTTATTTAATTCATTTAAGGAAGTCATGTTTTCCTGGCTGGTCTTAATGCTTGCAGATGTTCATCAGTGTCTGGGCATTGAAGAGTTAGGTATTTATTTTAATCTTCACAGTCTGGGCTTGTTTGTACCCCTTCTTCTTGGGTAGGCTTTCCAGATATTCAGAAGGACTTGAGTGTAGTGATCTAAGCCATATCTGCATTAGGGGGCACCCCAAGCCCAGCAACACTGTGGTTCTTGCAGACTTGTAGAAGTACCATCTTGGTGGTCTTGGATAAGATCAGGAAGCATTCTCTGGATTACCTGGCAAAGATTCCTGTTCTCTTTCCTTACTGTCTCCCAAACAAACAGTCTCTCTCTCTCTGTGCTGAGCCACCTGGATCTGGGAGTGGAATGACAAAGCATCCCTGTGGCCACCACCACTGGAACTGCACTGGGTCAGACCTGAAGCCAACACAGCACTGAGTCTCGCCCAAGGCCCACTGTAACCACTCCCTGGCTTCCAGGTGTGTTTCTTCAAGGCCCTAGGACTCTAAAATCAGCAGATAGTGAAGCCAGCCAGGTTTGTGTCCTTCTCTTCAGGACAGTGAGTTCCCCCAGGTCCCAGGTGGGTCTGTAGGTGTGTCCAGACCAGTCCAGACCAGGGACTGGAGTCAAACACCTTAGAAATCTACCTAGTGTTCTGTTGTCCTGCAGCTGAGCTGGCCTTCAACCCATTTGATGCAGTCCTACCCACTCTTCCCTCCCCTTTCCACAGGCAGAAGATCCCTACCCCATGGCCACCACCACCACAAGCCCACGGAGAATACCGCCAGGCTACCACCAGTATTCACTTAAAGCCCAAGGGCTCTTCAGTCAGCTTGTGGTAAATGCTGCCAGGTCTGGGACTCACCCTTCAGGGAATTGGGCTCCCTCCCCAATCCACAGCAGCCCTATCCTGCTGTGGCTGAGCTGGTATCCAAGATGCAAGACAAAGTCCTTGTTTCTCTTCCCCCTCCTCTCCTCTGTCAAGCAGAAGAAAGGGATCTCTTTCAGAGCTGTGAGCTGTGCTGCCTGGGGTTGGAGGAGGAGTGGTGCAAGCACTCCCTTGGGCACCCCAGCTCATGTCTCAGTAGGTTGCATGCCCCCCAAGTCTACTGGCTCCAAGCCCAGCACGGCACTAGGACTCTCTTAGGAATTGCGGTGCTTGTGGCCTAGACTGCCTTTCAAATTTATTTAGGGCCCCAGAACACTTTAGCCTGAGGTGGCAAGGCTAATGGGAACTCAAGTTAGGACTGCTAGAGTTCATCTAAATGCTGTCTCCTTGGGCAGGCGACCGCTGAGTTCAGCCAGATTTTGCTTTCTGCTGTGACAGGGCAGCACTGAGTTCATGGCAAAGTCTCACAGTCGCTGCACTGTCCCTCTCCCAAGTGCACAGACTCTCTCTCTGTGCCACTTGGCTGCTGCCGGGTGGAGTGGGGTAGGTGGGAAAGGGTGGCATCAGCGATTCAAGATTTTCTTCCCTACCCTCTTCATTGCCTCTTTCAGTGATATGAAGTTAAAACCAAACCAAGTACTGTGAGTGCTCACCTGATTTTTGGTTCTTATGAAGGTGATTTTTTTGGCATAGAGAGTTGTTAAATTTAGTATTTCTGTGGGGAGAAGGGACAATGAAGGTGGAGCCTTCTATTTGGCCATCATGCCCTGCCCTTCCACCTGCATTCCATTTTCTTAAACTATTGAAAATTATCAGCTGTTCACTGTTTATCAACTTTCCCAAGTCTTGAATTAGAGGTGAGCAACTAAATTGAAGAAAAGGTAGAGACAGAACTTCTTGAAGAACAAAAGCATGGTGGACAGTTGAACGAAATATAAAATGAAGTTCTGGCTCTGCGTTTTCAACTGCTTGGGATTTGAGGTTTATATGCATACTTTAAATGTGAATTACAAAATGTAAAATTTCGAAAACCATGGACCAAAATGATTGCATGAGGAGAGGACCTTGTGAAAGAAGGGTGTATATTTGAATTAGAAATGAGGGTTTGGATTGGTATAGGAGGATAGGGAAAAAAAACACAGGGCAGGCAGATTAGCAGAGCCGTGGGGGACTTGCCCATGGAACTAGCCTGGCTCAGGTGGAAGGTCTGGATTGAAAACAGGGTTACTTGTTTAGGTTGGGTCATGTGAGATTAGGAAGGAACCTAGTAACTAGTGGGTGTGTATAGGTAGTTAGAAAAAGCAAGGAAGCTATAGAAGTTAGGAGGCCTGTACCAATAAGATTAGCTACAGAAGTAGTAAGTGGACTATAGAATAAAGTTTCACTTCTAAGGCAAACCATGGCATGGATGCCAAGGGAGTCATTAAAATGGATTTGTGGATTTCAGACCATTGAGTGTGTTTAGGTTTGACAAGAGGCAGTTCAGTACTGGCGGTTAAAGCGCAGACTAGACCCAGAAGACTTAGATTCACATCCAGGTTCCAAGTGTGCCTTTGACAAGTTAATTAACTTTTCTGTGCCCCAGTATTCTCATCTATGAAATGAGTATAGTAAAAGCCCCTAACTCACAAGATTTCCTCACACAACTTTGCTACTCAGTTTCTGCTCCTAAAATGAAGAGCACGTATCTGTGGAATTTGAGAAGAGGACACAATTGGTAGGAGGCCGGGTGGTGGTACAGAAAGAAAGAAAAGGAACTGACCATTTTGTGCCCCGTCCGCCGCCTCACTGGGTTCTGAGCCTCAGGGATGAAACTTGCTTCACTGTATCCCAGCACCTGGCACTGTACGTGACATAATTGGCACTCAGGAAATATTTATTGAAAGACTAAATGCATTTTTATGTGTAATTTTAAATATAAATTCAGAAAGCATTTTAATATATTTAGCTATGTATTTGTCTAACAATTTTGATTAATTTTTTAACAACTAGAAATAATCAGAATTATCTGTGAAATATTTGTGATAATTTTCTTTTTGTTTTACAGACCAGTTGGAATGCCAAAAATGGAAAAAGTCTACTTACATAATCCTAGTTCTGAAGAAACGATTACTTTAGTATCAATATCTGCTACAACATCACATTTTCATGCATCATTTTTTCAAAATAGGGTAAGTTTCTCTGCTATACATGATCTTTCCTGAGTTTGAAGTTGAAATGTCTAGATTTTTATTGATTAATAACTTGCTGTGATTAGAATTGGGTTTGAATATTTCAAATCTGTTCCTAGATTTGTTTCACTTCCTAAGAATGATTACTTCTACCCTTAACCATATTGTTTTTCTCAACATGCAACAGCTTAACAAATCAGCAGTGAACCTTAAATACTCTGAAAAAGGTAGCATTCTTACATTCAGTACATTTTATTTTCCTTCCTAATAATAGGTAATTCCTTCGCATTGTGTTAGTTGTTTCTTGCTACATAATAAATTACCACAAACTTGAGACTTGTGGCAACAGCCACTTAGCACACAGTTCTGTAAACTGTAAGCACACTGGGTTGTTTGTTCAGTGTATCAGGCTGAATTAAGATGTCTTCCGGGCTGAGTCCTTGTCCAGAGGCTCTGAGGGGAAATCACTTCCAAACTCATTAAAGTTGTTGAGAGAATTAGGTTCCTTGTGGTTGTAGAACTGAAACCCTTGTTTCGCTGCTGGCTCTTGGTCAGTGACCCCTCTCAGCTCCTCAGGGCCTCCAGGTTCCTTCTCACGGGCCATCCATCTTCAAGCCAGCAACAGCGCATCTTTCCCCTGGCACTTTGTACCTCTCTGGTGTCCTCTTCTGCCTCCAGTGAGAAAACTCTGCTTTAAAGGGCTCCTGTCAGTGGGTCAGGACTCTCTGGATAGTCTCCCTTTTGATTAACTGAAAGGCAACTGGTTGGGAGCCTTAATTACATCTTAGTCACAGCCTCAGAGATTAGGGTATAAAGTCTTGGGCTCCAATTTAAGGTTCTCCTTACCACAAATATCCTCTAAAATTTTATTTGTAATTTTCATAGGAAGTATGTAAACTCATTATTAAAAACTTTCTCTGACCAAATAAATAAAAATGGTATCTTAAGTACATTTTAAATTTGAGAGAATACCTAAAACTTTAATATATAGGTTTCCAAAATAATTAACAAAATAACAAAGATCAGAGGGAAGTAAATGAATAGGACCGAATTTCATCTTCCCAGAATTTTCACTGACTCCTTTGAAGGGATGTGATTGAGTAACAAAGAAGAAACCTTTTTAGCCATGTAAGATATTGGTTGCTACATTTTTATATCATTTATTTGATGTTTACATTTCTCCTCTCTAAAATCCTGTTTCATCATATGTTGTTTACTTTAGAGTAAAATTAAAAAGCATAACTTTTTCATTTAAAGGTATTTTATAAACAAGGGACTGATAAATCAGCATATTACTTCTGGTAATAAAAAGTTTAATTTTGGGGGGATCTTTGTGGAAATATCCCTTTTCTAAATTATTTCTTAAAATAGCTTTCCCTTGAGTTATTCTTTGTTATCTAAAAGATATTTCCACACTTTTTATAAATGTGCTATTAATAATAGCCTCCAACAATATAATTCTAATGCTGTGAGAGACCTGTGTATACACAGGCCGAGCTCCAGAGAGGCCTGTTCCAGTCATGCAGTGAGTGACAGGTGCCAAGGTGAAGGTGTCGGTGTTCTATTATCATCCCCAGTGATTTATATCATATTACACTTCAGTGAGTGGCCTGTACCTAATAGCTTCTATAGAGAGATGTATTTATGTGTAATGAAACCATCCAGCTTTCAGGCATTGTCAGTATGCAGAGACAGGTTAGGTTAAAGGGCAAAATTGTGAAGTAAAAATGGAATCAGTTAAAAAATAGTTCACAATTGCACTATACATTTTATTTCTAACTTGTTAACTTTTTGCTAAGTCAAGCAATATTTTGTTGTTTCTGAACACTTCAAGCTTCACCTGTGTTAAAGGCCAGGGTTTTTATTTTTTTCATTGCTACCGTAATACAGAGACTAGAACAAGAGTTGCAAACAGATTCTTAAACTGGGCTAGGTAAACAATATAAATGAGGGAAGCAAGCCAAGTGGGATGTGGGGGTGTCCTAGAGAACATGTGACCCATTCGAAGAGATCAGCCCCCACCGGGCTCCAGCCCAGTGGTTACCATGTTGGGAGTCTAAGCCCATGTGCAGTTCTGCTGATTCCCAAGAAGAGTCAGAAATAAGAAGTTTCATGTATCTGCCAGTCTTTACACATTGAAAATCAGTTCAATTTTAGAAAGACAGTATGGGCCAAACAACATAGGCTAAAGGCTACTAACTTGACGTTTCTGAACTAGACTCTCCCAGGGACTATTTCTATATATGAATGTTAGGCAAAGAGAATAGTTTCTCTGGAAATTTTTTAAAAGATAAACTAAATGTGTAGGTAATCAAGGAACAAGTTAACCAATCTGTTTTGTGCTGTCAGATGATGGAATTAAACAATAAAAATAATTACACCTATCAAAATCCACATTTAAATAGTCAAGATTTAGCTCAAAGGAGATAGCCAAAATCTTTACTCTCTCCTCTTATCCTTTTTTCTTCTTCTTGCTTTGCATCTTTTTTTCCCTACAATAAGACACTGACTTAAGCTCGAGACGTAGAGGGGAGAGATAGAATGAACTCTTGGGGGAAGAAATAACCTATTTCCTCTCCACTTCAGCTTTATGCCAACAATAAGAGCCTTGGGGAAAGATGAATAGAGTTTCTTATGTCGAGGAGAGCAAAATCTTTCTGTATGTTTACTCTAATTGCCTTTGTCATGCTCGGAATTCCTGGTCAGGTCTTATTTCTTTGACAATAAAACATTGTCTATAACTCAGAGTTTTTAGTTATTAACTGTTATCTGTACGTTAACCAAAAAGTAGGAAATACAGAAAAGACTATTTTTTAATTATTGTTCAAACTAAGTTTTACATAATTATATTTTAACACGCACATGCAAGTAATCTTGTTAAGGTTTTGATTTTAAGACCACCTGAAAATCAAAAAGAATAGAAATACTAAGAGAGGTACGGGGTATGGTTGTATGACAATTTATTTCTCTGTATATAAGTTTTTGTAATTATCTATAATTATCTGTTAATTGAATATAATTATCTAATTATAATTCAAAATTATGTAATAGACTGCATTTAGGCCATTCATCTTTCATGGCCATATTATATATAGGCCATAAAATATGCAATATATGTTTTGCATCAGAAAATACAGAATTTTATAATAATATTCTATACAAGTCCAATTGTGGAAATGGGGTGCCTTACACACAGTAGGAAACAAAAATGTTTTCTTTATTGACTAGAAGCTTTTGATTAATTAAATTTTCAGACAAACTGAAGATTAGGACAAACTTTGTTTCAGTCTGTGACTAAAATTAAAATGTTATAGTTCACTTATTTCAGTATACTTAATGATCAATCTCTTCTCATGGGTTGAAGGGTGTTAATAAATATTAATGATTATTTTAATTAGATATAGAAGGACATTATTCTATTGATTCCATGCATGTTTTTGGGAATTTAACAAAATGCGATGTAGCAATAGTATGGAATTTTATGCAGATAATAAAGAGAATGAAATAGGTCTCTGTCTATTGATCTGGAATAATATACATGACATGCTAATATGTAAGAAAAGCATATTGTAGAGTAGAATATAATGCCTTTTTTTTTTTTTTTGAGACAGGGTCTCTCTCTGTCACCCAGGCTGGAGTGCAGTGGCATGATCTCAGCTCACTGCAACCTCTGCCTCCTGGTTCAAGCAATTCTTGTGCCTCAGCTTCCCCAGTAGCTGGGACTACAAGCACCTGCTACCACACCCAGCTAATTTTTGTATTTTTTGGTAGAGATGGAGTTTTGCCATGTTGGCCAGGCTGGTCTCAAACTCCTAGCCTCAAGCAATCTGCCTGCCTCAGCCTCCCAAAGTGCCGGGATGACAGGCGTGAGCCACCGTGCCTTGCCTATAATGCCATTTTTATTAAAAGCAAAAAATCTGTGTATATTTATTTGGGTATATTAATAAGAGCCGGAATAAAGCACAGATTTGCCAGGTTGACTGGATAACCTAATAATGGTGAGAATGGAGGAAGTTTGAGTGTATTAGCTTTTTATTCAGTCATCTTTGCACTGTATCACTAAGTAAAATAAGCACTTGTTACTTTTGCAGTTTAAAACATACAAGAAAATGTAAATTAAAAATAGTTTTGCCACCCCACCTATGTGGAAAGAAGGAATTAATTTAACAAATATTTATGAAGTGTCTACTTAAAGTGCCAGGCACTTTTGTTTTTACCAGTGAAAACAGAGATGCTTATCATACATACTCTGGGGAGTTTGGGTGAAGTCAGCAGCAGAGGGAAGGCAAGCATGATAAATAAGTAAATTTTATAAGATCTTAGAAGATGTTACAAGGTCAGAAGAAAAGTATAAGATCAGAGACTTAGGTGTGCACAGGGAAGGCGGTACCATTTTAAATAGGGTGGTCAGGGTAGGCTTTATTCAGAAGGTGACATTTGAACAAAGACTCGAAGGGCGTGAGGTAGGACTGTTTGGAGGAAAGTGAAATATATGGAAGAAGAGCATTCTAGCCGGAAGGACCAAGCAGTATAAAGTCTCCATTGTTGAAAGCAGGCCTGTTGTGCAAAGACAGCCAGACCAGAGTGAGCATGGGTGAGAGGAGAAGTAAGGGGGCAGACTATGAAGGGTCTTACAAACTATGGTTTGACTTGACTCTTTTTCCTGAATGATGTGGAAAGCCATCAAAGGGTTTTGAACAGAGGAATGAAATTGTAGCTTTAGGTTTTAATAGGATCATTGTTCATCAAAAATAGGACAAGGGACACCAGTCACATTGGCTGTTGTCATACTCCAGGGTAAGAAGATGATTAGATGATTACTCTGACCAGAGTGGTACGTGGAAGAGGTGAAGAAAGGAGTTGGACTTGGGATACAGGGATACCTTGGAGATATTATGGGTTCCGTTCCAGACCACTGCAGTAAGCCAGTCACAGAATTTTTTTGTTTCCCCATATATATAAAAGTTATGTTTATACTATACTGTGGCCTATTAAGTGCAGTAGCATTGTGTCTAAAAAATGTACATACCTTAATTTCAAAAATACTTTATTGCTAAAAACTGCTGATGATCATGTCAGCCTTCTGCAAGTCGTCATCTTTTTGCTGGTGGAGGGCCTTCCCTCAATGTTGACAGCCACTGACTGATCAGGGTAGTGGTTGCTGAAGGTTGGGATGGCCGTGACAGTTGCTTAAAATAAGACAGCAGTAAAGTTTGCCACATTCATTGATTCTTCTTTTCACAAAAGATTTCTCTGTAGCGTGCAATGCTGTTTAATAGCACTTTACCCACAGCAGAAATTCTTTCAAAATTGGAGTCAATCCTTTCAAACCCTGCCTCTAAGTTTATGTAGTATTCTAAGTTCTTTGCTGTCATTGTCAGCATATTCACAGCATCTTCACTAGGAGTAGATTTCATCTCACGAAACCACTTTTTTTGCTCATCCCTAAGAAACAACTCCTCTTCCGTTCAAGTTTTATCATGGGATTGCACAAATTCATTCACATCTGCAGATGCCACTTCTAATTCTTTTCTCTTGCTGTTTCTACCACATCTACAGTGACTTCTCCACTGAAGTCTTGAACCCTTCCTTCAAAGTCATCCATAAGGGTTGGGATTAACTTCTTCCAGCCTCCTATTGTTGACATTTTAACCTTCTCCCATGAATCACAAATGTTCTTTTTTTTTTTTTTTTTTCCAAGACGGGGTCTCACTCTGTCGCCCAGGCTGGAGTGCACTGGCACAATCTTGGCTCACTGCAACCTCCGCCTCCCAGGTTCAAGCAATTCTCCTGCCTCAGCCTTCTGAATAGCTGGGATTATAGGCCCGTCCCACCACTGCCAGCTACATTTTTTTTTTTTTTTTTTTTTTTAGTAGAGATGGGATTTCACCATGTTGGCGAGGCTGGTCTCGAACTCCTGACTTCAGGTGATCCACCCGCCTCAGCCTCCCAAAGTGCTGGGATTACAGACTTGAGCCACTGTGCCCAGCTGCAAATGTTCTTAATGGCATTTAGAATGGTGACTCATTTCCAGGAGGTTTTCAATGGACTTTGCCCAGATCCATCAGAGGAATCACCCTTTGTGGCAGCTATAGCCTTAAGCAGTGTATTTCTTCAATAAGAAGACTTGCAACTTGAAATTACTCCTTGATCCTTGGCTGAAGAATGGATGTTGTGTTAGCAGTCATGAAAACAACGTGCATCTTCTTGTACATTTTCATCAGAGCTCCTGGGTGACCAGTTGCCTTGTCACTGAGCAGTAATATTTGGAAAGAAATCTTTTTTCTGAGCATTAGGTCTCAACAGTGGATTTTAAATATTCAGTAAACCATGTTATAAATAGATGTGCTGTTATCTAGGCCTTGTCCATTTATAGAGCACAGGTAGAATAGATTTAGCACAGTTCTTAAGGTCTCTAGAATTTTCAGAATGGCAGATGAGCACTGGCTTCAACTTAAAGCCACCAGCTGTGTTAGTCCCTAATAAGAGAGAGTCAGCCTGTCCTTTGAAGCTTTGAAGCCAGGCACTGACTTCTCTTTAGATGGTATCTTCCAACAGAAGGCTGCTTGATCTACATGGAAAATTTGTTGTTTAGTGTGGCCACGTTCATCAATGATCTTAGCTAGATCTTCTGGATAACTTGCTGCAACTTGTACATCAGCATTTAATGCTTCACCTTGCACTTTTATGTGATGGAGCTGGCTTCTTTTCTTAAACCTCATGAATCGATCCCTTTTAGCTTTCAGCTATTCTGCAGCTTCCTCCCCTCTCTCAGCCTTCACAGAATTAAAGAGAGTCAGGGCCTTGCTCTGGATTAGACTTTGGCTTAAGAGAATGGTATGGCAAGGCCAGGCGTGGTGGCTCACGCCTGTAGTCCCAGCACTTTGGGAGGCTGAGGCAGGTGGATCACCTAAGGTCAGGAGTTCGAAACCAACCTGGCCAACGTGGTGAAACCCCATCTCTACTAAAAATACAAAAATTGGGTGTGGTGGTGTGCACCTATAATCTCAGTTACTCAGGAGGCTGAGGCACAAGAATCGCTTGAACCTGGAAGGCAGAGATTGCAGTGAGCCAAGACCACGCCATTGCACTCCAGCCTGGGCATCAAGCGAAACTCCATCTCAAAAAAAAAAAAAAAAAAAGAGAATGCCGTGGCTGCTTAGCTCTTCCATCCAGACCACTAAAGCTTTATCCCTATCAGCAATAAGGCTGTTTTCCTTCTTTACCACATGTGTGTTCACTGGAATAGCATTTTTAACTTCCTTCAACAACTTTTCCTTTGCATTCACAGCTTGGCTGTTTGGCACTAAAGGCCTAGCTTTGAGCCTCTCTTGGCTTTGAGCATGTCTTCCTCACTAACCTTATTTCCAGATTTTGGGTTAAAGTGAGAGATGTGCAACCCTTCCTTTTACTCCAACACTTACAGGCCATTGTAGGGCTACTAATTGGCCTAATTGTAATATTATTGTATCTTAGGAATAGGGAAGCTTGAGGAGAGGAAGGGAGTTGGGAGAACAGCAGTTGGTGGAGCAATGAGAACACACATAACATTTTTCGATTTAAGCTTGCCATCTTATGTGGGCATAATTTGTGGTGCCCTAAAACAATTTCAGTAGCAACATCAAAGATCACAGATCACCATGCAGATATAATAATAATGAAAAATTTGGAAATATTGCAAGATTGCCAAAATGTGACACAGAGATAGAAAGTGAGTACATGGTGTTGGAAAAATGACACTGATAGACTTGCTTGATGCGTGGTTGCTACAAACCTTTAATTTGTCAAACAAAAAACTGCAGTACCTGCGAAGTGCAGTAAAGCAAAGCACAATAAAATGAGATATGCTGTATGTTTTGAAGATACACCCAACAGGATTTCCTGATGTGGGATTTGAGAGAAAGAGAAGAGTCAAAATTGACTCTAGAATTTTGTCCTGAGCAACTAGAAGGACAGAGTTGAGTCAGCTGAATTGAAGAAGGCAGAGGGTAGAACGGGTTTCAGAGGTACAATCAGTAGTTCAATTTGGACATGTTAGATTTCAGGTATCTCCTAGATATCCAAGAGGAGGTGGCAAATAGGCAGATAGTATTCGAGTTTGGTATATGAGAACTCGACTAGAAATAGAAATTTAGGAGTCACTAGTGTATATCTGAAGCCATGGATCTGGATGAGATCACCAAGGAAGGAAAAAGCCCAGGGACTGAGCTATGGTACAGTGCTGACTTGGGAAAATTACGGTTTCTTAGTGGTATTACTAGAAACTCAGATCTCCTATCCATCATCTACATACTAGATGTCCAGTTCCGATAGTGGCAGAAAACTGCACTAAAAATTAAACATTCCATGGTGATTTTTCTAACTCTTTGGAGTTTAGATGGGCCTTAAAAGGGTATTGTTTGAATATAGACATTTTTAAATCAAATTAAGTTCTCATAAAAACCTTAAAGGAAACCAGTTTTCCTCTGGATACATTTTCAGTAATAAACATAGGCCTTATGAATCTCTTCATTGACACTAGAACTGTTCTTGGGTAGGAATACCATAATTCTAAAACTTTCACCTTTTTTTAGAGAACATTTTAGATTTTTTTTAGGTGGATACACAGCATTTATTGTACTAATTTTGCTACTGTTTTTTTTCTTTCAACTTTTATTTTAAGTTCAGGGATACATGTGCAGGATGTGCAGGTTCGTTACATAGGTAAATGTTTTTTTCACATCTTTTATATCAGAAATTGAGACCCATGTTACAGTCAAGGGCACCTTACAGTCATGGTCAGCCTGGATTAAGGGTGTGTTTTTCCAGAGAGGATGGCACTGGTGGTCTCAACACTACCAAGGAAACATTAAATTGTCTGCTTGAGGTTTTTTTAGACCACTGGTATGTATTCAGACCACACACCTCTATGAGTACTGATATATAGCGCAAATTCTAAGAATAAGTTAGTTTTTCTCCCTTCCTGCGGTGCCCAGAATGACTCACATAAGTTTTCTTCACTGCCCCTTTCTGTGGGTCAGGTTTGTACTTGTCATCCTCACTCCTTGTTTTATCTGAAGATCTGTTAGGTCTGCATTTTTGAACATTCTCTTTTTTTTCTTTTTCTCATTCTTGGTATGGTATAAAACATCTGTATTACAAGCACTGGCATCTTAGATGGGAAAATGATATTGTCATGTTTTGTTTTGTTTTGTTTTTTTCATACTGCCGGAGAGTCCTCTCTATGTCTCTCAGTGTCAGTTCTGTGAATCCTTATATTGTCAGAGGGAGTTAGGAAGGTGATAAAAGGGTGACCAGTCATATGATTCTGTAGAATTAAATTCACAACAATAAAAAGTGTGGGTGGACTGCCTGAACTCAGTGATATTATCTACTTCATTTCAAGATTTTGTTGTTTTAAAGTTAATTTGGCTTTAATCTTGCCCACCAAGAGTTAAACCTGAACATTCAATTATTTGTTCTTGCCCCAGGGGAACATGAACACTGAGACCCTTATGAAAAAAGGTCCAGGCTAAAATATGCTTGAGTGAATCCGCAACCCTCGTGGATTCACCCAAAACAGTAAAAAAAAAAAAAAAAAAAAAAAGAGAGAGAGAGATATACACACACAGACACACACATATATATACATAGACACACTGATGTATTTAATATATATTTTATATGTATTTGTTTTTAAATTATAGTATACTTGCAGTGAAATTCACCCTTTTAGTGTATAGTTCTGAGTTTTGACAAACCCATAAGGTCATATAATCAACAATTTGGTCAACTCAAACCACTGAGTGTAGCCTATTCCAGAAGACTGTATTAATGGAACCATGTAGCATATAGCATTTTTAGTCTGGCTTCTTTCTTTTAGCATAATGCATTTCATATTGGTTGGTGTAGTAGGCTGTATCAGTTCTTTGTACCACTTTATTATTATGGAATAGTATTTCATTGGCTGGCGGTGTCACTGTGTGGTTTATTCATTCACTAGTTGAAGACTTTTGGGGTGTTTCCAGTTTGGAGTTATTATAAATAAACTCACTGTAAATATTTACCTACAGATTTTAACAGTTTTTTATAACAACTGTTCCAGTTTGTATTCCCATGAGAAACATGAGAGTTTTGGTTGCTCCACATCCTTATTAGCACTCTGTATTGTGAGGTTTGGGTTTTTTGTGATGCGAGTCACTCAGCTAGGTGTACAGTGTTAGGCCATTTTTATCTTAATTTGCATTCTCCAGTGAAAATTGATTTTGAGCATCTTTTTATTTGCCATCCATATGTTTTCTTTGGTGAAGTGTCTGTTCAGTTCTTTGCCTGTTTTTTAAGTTGAGTTGTTTGTTTTCTCATTGAGTTCGTGAGAGTTCCTTATGTGTTCAGGATACAAGTCTTTCTTGAGATATGTGATTTGCAAGTCTTTTCTTCCAGTTTGTGTCATACCTTTTCATTCTTTTTATATAATATTTGAAAGAGCAGAAGTTTATAATTTTCATGGTGTCCAGTTTATCAAATTGTTCTTTTATGGGTCATGCTTTGGGAGTTGTAGCTAGGAAATCTTTGCCTAATCCAAAGTCACAAAGATTTTCTCCTTTTTTTTTCCTAGAAGTACAGCTGGCCCTGTGTATCCATGAGCTTCTCATCCATGGATTCAGTCAACTGCAGGTCAAAACTATTTGAGAAAAAAAAAATAGTGCTTCTGTACTGAACAAGACTTTTCTTGTCTGTACATGTTCAAACAAATAATACAGTATAAACTACTTACATAGCATTTACATTGTATTAAGTATTACAAGTAATGTAGAGATTATTTAAAGTATCCCCAGGAGATACGTGCATAGCCAGGAGGATAGGCATAGGTTATATGCAAATGCTACATTGTTTTTTAGCAGAGACTTCAGCAACCACAGATGTTGGTATCTGCATGAAGTCCTGGAGCCAATCCCACAGATACTGAGGGACAACCATAATAGTTTTAGATTTTATATTTAGATCTACAGTCCATTTTTAGCTACTGTTTGTTTATGGTATAAGATATGGATTGAGGATTGTTTTGTTTTGTGTGTGGATATTCATTGGTTCCTGGACTGTTGGTTGAAAACAACTATTCTTTTTCATTGAAATCCCACTGTACTTTTGTTGAAAGTCAGTTGACCTTGTATGTGTGAGTCTGGTTTTGGACTCTTCACTATGTTCTAATACGTATCTAATAGACTCTGAAATACCTGTCCTTTCACCAGCCCATACTGTTTTGATAACTGTGGCTTTATATTAATTCTTAGAATTAGATACTATGAATCCTCCAATTTTGATTTTCTCTTTCAGAATTGCTTTGGCTTTCCTTATTTCCTTTCTTTATCATCTAAATTTTAGAATCAGCGTGTCAGTTTCTTTAAAAAAAAATACTGCTGAGTTTTTTTTATAATGTTCTTTTGAATTAACTTTAAAGATGTACAGAAAAGTAATACTCTCCATATATTCCTCACTCTAACATTCTTCTGATGTTAACATCTTATATAATCATAGTACAATTTTCAAACCAGGAAACTAGCATTAGTACGATACCATTAACTAAAGAACTTATATGAATTTCATCAGTTTTTCTATCAGTGTACTGCTTTTTCTGTTTTAGGATCCTATTTCCTATTGCATTTAGTTGTTACTTCTCCTTAGACTGAATTTTGGTTCCACTTGCATTAGATATATAAATCCATTTCAGGAGAACTAACATCTAATATTGAGTCTTCTAACCCATGAACACAATATTTTCATTAATTTGTCTTCTTCAGTTACTTTCAGTAGTGTTTTATAGTTTTCAGCTTACAGAACTTGTATGTTATTAGATTTATACCTCAGTATTTCTTTGTGTGTGTGTTATCCTAAATAGTACGTTTTTAAAAATTAGAATTCCACTTGTTCATTGCTAGTATATGGAGATACAATTGATCATTATATGTTGACCTTGATTCCCATGACTTTGTTAAACTCTTTTAGGAGGATTTTTATAGATATTTTTAGGGATTTTTCTGTGTAGAAAGCCATGTTATCTGAATAAAAACAGATTTTTCTTCTGTACTAATGTGTAGTGCCTTTTATCTCTTTTTCGCACTTCTTTGCACTTTATTTTTGAGACCGAATCTCACTCTGTCACCAGGCTGGAGTGCAGTGGCGCAATCTCTGCTCACTGCAACCTCTGTCTCCCGGGTTCAAGCGACTCTCCTGCCTCGGCCCCCCCCCCCCCCCCCAGTAGCTGGGACTACAGGCACGCGCCATCACACCCAACTAATTTTTGTGTTTTTAGTAGAGGTGGGGTTTCACCATGTTGGCCAGGATGGTCTCAATCTGTTGACCTTGTGATCCGCCCACCTCGGCCTCCCAAATTGCTGGGATTACAGGCGTGAGCCACCGCGCCGGCCCTCTTTGCACGTCCAATACAGTGTTAGATAGCTGTCATAAGAGAGGGCATCCTTGCCTTGTTTTAAATTTTGGAGGAAAAGCATTCAATCATTCACCATTAAATGCTGTGGTAGCTCCTAGGGCAGGAGTGTCCAATCTTTGCTTCCCTGGGGCACATTGGAAGAAGAAGAATTGTCTTGGGCCACACATAAAATACACTAATGATAGCTTTAAAATAAAAAGGCACCAAAAAACTTAATGTTTTAAGAAAGTTTACAAATTTGTGTTGGGCCCAATTCAAGCTATCCTGGGCTGCATGCAGCCCATGGGCTGCAGGATGGACAAGCTTCTTTAGGGTTTTTGTAGGTGTTCTTTATAATATTGAGGGAGTTCTCTTCTATTGACTTAGTTTACTGAGATTTTAAATCATGACTTGATATTCAATTTTGTCAAATTATATGCTGCTGTTGAGATGATCTTGTGCTTTTTCTTTAGTCTGTTAAGTAAATTACATTGATTTGATTTTTGAATGTTGAACTAGAATTGCATTTCTAGGTTAAAAACTACTTGCTCATGATGTGTTGCCCGTTTTATATCTTGCCTCGATTCAGTTTGCCGTACTTTGTGGAAAGTTGTGTTTCTATGTTTACGAAGGATATTGGCTTATACTTTTCAAGTCTTTATGTGGTCCTGATTCAGGGTAATGCTGAATTAGGAATGTTCTCTCCTGTATGTCGGAAAGTTTATGTAACGTAGGTATTATTTCTTTCTTAAATGGTTGGTAGAGAATTCTTTTCCACGAGTGAAATCATTTAAGCTCGGGCTTTTCTTTGTGGGAAGATTTTAAACCACAAATTAAATTTTAACTGTGTGCACGACTATTTCAGTTTGAGTGAGCTTTGGCAGATTGTGTCAGATCTAGCCGACTGTCAAAGAATGTGTCCATTTCTCCTAGCTGTTAAATTTGTGGGCATGGAGTTGCTTGTAATACTCCTTTATCATTCTTTTTGTGTGTAAAGTGTATGCAATGATGTCCACATTTTAGTTCCTTATATTTTTGACTTCTCCCTTTTTATCACAGTCACTCTCTGTAGAGTTTTATCCATTTTATGGACTTTTTGAGGCACCAGCTTCGGTTTTATTGATTTTTTTTTTTTTTTGCTACTTTCTGTTTTCTATTTCATTAATTTTTACTCTTTATTTTCCTTCCTTTTGCTTACTCTGGGTTTAATTTATTCTTTTTCTAGTGTCTCAAAACAGAAATGTAGATTATTGATGTGAAACATTTCTGTTCAAAATAAGCATGTAATGCTATAAATTTTCTTCCAAGTATTGCTTTACCTGCAGCCTACAGATTTTAATATTGTGCTTTCATTTCCAATCAATTCAAAATATTTTATAATTTCTCTTGTTACTACTCATTTCACCCGTGGCTTATTTTAGAAGTATGTTGTTGAATTTCAGACTTTTTGAGGGTTTGCCGGGTATCTTTCTGTTGCTAATTTCTGGCTCAGGTGTGAATAGCACCAGTGTCTACAGCTTCCAGGGCTTTTGTGCTCCCGTGCAAGTTCACACAGTCAACCTCTAGCAATGTGTAAACATGTTAGCTGCATTTCTAGCTGACACTCCTGTATGATAGCCTCATCTTCTTCCCTTCTCTGCCATGGGTGAGCCAGTATTCCCATTCTATCTGTCCTTGGAGGTGCTTGTCTTTTCTACGATTTCAGGCTAGTTGATAATCTCACTCTGTGATGGGTTCAAGAAAAGTTGTGAATTATTGTAATTATTCTTTTGTTGCACTACATTACCGTAATATAATGCAACAAAAGAATAATTACAATAATTCACAACTTGTAAGTTACTCTTTTGTTGGTGGTAATGTAGGAGACATACTCTCGCTTTCTTCAGACTAAGGTGAAGCCAGAGTCTTACTACCATGTATTTTGAGCTATCATTTAGGTAGCATTTTAGAGTTCTAGCCATAGAGGCAGAATGAGAGAGGTTGATGGCTTTACATATTAAAATGCACTTTAAGGCTTTGTTTCAGGGCAGAACCGCAATTTCAGTCTCTTGAACATGGGAGTAGCCCTATTGTTTTGTGGTAATAACATTTTATTTTACTAACTATAGTGACATTCTTAATCTGCAGAAAGTAACAGGAGTGAGTTCCTGCACATACATTCACCCCTGCCTTCTTTCCTATTTAAGTTGCTGGGACATTTTGTTCCTTGTGTGGATGGAAGGCAGATTTCATAAGGTTGAGGCCTGGGCTTATTCTTTGGACTAAAACAAGTCACTGCTTAGTAGTACAGCAGTATATCTATATGAAAACTCAGCCTCAACGCAACTCCTATCTGATTGTCTCATCGTGGAACAGCCTGTAATTAGGTACTTCATGCCAGCCTAGTGATTGTTAAATGAACAGAATCCAGGAAACCATCTGTTGTACAAGGCTGTGGCTGGTAATTGACAAAGATATGTGACTGTAGACATTCAATATGGAAGACATCTTTTTAATTATTTTCCACTGCTAACTTAAAGCTTAAACTTTTAAAGGAAAAACTAGTTTATGGAAGTGATTCTAAGAAACTTGTTTAAGGAACTTGAGCTGTATAATTTTTTTTCTTGTTACAAATTTAACTTTATTTTCTGTTTCAGAAAATTCTTCCAGGAGGAAATACATCATTTGATGTAGTTTTTCTTGCAAGAGTAGTAGGAAATGTAGAAAATACTTTATTTATTAATACATCTAATCATGGGGTATTTACTTACCAGGTAAGAACCAGAATTAAAACTTATTTTATACAATATAATCATTACCTCTGCCTTATCATATGACAGCCTTTTAAGAACTCAGGAACTCAAAGGATAATAGAAAATGTAGGAGTTTAGACTTAGAGCATTTTTATACTTACAGTGAATATCTCTATTCAATATCTCTATTCAAATCAGACTGAACAGGTGATTTTAAAGCAACAGCTAAAGTGTTAATTTAAGATTGACAAAAGAATAGTGAAAAAATATTTTCATGCTGACTTATAAAATTTTGTTTAATTTTTACTTTTACACACTTATGAAGCATACTTGATAATAGTGTCAAGATTAAAACATTCATGTCTACTTTCCTTTAGTAGGTATTTTTTGATAAACTTATTTTTACATAGAATTTTGGTTTAGGTCATTAAAGAAAGTTAATGTATATAGGAGTCATATAGTAAATCTTTTTGTATATCAGCCATTATTCTGTTTGTGAATCAAGATTTTTATATGTCAGGACTAAGGCTGGGTATGGTAGCTCACACCTGTAATCCCAGCACTTTGGGAGGCCAAGGTGGGAGGATCACTTGAAGCCAGGAGTTCGAGACCAGCCTGGGCAACAAAGCAAGACCTCATCTCTACAAAAAACATTTTTATAAATTAACTGGGCACAGTGGTGAGCACTTGTAGTCTCAGCTACTCGGGAGGCTGAAGTGGGAGGATCGCTTGAGCCCAAGAGTTCAAGGCCACAGTGAACTATGATTACACCACTGTACTCCACCTTGGGTGACAGATCAAGACCACATCTCTAAATGAAGAAAAACAAAGATTCTTAACAATAATTGCTCATATTTGTCCAGCAGTGTACTATACATGCCCTTCTACCTATGTTATAGGTACAGTTATTCTTGAAGTTTTAAAAGGTTAAATCATTTGCCCAAGTCATGCTATTAGTAAGTTGTTGAGGGGGACTCAAACTCATGTCTTTGTAAGTATAAAGACCATAATCTTTACCACTGTGCTGTGCTGCCAGTGGAACTTGAGTGTTAGCTCTGACACATTACTTTACAGTTCCTGTGCTTTTTTTTTTTTTTTTAAACATTTCCTCCCCAGTACCCATTAACTCTGACATATCATATAAAATAAGGGTCAGTCAGAGTCAGTGTTCCCTTTCAGTAAGGACTGTGTCTTCTGCTTATGTATGGTGAGTAAATCTTTAGCGGTTGCTTAGTAGGCATTCAGTACGCTGTTGATGGTTGGTTCAGTAATTTTGAAGTGCTAGACAGATCTTACCCATTTAGCATGTACGTGTTGAGTAAATGAAAAGACTATCATAAAAATGAAGGTCATTGCCCCACGATGGCATCCCACAACAGACCTAGGTGATGGCAGCCAATCTGGACTATTGAGGGTCATGATCAGGTTGTTCTCAAGGTGACCCCAATGGCCAGCTGTCTTCTTTCTTTACCTCTTCACATCTAGTCTTTCACCAAATATATCTCCAGTCTGTTTACTTCCCTCCTCCTCACTACCACTGCTGTCTTCCAGGCCACTCTCACTGGATTACACATTAGCTGTCTGAATGCCCTCCACTCTCCCCCAACACTGTCTGTTACTCACTCTCTGGCAGAGGGATTTTTTTTTTAAATCTTTTTATTGGTATCCAGTCTGTCTCCAATACTACGATGTAAGTTTCATGAGACCCAGCACATTATCTGTTTTTTTACTGTTGAATTGTTCACTATTGTATATGTGCCTAGCACCTCATAGACACTTAATAAATAGCAATATATTAATAATATCATTTGAATTACTGGTTTACCCTGCTTAGTCAACCTAGGGCCATCCCATGTGGGAATGACCTGGGGCTGGGCTTGGTATTTGAGAGGTTGTCTGGGCCGTAGATCCATCTTCTGATGGTTGGGGTCAGGAAATCTTTTGACTCCCTATTTTCTTCTTTTGTCTATTGCATGGCTTCTTGAAGGACTGTTATTCAATTTCTAATATATTAAAGAAATCATTCTAAATTCACATACATAGTCAATCAAATATGTAGCCAAATCATGTACAGAAACAACATTTGTGGGGGTTTTTTTTAAATAAAGGGATTGTTAATTTTTTATACATAAATTAGATTTGCCAGTCTCCCTAGATCAGTCAGTTATAACTAAAAATATTAATTATAAAAGCAACTAAAATTGCATTTTTTTCCTCCACTGAAACAGGTATTTGGTGTTGGAGTTCCAAATCCATATCGATTGAGGCCGTTCCTTGGGGCCAGAGTCCCTGTGAATAGCAGTTTCTCACCTATAATAAACATCCACAATCCTCACAGTGAGCCTTTACAGGTGAGTTTATGATGGTAATTTTGAATAAGCTTCATTTTGGTGGGAATTAATGCTTAGCATGAAATCTCAGTTTGTTACAGTTTCCAAGACTATTTAAAATAATAGGGTTTTATAGTGTATTGAGAGGGGTATTACTTTTAGTACAGCTTGCTGCAGTCTGAATTTTGGAATACAGCAGTCTGAATTTTGGAATACAGCAGTCTGGATTTTGAATTTTTTGAATCATTTTTAAAACGACTGTGTCTTCTCTGGTGTTATAGTTTAGGCAGCTCTGCATTTAAAGAAGAGTTTTTAGCTACACAAGGCTGCTTTTTTTCTTGCCTGTAAACACTTTCTGGCCCAATATCCATGTTTTTTAAAACAGTTCAAGTTTATTTCTGGAAATAATAAATTTTTGGTGATGGCAACCTAGAAATTAAAATTCAGGGAAAGGGTAATATAGAATTATGCTTAAAAGCAAGCTTGTTTTTTTATTTAAAAAATTCAACTTATCTTACCTAATCTTCTAGCAGTAATTGTTTTCAAGTGTGAGATTCCTCCTCACTAGCTCCTTGTCTCTTTCACAGTGGAAGTGGCTAGTGTCATTCCTTCAGAGATTTTCTGAAATCTCTACCTTACATCCTAGGGACTTAGCTGTGTGACATGTGCAGCCTCTGTGGCTTCTAGTTGTGTTGTCTGTGTTAAAAGTAGATGTGAATGCTTTCTAGAATAGTCCAGGGTGCCAGAGTTCTTTCGGACCAACACTGCAGGACTTAAAAGCAGCTTGAAAATGACAGGTGGAGGAAAAATACTATATTTTGTGGTAAGTATAGGGCTTTGGCAACTAAAATGGCTGTTGTCCCAGACCACCCTGGTATAACTGTTCATAAACAATGGAAGAGGAAATGAGGATGAACCAGGGAAATGTTCAGAGCCTGAATAGTGAAATGCTTAGAAATGATAAGTGAAAGCAGCACGAAAGAAATCTCTCCCCAACACTTGGCAACAACTGGGTGAAGATAGCCCCAGTTTTAATTTTTGTAGCTGGATGTCTGCATCACAGAAGAACCTGTTCTTATGTCCTGCTTTTCAGGTGGGAAGTATTCCCTCTTATCCTCACCATCCTTCTGTTGTTTACGTCCTTTTGATACTTTAGGTAATGGTGTAGTTTCCCTGTTCTGGCTGTTATTACAAATCTATGTAGAAACTTCAGAAATTCTTGCTGCTTTCTTTCCTGTTTTTACAAAAGACAGGGTCTCACTCTGTCACTCAAACTGGAGTGCAGTGGCACGGTCATGGTTCACTGCAGCCTTGAACTCCTGGCCTCAAGCAATCCTCCTGCCTTAGCTTCCCAAAGTGCCGAGATGACAGGCATGTGCCACTGTGCCTGGCCTCTTACTCCGTTAGACCCGACTGCATGAGTTGCCCCACTGTGCCGTAGAAGGGCTGTTAACAGGGTGCCCCAAGGGTGCTGCCTCATTGTGGTGGCCAGACCACAAGGATGGAGCTTGCAGGACTCAGCAGATGTTGGTCAGTCTACAATTGCCAGAGTTGCCTTACAGTCTGTACCTTTTCTCTTCAGCCTTTGGAGTTACCAAGCCCAGCACAGTGATCACTTCGAATTCAATTCATCTAGTCTTTTTCCAGTTAAAACATTTTAATTCAAGATTTACACAAGAGAGCAAATGGAACACCAAAGTTACTCTCTTAGAACCAAATATAGATTGTTTACCTGGGAAGACACTCTTACCCTTGTAGTCCAGTGTTACTGTGTGTCACTAGTCTTGTCAATATTACAGTAAGAAAAGATTGTAAAGCGAGAAAATGTATATCGTTTGTTGATTATACAACATAAACACATGAGTATGTTCTCCTCAGGAAAAAAATGTTAACAATTCAAACATGAATGAAGCAAAAACGTCCCTTTGAACTTCCTACTTCCCAGTCCAGCTGTCCAGCAGAACTTTCTGTGATGATGGAATAGTTCCTTTCCTGCTTTGTCCAAAACAGTAGCCGCTAGCTACGTGTGACTGTTGAGCTCTTTAATTCAGCTAGGGTGGCCAAAATGTTATTTCAACTAATTTAAATGTAAATAACCACATGTAGCTGATAGCTATTGCATAGACAGCATAGTTGCAGTCCAAGCCCTTCCTCGTGGACACCACTTTTGCCACCTTGTATGTATCATTCTAGACCTTTCTCTTGTGCATGCGTGTATGTGGGCACAGAAACATTTATTGTGGGAATTTGTTTACACATAATATATTCTGTACATAATGTTTGGCTTCCTTTTTTTCCTAAACTATACTAAATTAGAACAAATAGCACTGGACTAAAAATAAAGAATGTGTCAGGTTCCTAGTTTTAGTGTAATTATTTGTTTGACTTTGTAATTTAGACTTTTTCTGTCTCTATTTCTTTATTCATTTTCTCTGTTATCAGTAGGCGACTTTTTAATCTTCTGGGGGTTTTTTTGGTTGGTTGGTTGGTTGGTTGGTTGGTTGGTTGGTTGGTTGGTTGGTTTTCCAGACACCAGGCTGGAGTGCAGTGGTGCCATCTTGGCTTACTGCAGTCTTGACCTCCCAGGCTCAACCAATCCTTTTACCTCAGTCTCCTGAGTAGTTGGGACTACAGGTGCACGCCACCACACCTGGCTAATGTTTTTTATTTTTTTGTAGAGACAGACTCTCACTATGTTGCCTAGGCTGGCCTACAACTCCTGGGCTCAAGTGATCCCCGCTACCTTGGCCTCCCAAAGTGCCGGGATTACAGGCATGAGCCACTGAGTCTGGTCTAATCTTCTGTTTTCAAGCATTGTTATGCTTGTTTGCTTGATACTTGGAAGGATTGATGAAATAATGTGTGATGTTTTCTGGTTTTCCAGAAAAAGTTCTATAGTCATCCTATCATTTAAGGTGCTATTATTATTAACACAATAAGCACTATAGATGAGCACTGTAACAAATCAGCAGGCAAGTAATAATATACAAAGAAAATCTATAGCTTATCAGTCTTTGGTAAATGCATTACTTTTACAGCAGCAACTCCCCGGCCCCTGCCAAAAAAACAAACAAACAAAAAAAACCTTTAAGGGTCCAGGCGCAGTGGCTCATGCCTGTAATCCCAGCACTTTGGGAGGCCGAGATGGGTGGATGACGAGGTCAGGAGTTCAAGACCAGCCTGACCAACATGGTGAAACCCCATCTCTGCGAAAAATACAAAAATTAGCTGGGCGTGGAGGCATGTGCCTGTAATCCCAGCTACTCAGGAGGCTGAGGCAGGAGAATCACTTGAACCCAGGAGGCAGAGGTTGCAGTGAGCCGAGATCACACCATTGCACTCCAGCCTGAGCGACAGGGCGAGACTCCGTCTCAAAAAAAAAAAAAAAAAAAAAAAAAAAAAAAAAAAAGTTTAAGCTTAAGAATTGCCATTTTTCTTGCTTTATCCTTTTTTATTCACTCCTGGAGGACTTCTTGTGATGAAACAAGTGAACGTTTCCACCCATTCTCATACTTCACCCCAAATTTAATTGAATTAAATATATTTTTTCTTTTTAAGAATTAGGGTTAGCTTACCTTTAAAGGAAGGTCTCCTGCCTTGTGACCCATTTTGTGTATATATATTTACCCAAAAGAAAGGAAAGCAGATGACCACACCAAGACTTGTACTCAGTATCCACAGCAGCTTTCTCTTTAATGGCCAGACATTGGAAACAACTCAAATGTCCCATTAATGTGTGGATTGAAAAACTGCGGTATAGTCATCAAATAGAAGTGAACTATTAATGCATAAACAAAGTGGTAGACCTCAAAATAATTGCATTGAGCAAAAGAAGCCAGACACAAGAGTATATGTTGTATTATTCCATTTAGATAAAACTCTAGAAAATATGAGCTAGTCTGAGGTGATAGAGAGCAGATCAGTGGTTGCCTAGAAATAGGAAGGGACAGAGAAGGATGGATGGATTGCACAAGGCATGAGGAAGCTTTTGGGGATAATGGATATATTTAATATCTTAATTACAGTGATGGTTTTATGCCCAAACACATAGGTCAGGATTCATCAGGTTGTATACTTTAAATATGTATTATTTATTTTACATAAATAACTCAATAAAGCTGTTTAAAAAAAGTAAGCTTAGGCATAAGCCACAGAAATATTTTTGCTACCAGTAGAAACCACATATTTTCATGTTCCATTAGAGTTATTTTGTATATATCTCAAATATTTTTACTCTTCCCCATCTCACAATTATGGTAGTTATTTGATCCACTGCTGGCTCTTGTTATAAATGTATGGATAAAGAAGCACTTTGTGTTACTGTAAGAAATACAAAATTTATGTTTCCAAAACTTGGTAATTTTTGTAAGTGATTCCCTTTGGAAAAAAGAAAAATAAGTATCCTGTTACTTTCTAAAATCTGGTCTCTGGAACAACTATGGTACTTACACTGTTTCTAAGTTAAATTTTCAAAGTTACCTTATTTTAATTAAAAATACAACTATTGCTTACACATACAGAGCACTGAATTTAGTGATATTATACATATCCTACGTTTATATCTTTAAATGTTTTGTGATAAACAGTTAGGATGTCAGAATTATTTCTGTGTAATAGCAAGTCACCTGCTTTGAGAATATGACTTTGAACGTAGCCATCATGTGCTCTTTTGCCCCAGGTTGTAGAAATGTACTCTAGTGGAGGAGACCTTCACCTAGAACTCCCAACGGGTCAACAAGGAGGTACCAGAAAACTGTGGGTGAGTTGTAACCTAGTTTTCTCTTGTGTGTGCTCCCATGAAACCGATTATTCTTAAATTAGAAAATATTTAACTCCTTAATAGGCTTAACAAATATGGATGACTTCTCTTTAATCGTTGTCTTAATGTTAATTTATGTCAAGTATATATGAAAATTGGAGGAGGAAAGAATATAAGTAGTAATTTTTGGAAAGGGCAGTGAGTAAAATTGGTGGGAGTTCTACCCCACTACATGGAAAGAAAGTAACTTCAGCTATTCTTCCTCCGAATTATATGGGTAAAGTTGTCTCTGAGTCTGATAATTTATGATGTGCTTTACACATAAAAAAATGTAAATGATTAAAAAAATGTAGGAAGCATTCATTATGTTTTTGTTTTGTTTTTGAAGGTAAGTAATTGAATGTTCAGATTCACCATTGGTAAAGGAGATGGCATTTGCAGAGAGAACCTAGTCAAGTGCCTGCGATAACTTAGAAAAATTTTAATTCTTGAAGGTGATCTGTGTTCACCTTCAATATTGTTGAATATTTAACAATATTAACCAAATTAAAGAATATGTAAGAGAACCTTATTTATAAAGATTCTTGCCATTTGTGAGTTTTAAAAATGTTTACCATGCTTTAATTCAAGAGGGAGAAGGCAATTGTGGTCAATTCAGTTCCATATCCAGCTCACTCAGATCACTGCTCATCTGTAATGGAGGAACACAAATTTTACAACCAGGAGTAAGGTTTGAGGATCAGAGTTTCTTTATTAACTGCTGTTACACACACACAGCCTCTTGATTCTGTCTTCTGACCAGTCTTGACCACAGAAGAGATGTGGAGATTATGTTTTTAGAATGTTAATATGAACATCTAGAAACAAATTTATCAGCCAGTTATTTGGTTAATTCCCAGAATATAGAAACACAACCAGCAAAAAGAAATATGCAATGGACAGTTCATTTATATCCTTTCACAAAAATGTTTCACCTTGAAATTGTGGTGTTTGAGGGAAAAATCATCTATAAAACAATCCTTCAGAGGATTAAATTCAGACTATTATATCTGTATATATTATTCTAGACAGAACTAAGAACTTCCTGTGAAACATAATTGGTATCTAATAAATAAACCTAAGAGAATTCAGATTTTTAAATAGTCAAGAGTGATAATGATAACAGAGAATAGCATGTTTTTATAGTCCTAGTGGCTGCAAAAAAAGATATGGTAGTTCTTATTCCTACAAACCTAGACTGAGAAAAAAGCCAATGGGCTGTGACCTCACCTCCAGCCTATTTCGGTGTATAGGTGAAAACCCCAGAGACCAAGTCAACTCCCTAGAGCTGGGGAGTGGATGGTCCATCCCTCCAATCTTAGGAGGGTCCCAATCACCTGTTTTCTACTTTGGGACTAAAAAAGAGAGTAGGGATAAGTGAAGGCCACTAAGCTGTAGAACACAAGAATCTCCTAAAATATGCTGAAAGGTTTGTGCAGAGAAGAAATTCAGGCAGTCCCAGGGAGCCATATTGTTCTGAAACCAGGAAAGAGATTACTCCTCAAAATTTTTTTTCCAGTAAGTCTTCCTTTTAGTATATAAATGTTCTCTCATTACGGGACTGAAAATGTATGCTGTCTTACATGAATGCAGTTGGTAAACTGTGGATTTACTTGAGAAGCTTTGCATTGTTAAGTTTTCCATGAAAGAGCAGTGTAAGCCCTGCTGGTTATCATTTATGAAGGTTCTTGTGGACTTCTAGAAAAGTATTTACCTCTGATGGTGACATTTCTGTTGGTTAAATTTCAAGACTGAGTTATATACCCAAACACCACTAACTAGCATATTAAAAAATAACTGATTTTGTAGATTAGTTTTACCTTTTAATGGTGATTTTGTAACTGACAATTTGTTTTCAGATCATTTGACTTCTTTTGCTTTGCCTACCTTACATATCGTATTTCATCAATTCTAAACAGCACATTTTTCACATTTTAAAGTTCTCCAGAAATGGAGTGTGTGTTACATATTGGTTTAATTAGCAATGCATTTTTTTTATTAATAGGTATATAGAATACTCATCTTTCAGTCAGTGTCATCCAGTTCAATAAAAAATGGTGGTTTTGCTACATTACAAAAGCTGTGCTACATTATGGTCTGTTAACTTGTCAGGAAATTCCTCCTTATGAAACCAAGGGAGTGATGAGAGCCAGTTTTTCATCTAGAGAAGCAGATAATCACACAGCCTTCATAAGAATAAAGACTAATGCTTCAGACAGCACAGAGTTTATCATTCTTCCTGTTGAGGTTGAAGTTACAACAGGTTAGTGGAAAACTGATGAAATCGAAAGTTGTTTTGTTTTCAGTATAGCTTACTCTGGCAAAGTGAAAAATAATTGTTGACTTTTCTTTTTTCCAAGCTCCTGGAATTTATTCCTCAACTGAAATGTTAGATTTTGGTACACTAAGAACACAAGGTAAAAAAATCTTTTAAAAGAGTCTTTATGGAGTTTTTTTTTTTTTTAACCCCTGTATTCAGTGCTGAATGGCTCTACTATGTAATTCAGCTTTAAACATTATTTCTCAGTTGGTTGCATGATCTTGTACAAATCTCCTTTTCAGACTCAGCGCCTTTACAGGTTTATACCCCATTCCGCTGAGGGGTGGGTGGCATTGCTTAACAGGTTGGAAAACAAGGCCATGGGATAATTTAAGTCATCTAAATGGAAGATTGAGGCAGAAAATAGTTTTCTAGTTTCTTAATCCAGTTGCTCATCAGTTCAGTTACGCTGAATCTTGATTTTTACTTCTGGATTTTGTTTAGATATGAGTTATTAAATTACATTTTGACAAAATGTTGAAAGTTTGTTGCAGCTGTTCAGAAAACTCAAATTCTGAAATTAAAAACAACTAAGTAAAGATTTTTGCTAAGGAAAAACTAAGAGCACTTGTAATTTGGGATGTATATGGACTATATATAATAATATGTAGTTAAGATTGAAGACCATATGTTTAAAAATTAGATTTGCTGTTAGTATATTTTTACATTGTAAATTATTAATTTGCTTCATTATGTTTTGCTGGAAAGCTAAAAGATTAGTAATGTCTGACTTCACAAAAAAATAATATTTGGGGGGCTGGGCATGATGGCTCATGCCTATAATCCCAGCATTTTGGGAGGTGGAGGCAGGCAGGGCACTTGAGGCCAGGAGTTCAAGACTAGCCTGGCCAACATGACGAGACCCCATCTCTACTAAAAAAATAATACAAAAGTCTGCTGGGCATGGTGGTACATGCCTGTAATCCCAGCTAGTCAGGAGGCTGAGGTAGGAGGATCACTTGAACCCAGGAGGCTGAGGTTGCAGTGAGCCAAGAATGCCCCACTGTACTCCAGCCTGGGTGACAGAGCAAGATTCTGTCTCATTTAAAAAAAAAAAAAAAAAGTATATATTTTGGGGTTTTCAAAAATCTGGTTTAAGAGGGAACAGTTCTTATAATACACAATGTCCTTATGAGTAAAGCAATTACCACCTAATGTTTCTTTTTATTAATCTTATTGTCATTGTATTTCACAAATTGATAGCTTCAATTTGATATCTTATAAGGTAAAGATTCTAACTTGGCTAAAAAGCACCTTTTTAAGAAATATTTCTTTTCCTCAATTTTAACAGATCTACCAAAAGTTTTAAACCTTCATTTATTAAATTCAGGAACAAAAGATGTACCAATAACAGTAAGTTTTTACTTCTTTTTTCCCCTAATTTATATATTCTTTGTTTTTAAATGTATGACAAAGTTAAAAATAATTAAACCCTTATTCTAAAATAATTATATTTGGTGATGACCTGGTGACACTTTGGTTCTAAGTGTGATGTGAGAAACCTGTTCTGCCCCAGCCACCCGGATTTTAAGGATGAGAGAGAAATGGGCAATCTTTTCAAAGTAAGTTTGAACCAAAGTTCATGAGTTTCTTATACAGGCACAGTCATATAAAAGGCCTGTTCTGATAAATCCTAAAATCTGTGGGCCATGTGTATAGAAAAACAGGTTATAAGGATTTCATCAGATTTGGTTGTTGGAGTTAAGGTATGGGCAGGAAAGAGGAAGAAGAGTCAGATGAATTGGGAAGAAAATAAGCAAAAAAAATGTTGTAGGTAGTGGTAAAGTGCTGTTAACACTTGTCACAGGCTCCCTAACTAGCAGTTATTGAGTTACCGTAGGCAGCACATTATAAACTAAGGCCCTCTCTCCCTCACACATACATACAGAGTAAGTAACTTTTAGGCCATATGGAATTGAGGTGCCGTTAGATAGTTTTAGGAAAAAAAGGGATATCTAAGTTTTGCCTTGGCCCACAACGTCTCTCCCTGATGAGGTCCCCAAGATATATACATGTGTAATCATTATATAGGAAAATAGGACATTTTTATTATAATTTGTGCTGATGCCAGAAACTTAACTTCAGTGAACTGACAAAATGAAATATAGATCATGTGGGCTTGAGATTTAAGGGACCTTTGTCCATCGATGGCCATACCCAGATTTTATCACCAGCTGGTGGAGTAGACCAAAGAGAGAAGAATATACAAACCCCAGCGAGGAAGCAAGAGATGGTCTTCCCAGGTAACCACATTCTGATGCGCAGTGACCTTCCTCACTAGTGGGACCGGGATGCAGGCATTGTCTTCATATCTGACCTAGCATTTCTCCTAGATGGGAAAGTGCCTTTACTTAGCCCAAGCAAACCAGCCTAACTTTTTACGTACAATAAATGGACTGAAACAAGTATCTTTTTCAATAAACATATTATAGGAAAATGAAATTGGCAATTAACCCTAAGAATGTGAATGAAGAACTAGTACTCAGGTCACTTATGACATGGAATTAAATAGGCCCATGTTTGTCCTTTTTCTTATTCACTAAGGAGTTTTAGGATATATTGTAAGTGAACATTTTTGCTCTTACTGGGTCAGGCACTATGCTAGTACTGCTATGTAATAAATGTATTACTTAATACCTATATGGTGCAGTGGTCCTAGTTTTCTAGATAGGAAAGCTGAGTTAGAGCTGCTTTTTTTTTTTTTTTTTTTTTTGGAAGTGACTTACACAACTATAAAAAATGCAAAAATAGGCCAGGCATGGTGGCCTCACGCCTGTAATCCCAGCACTTTGGGAGGCTGAGGCTGGTGGATCACTTGAAGTCAGGAATTCAAGACCAGACTGGCCAACATGGCGAAACCCTGTCTCTACCAAAAATACAAAAATTAGCTGGGCATGGTGGCATGTGCCTGTAGTACCAGCTACTCAAGCTGAAGCAGGAGAATTGCCTGAACCTCAGAGGTGGAGGCTGCAGTGAGCCAAGATCACGCCGCTGTGCTCCAGCCTGGGCAACAGACCGAGACTGTCTCAAAAAAAAAAAAAAAAAAAAAAAAAGAGGTATGTGAAACATGAAAGTATATTATACAGTGTCACTTAGCAATCACATCTTTATGAATATATCATTTTAATTGCATAGTCTATTTCTGTTAAAAACCTATATATCTGTTAATATAATACATCTGTACCTACATCTGTACCTACCTATGTGTGTATCTTTTATAATATCCAAAGCCCAAACTCTGCCAGTGTTTTGGTAGTTTTCTCTTATTCCCGCCTTCATTCACCCATTCAATAAATATTTAATGAACATCAACTGTATGCTAGCTGCTATGCTGACTGAGAATACAGCAGTGAATCAGACCACTGGGGTTCCCTACCCCATCAAGCTCACTGTTTATCAGGGCTCTCTGGAACTCTGGGAGATATTTAGATTTTATTCTAAGTGTAATGGGAAATTATTACAGGATTTTAAACGAGAGTGACATCATCTGATTTATGTGTTGTAAAAGGTCACTGTAGCTACTTTGTGGAGAGTGAACTTACAGACATGGAAGGGCAGAAAGCAAAGGAGACCACTTGGGATCTGATTTAGCAATCAGCCTGAGAAATGATGGTGGCTTAGATTTCCCACCTTATCAGCTATGGGGCAAGCCCACCTACCGTGGAAACTGAGTTTTCAGAGCTCTTCTTAAGGTTTTCCCTGTGTGTTTCAGCATTTTCTGCATAATTCACCAGGCTTAGAGACTATAGATATTTAGAAAGGTTCCTGTCTCCTTTTGTTTCACAAACATAGAATTTTCAGGATTTGCTAAGCAGTGCTAGAAGCTGGAGATCTTTTTTTTAAATTCCCCTTCAGGGAATTCATTCTCTTTCTAAATATAGGATTACTAAAGCAAGCAATTCCAAATAGAAGTTCCTCAACTGCTAACAGACAGGATGCGCAGGTCCAAACTCTCCTAATATGTCTATAATGCAACTTTGAGAAAATGGCTTTCCTCAGCATTTACAAAACATTAGTGCTGTATAAATGATGGAGTAAGTTTGCCTGAGATGCCTTCAGAGGAATGTTTGCATGAGGTTTCCCTTGGTAATTAACAAATCGGAATCATAATATCAGCTTAACATATGCTTTAGTGAACTCATACACAAATTATTAGAAATACAATGTTAAATGCTGAAAGTGCTTTTTTCCTTATTTGCTCAAGTGCTTTTATAAGCAGTTTTAGAATGTTCCGGACCGTTGAATTTCACTTGAGGGTTACTGAGCATTAGTTGGGTCTGAATGTTGTGAGAAAAGCCTAGAACTATATTTAGAACATATGCAAGCTTGCGAACTGCCTTTCCTGGGAAACTTGCAATAGTTTTATACTTCTTGATTATCTTTGAGTTAGCAATAGTCACTAACAGGTTGTTGTATAAATATGCTTACTACAAGGTGTTGATTGTGTATGAGTTGTCATTTAAAGCCACCAGAATGGGCCAGCTACTTAAGTGTTTTGTCTTGGGTTTGTTTGTTGGCTTTTTGTTTCCCTGGAAAATGGGTTTTAACAATTTGGGTTTGGTTTTTTTTTTTTTTTTTTTTTTTTAACTGATAATGAGTGAAGAATTCAGACCATTTGTATAAAACATGAGTTTTCAGTTGAATATTTCTTTGTTATTACTGCAGCGTATTTTAAGGTAGCAATACTAATGTAAAGTTTTTATCTGGTAAGGAAAATCTTAAAGTGGTGTGTTTCACATGAAAAAAATTTCATCAACTATTTTAAATTCTTACTAATAGTGACTATATTTTAACAAACATCCTTGCTTTGCTATTTCTGGCTTGGTGTTGTACAGGCTGATAACACTCAAAAAATATTGTGCTTGTTGTTGATGAACTCCCACTTCTAGCCTTTAAGCATATTGAAAAATGGTCAAGCCTTCATTGTGTGTCCAGAGTTGGTTCCTTCTGGTGGGTTCTTGGTCTCTCTGACTTGAAGAATGAAGCCATAGACCTTCGTTGTGAGTGTTACAGCTCTTAAAGGTGGTGCGGACCCAAAGAGTGAACAGCAGCAAGATTTATTAAGAGCGAAAGAACAAAGCTTCCACAGCGTGGAAGGGGACCCTAGTTGCCTCTGCTGGCTTGGGTGGCTAGCTTTTATTCCGTTATTTGGCTCCCCGCCATGTTCTGCTGATTCGTCCATTTTACAGAGCGCTGATTGGTCCATTTTACAGAGTGCTGATTGTTGCATTTACAATCCTTTAGCTAGACACAGTGCTGACTGGTGCATTTTTACAGAGTGCTGATTAGTGCATTTACAATCCTTTAGCTAGACACAGAGCGCTGATTGGTGCGTTTTTACCGAGTGCTGATTGGTGCATTTACAATCCTTTAGCTAGATACAGAGCGCTGATGGGTGCATTTTTACAGAGTGCTGATTGTTGCATTTACAATCCTTTAGCTAGGCACAGAGCACTGATTGGTGTGTTTACAGTCCTCTAGCTAGACAGAAAAGTTCTCCAAGTCTCCACTCAACCCAGGAAATCCAGCTGGCTTCCCCTCTCAATCCCCCCTCTAAATAGGACACCCCAACTGCTGTTGGGAATTGGGCAATGATCATTCTAGCTACTTCCTACTGGATAAGGGCAAAGAAGGGACCCTGCAGTGGTAGTGTCCTCCAGAGGGGAACTGTCTAGGCCAGTCAAAGGGCCAGTGGGTCGATCCAGGGGTCCTTGGTAGAAGTTGTTAGTTGAGCTTATTTGGGGTTCCATTTGTAAGACCATCTGTAGCTTGATGGCCTCGATCGTAGAGGAAACAAATTTGACAAGGAGATTAAAAATACAGGGCCCAAAGGCGAGTAATAGCAAGATGGCTGTCACAGGACCTAGAAAGGGAAGATGCCATGTTCCCCAACTCCAGAGGTTGGTATAAGAGTTGGAAAGGCATTGAAAGAGTTTGAAAGGCGTTGTCTGATTTCAGAAGCCTTTTCCTGTAAACGCTGTAGTATCCCTGACTGGTTAGTGTAAAAAAACACTCTTCTCCTAAGAAGGTGCAAAGTCCTCCTTTCTCAGCAGTGAGGAGGTCTAGGCCTCAGCAGTTTTGGAGAGTCACTGCTGCCAAAGAGTCTATTTGGGATTGTAGAGTAAGGATAGATTTCATTATTTCTTGCAAACTGTCTGAGAAATCCTTTGAGAGTTTGTGGTAGTAGGATAATGATGTAGATAAACCTGCTATTCTGGTTCCTGTAGCAGTGGCCATCTCTAACCCTATAAGTAGGGGTGTTAGTTGTATGGCCCTGTGCTGAGACACTTGAGCTTTGAGGGGCACAGACCCTATGTCTGATTTCCATAAGATTAGAAGTTAGGATAATATATGTTACACTTTTTTTTTTTCATAATTGAGATTTCATTGGTTGAGGATCGTACAGACATTTCAATTTGTACACAAATCTTAACATACATAACGAAATTCTAAAAAGCCATGTATTGTAATTATTTTTTAAAGTTATTCCAGTGACTTTCCAGCTTAAAATTTGGAAGCAAATTTTCCTTAAGAGGCTATCAAGTACCAGTATCTTCACATGTTGGTCAGCTGTTACATACAGCCCACCAGTTCACAACTCAATAGCACGTACACTACATATTCAAATTTGTAATCTTTCACAGCACAGTAACAAAGTTATTAGGAAAACAGGACTACCACAACCAAAGATGTTACAGAGTGCACACAATTCTGGCAGAGAGAGCCATGATCAAAGAGTGGTTTTCTTTAGGAAACAATTCTACTAAAAAACAACATGGTAATAGAAGTAATTTAAAATGTTCAAGACATTAAATGCAGGACTGACTCCATATTGCCATTTAATATGCTTTGTATTATAGGATATAAAAACTAACCCCCCATCTATGGAATGTTAAGCTGACACCCGAGACAATCAGAGCCTCCCATAATTCAATATCCCACACTATTTTCTGGTTGTACCAAAAAATAAACAACCAGCAAATGATTTCACCTCTTAAAAAAAAGCATTTACACTTAAAAAATGGGATGAGGTGGGATTCCCTCCTTCTTAAAAATGTTTCTAGAGCTACTAAAAAACTTGCATTTACAAAATAGTTGATAAAAATATTCCTCTGGATTGTACAAGAAGGGAGACAGGGACCACTGATAAGACATGGTATATGGTTATTAATCAGACTTGGCTTCTTTCTCTCCTGCTTCATCAGAGGCTGGACTCTCCTCAGTTTTCGTTTCCCCATTTTCTGCAGGTAAATCTTCTTTAGTTTCTTGGTTAGCCACTTCGGCCTGTTTTCCCTTTGCTCCCCTTTTCCCTTTTGTTTGCACGTTTTTGTCTGAAGATTTATCCTTCGCTGCTGCCTTTTTCGGCTTTGCTTCCACTTTTGCAGGAGGTTTAGCTGACAACCGCGCCGATCTCCTCTTGGGCTCTTCCTTGGCAGCGGCTTCAGCGGAGCTGACCTTCCTCTTGGGCATCCTGGCGGCGGGGAAGGCGCGTGCCAGGTGCCTGCGGGCCGCGGCGCGCCAAGAGCCTTCACGAAACTGGGCTGCCTTGCCGCTGCCACTCCTCCCCAACACTGTTAACTTTTAGCAAACTTTTGTTGAAAACCTTGTAAGTTTGGGATTTTAAAATTTTTTTTTTTTTTTTTTTTTTTGCTTATCACTTACTGAATACCCATTGTGTCTTTTTCCCTTAATTGCTTGGGAGGAACCATCTATCGTCCTGTCCTGAAGGGAGTTCCTCCTAGGTCTGGTCGGACCTTTGTATAGTAATTAGTTAAGATTTAGATCCCCTGTTAGGAAACCTGCTGGGTTAAGGATTTTTGATAGGAAGGCTACTGGTTGTCAGTGACCTCAGTGCTTTCAGGCTATGTCCTTGTTTACTCTGACAGCAAGGTGGTATTGGAGTGTTATAGGGTTACAGAGAAGACCTTCAATTATCAATTATAGGTTTTAAATTTACCCTGGCTTTTAAAGGACTAGGGTACACTTTTTTCTTTACTACTTCCATTTCTTTTTCTTTCTCTTTGACTTCTTTTTTGTCTCTCTTTTTTTCTCTTTCTGACTTCCTCTTTGTCTCTTCCCCTCTCTCACTGTTTCTCTTTCTCTCTGACTTCCTCTTTGTCTCTGTCTCTTCCTCTCTCTCTCTGACTTTCTGTCTCTTTCTCTCTTTCCTTTCTGCTGGTCTTTCCCTGCCTCTGCCAGCTGCTTATGCTGCTGTTCTCCCTTCTCCTTCCCCTTTTGATGGCTTCGGCGGTGTGAGACTGCCACCTCTTTGGATTTTTGTACTGCGTGCAATAACTCCATAATTTCCTTGTGGTATTTAATGGGGGTTCCCCTAGAGGTTAGGAACTCCCTTTCTTTCCATATTGCAGCATGGGCATGTAGGAATAGATAAGCATACTTGCTATCTGTATACACACATTTATTCTTTTTCCCTTTCTCAGTTTTAAGGCTCAGGTAAGTGCCACTAGTTCTGCTAACTGGGTGCTGCTCCCTAGGAGAAGAGGCTTACTTTCAAGTACGGTTGCATCATTAACTATGGCATAACCTGCCCTTCATATCCCATTTTCCACAAATGAACTTTCATCAGTATATAGGTTAAGTTCAGGATTAGCTAAGGGGACTTCTAAGAGATCATCTCAGGTGGCATAAATCTGGACTATAATTTGTCAGCAGTCATGCTCGATTGGTTCCCCATCCTCTGGGAGAAAAATGGCAGGGCTGAGGGCCACACATGTACATATTTGAAGCACCGGTTGCTCAAGGAGTAGCATCTGCTATCTAAGTAGGCGGTTGTCTGATAGCTATAAACTTCCTTTGGCACCTACTATGCCATTTACATCATGAGTAGTCCAGACAGTGAGATCCTTTCCTTGTATTATTTTGATAGCCTCTGACACTAAGATGGCCACTGCCACAACCACTCATAAACAGTGAGGCCAGCCTTTTGCTACTACATCAGTTTTCTTACTTAGGTATGCCGCTGGTTGTGGGGTTGTCCCACGAGTCTGAGTAAGGACTCCAAGAGCTATCCCTGCTCTCTCTCTGACGTATAAAGAGAAGTGTTGTCCTGTGAGAAGGCTTAAAGCTGGAGCTTGTAGTAGGGCCTGCTTTAAGGTTTTGAAGGCTGTTTCTGCCTCTGGTTCCTATTCTACTAGATGAGTATCTGCCCTCTGGGTCTCCTTGATTAGAGCATAGAGTGGTCTGGCCATCTTGCTGTATCCGGGGATCCATAGTCAACAAAAGCTGGTGATGCCAAGGAACCCCCGTAACTGTTTTGTCTTAGGGTGAGGATAAGCCAGTATAGGCTGTATTCATTCCTTGCTGAGGGCACTGGTCCCTCTAGCTAAGATTAGGCCTAGATATTTGACCTGCTGTAGGCAAAGCTGGGCCTTCGACCTAGATGCCTTGTACCCTTGATTAGCTAGAAAGTTCAAGAGATCTAGAGTAGCCTGCTGGCATGAGGCTTCCGAACTGATAGCCAAAAGTAAGTCATCCACATACTGAAGGACCAGAGTGCCTGGACTTGAGAAGTGGCCTAGATCATGGGCCAGTGCCTGACCAAACAGATGAGGGCTATCCCTAAACCCTTGGCATAAGACCGTCCACATAAGTTGGGACATGTGGTCTGTGGGATCCTCAAAGACAAAGAGAAACTGGGAGTCAGAGTGCAGGGGAATACAGAAGAAGACATTCTTGAGGTCCAGAACAGTGAACCATTCTGCTTTCTCTGGTATTTGAGAGAGCAGGGTATAGGGGTTGGGTACAACTGGATATAGAGGAATTACTGCCTCACTGATGAGTCTAAGATCTTGCACTAGTCTAAGATCTCCACTGACCATTCGGTTTTTGTACTCCTAGAATTGGGGTGTTGCAGGGACTGCTGCATTTCCTTACTAAGCTTTGAGCTTTTAAATGTTTAACAATATCCTGTAATCCTTTATGAGCTTCAGGCCTTAAGGGATATTGCCTTTGATAAGGAAAAGTAGTGGAGTCTTTTAGCCTGATTTGAACTGGGTGGGCATTTTTTGCCCTTCCAAATTGTCCTTCCAATGCAGAGACTTCAGGGTTGATTCCCTCCTCAAGTAGGGGACAACAAATGGGTAACTTGTTCCCCATATTCATGTAGGTAATAGCTCCAGCTTTGGCTAATATATCTCTCCCTAATAAGGGTGTGGGACTTTCAGGCATAACGAGAAAGGCATGTGAAAAGAGCAAAGTCTCCCAATTACAACTCAGGAGGTGGGAGAAATACCTGGTTACAGGCTGTCCCAGGATTCCTCGGATGGTAATGGACCTTGAGGACCGTCGTCCAGGACAGGAGATTAACACTGAGAAGGCTGCACCAGTGTCCAGGTGGAAGTCAATTTCCTGGCCTTCAATGGTTAAACGTACCCAGAGCTCAGTGAGGGTGATGACATGAGCTGGCACTTGCCCCGGGCACCCTCAGTCCTGCTGTTGGATTATCTGGTTGGGGGCTTCTGGCCTAGAGAACCTTTGCCCTCTGGGGCAGTGTGCCTTCCAGTGATTGCCTCAGCATAGTGGACATGGGTGAGGGGGTGGCTTATTTTTCATTGGACAATCTTTTTTAAAGTGTCCTTGTAAACCACACTGATAACAAGCCCTACCAGGTGATTGGCCTGCTCAATTTTCTTTCCTCTCTGAACCACCAAGGTTTGTTTGAGGGCCTTGACTAAGGCTGTGGCCTTTCTCTGATCTCGCTTTTCCTTTTGGGCCTGTTCCTCTTGGTCCCTATTATAGAACACCGAGGTTGCCAGGATTAATAATGCCTCCAGATTTTGTTCAGGGCCCAGGGCTTGCTTTTGGACCTTCCTCCTGTTATCTGTGGCTGATTGGGTAATAAACTCATCTTTTAGGATCAGTTGACCCCCAAGGGAGTTGGGTGACAGGAGAGTATATTTCCTTAAGACCTCCCGTAGCTGCTCGAGGAAGGCAGAAGGATTTTCTTCCTTTCCCTGAGTTATGGTGGACATCATTGAATAACTCATGGGCTTTTTCCTAATTCTTCTTAGTCCTTCCAGAACACAGGTCAGCAGATGTTTACAACTCCAGTCCCCATGATCTTGAGTCTAGATCCCAGTGGGCATCCATACTGGGGATGGCTTGCTGACCGGTAGGGAATTTGTCCCTTTCTTCAGCTGTCATTCTATCATTTACTTGGCTAAGACACCAGGTATCTCCAAATTCTTGGGCTGCAGCTAAAGCCGCATTTTTTTCATTAAAGGCCAGGGTTTGATCTAACAATAGCATGACATCTCTCCAAGTGAGATCAAAGGTTTGCCCTAGACCATGTAGGACATCTGTATACCTATCAGGATCATTTGAAAGCTTCCCCAGGTCTGCCTTGATCTGCTTTAAATCAGAGAGGGAGAAGGGGACAGGTACCCAGGTTGGGCCAAATTCCTCTCCCCCTACAGCTTGAAGGGGACATAACCGATAGCCCGGGGAGTTTTGTGGTACCTTGGAGATTTCTTTGCTTGTTTCCTTCTGGGTGGGGGAAATTAGAGGAGGCTTATCATTAATAGGAAGGTGAACTATAGGGAGGCTAGGATATGGGGGTAAGCTGAGAGGTCCTCCTGTGGGATGTAAATTGCAAGCTTTGCATAGTTGTGGATTCTCCGTCAATGAAAAGAAAGCTTAGAGATAAGGTATTTCACTCTACTTGCCTTCCCTCTTACAGAAAAGGTCAAGCTGCAGGATAGTATTATAATTTATACTTCCCTCAGGTGGCCATTTTCCCCATCAGAGAGAGAATATTGGGACCAGGCCGTAGTGCAGAAAAAAATGAGCCACATCTTTTTCAGGGTTTATGGGTCAAATTGGTCCCAATGGCTTAGGATGCATTTCAAGGGTGAGCCTGTTGATGCCTGAGTGTTTCCCATCTGAAAGACAAAACTGCCTGTGGTTTTGGTTTGTTTGTTTCCCCCCAGCCCAGGCACCCACAACAGTCCCTGGACCCTGCTGATCGGAATAGTTGCACTCACCAACGCAGCAGCAGAAACACTAGTTTTCCTCCTAGACCACAAGGAGGACCAAGGAAGGTTGGATTTAGTGGCCCTTACCAACACATTCTCGAAAACCTGCACCCTTGCCTGTCCTCCTATACCACAAAGAGGACCAAGAAAAATCAGATTTAGTGGCCCTTACCGACGCATTCTCGAAAACCTGTTAGAGTTCTAAGCATTCTCCTGTTAGTGTTGGGACTTTACCCCATCCTATAAAGATGTTATGCCCCAAAAATGAAGTGGAGGGCCGTACCCTGAGCAAGGGAAGGGATCTCCAGGGTTGGAAGAGTGACGCCTTTTATCCTCACTTCTCATCATGTGAAAAGGAAGGATATCGTTTCTGAGGCTCCCCGTATCCTAGCTTCAGGAATAGCTTTTGTTAGGCCTGCTAGTCTGAGGAGGGATCCTAAAATTCCAGGTAGTCCCCCTGCCCTCGAAGGGGCTTTGGGCAAAAATTATGTCTTTGATTGGTGAGTCCAGGTGCCTAAAGGAGGGAATAGAGTCCTGGAGTTTATACTGGAAATCATTCTTATAGGAGAAACTAGAAAGGCATCAGAGACAGAGAGTGGTTTTTAGAAGCGGAACTATCCTTGGAGAAGAGAGGCAAGAGGAAGTTTGTCTGACAGGCATTAGGACCCAGGGGGCAAGGGTCAGGATAGATAGGATAGATAGGCAAGTCTCGCTTGGGCAACATAACTTTGAGAATTCCGCTCATGGCCACAGTCAACCAACTTTTTGTCGGGATCCCGGAGCTGAATGGCTTTCCTCTCTGTTGACCCTCAGCTCAGCCCAGAAGTACAGGAAAAGTGGAAGATGGTTCCAGGCAAACCAATGCTCCCAACTCTGAAGAGTTGGGGGTTGTTAGCCCTTTCCCAGAAAGCCTGACACCTGTGTCTTTAGTCCGGTGGCTGTGCCAGTCGCTTTTAACTGGCTGACAGGTGTCCGGTATTTAGCCCCCGAATTCTAAGGAAAAATAGGACAGAATAGCAAGTGAAAGGGGTCCAGTGGTGCTCACTGCTTGGCGATAGTCCCTTCCTGGTCACCAAAATGTATCCCATGTGGGTCGCCAAAATGTGTCCGGAATTTCTTCCTTCCAGTGAGTTCGTGGTCTTGCTGACTTCAGGAGTGAAGCCGCAGACCTTCGTGGTGAGTGTTACAGCTCATAAAGGTAGTGCAGACCCAAAAAGTGAGCAGCAGCAAGATTTATTGTGAAGAGTGAAAGAACAAAGCTTCCACAGCCTAGAAAGGGACCCAAACGGGTTGCCTCTACTGGCTCGGGTGGCCAGCTTTTATTCCCTTATTTGGCCCTGCCCGCGTCCTGCTGATTGGTCCATTTTACAGTGTTGATTGGTGCGTTTTTACAGAATGCCGATTGATGCATTTACAGTCCTTTAGCTAGACACAGAGCACTGATTGGTGCGTTTTTACAGAGTGCTGATTGGTGCATTTACAGTCCTTTAGAGACAGAGTGCTGATTGGTGCATTTACAATCCTTTAGCTAGACACAGAGCACTGATTGGTGTGTTTACAATCCTCTAGCTAGACAAAAAAGTTCTCCAAGTCCCCACTCAACCCAGGAAGTCCAGCTGACTTCACCTCTGAATTGTTGCTGGATCATATTCAGTAGAGCAAATGAGGAACTTCAGGAGCCATATCTGTGGAAGTCCTCTGCAAACTACAGAGCTTCATGTGATCACCTGTAACAAAGCTTGGCCTCAAGATAAAGTGGCTCATTTGTGGGGGGAAAAAAAGCAAAATTAACTGACTCACAAAATGTTGTAGATGATGGGATCTCAGAAAACAACCCATTCCCCTGGCTGGGCTGCTTTTTTTTTTTTTTAGAAGGAGTCTCACTCTGTTGCCCAGGCTGGAGTGCAGTGTCCCAATCTTGGCTCACTACAACCTCCGCCTCCCGGATTCAAGTAGTTATCTGCCTCAGCTTCCCGAGTAGCTGGGATTATAGACACCCACCACCACGCCTGGCTAATTTTTGTATTTTTAGTAGAGACGAGCTTTCACCATCTTGTCCAGGCTGGTCTTGAACTCCTGACCTCATGATCCACGTGCCTTGGCCTCCCAACGTGCTAGGACTACAGGCATGAGTCACCATGCCCAGCCAGGATTTTTTTTACAGGTGGGAAAAATGAGCCCCAGAGTAGATGGGCAGCTGACTCAAGCTCACATCTCTAGTTAAACATCCTTTTATTGCATAAAGTGATGCCACTGGATTGTCACATATACTTCTGTACTGATTTCCTCTCTTTGGAAAAAGTATTAGCATGGTAATATAGTATAGTATAACCAAATGGAACTTTTCCCAGTTTGTCTTACAGTTCAAACTCTACTTTGTTTTATTATTAAAAATACACACACTCACCTTTCAGTGAATGAAGAAATTTGTATTTTAAATGTCGCTAATAACAGCAAACTTATTGATAAGTAAAAATATTACATGAACAAATCATTCCCAGCCCCAGCTAGAGATCCAAAAGCAATTGAGAAGGAGTTCTTGAAGAAGAAAAACGGAGGAAGTTAAAAAGAGTTAAAATGCCAAGAGAGCCTGAGGTCCACAGAACCATCCTTAGGGCCTTCATTTCAGACCCTGTGAACGAACACTTGCTGACAGCCCAGGACTAACCCACCAATGGAAAGGGAGCTGCTCTAGCAGTGTCTTTGATCATTATCATATAATCAGATCCGTACCCTGTGATCCCACACACAAGGCACGAGGATCATTCTCTCTCTCCATGCTCTTCTCAGGTGCTTATCGCACCTTCAAGAGACTGCCCTTTGATGTTCTGTTGAGGCAGATTTCACCTTTATAAACGGGCGGAAAAGAGCAGGCAGGGATCCAGGGGGAAGAACATAGTGACTTGCTGGATCTGACTGTGCTCCTGTTAAGGGGCTTGCCTGATAAGTCTCACAGAAAAGGACAATGTTCTTTTCTCCGGGAAATAGCAGGCTTTGACAAGTTTTTAAAGCCCTTCATAATTCAACAAATACAACCCACGAGGGTTCAGACCAAGGTTCAGATTCAAAGTAATCATAAAGGAAGATTATTTTTTAATCAAGAGTTGTATACAGTACCACGATTTTGTGATACATGTTTGTGCAACAGGATGTCAGATGAAGGCCCTGCACCAACCCAGGGATTCTTGTTTCATTCCTACCTGTTGATGCCTAGCTATTAAAACATCAATATTGGAAATTTCATTAGTAAAACAGAGAAGGAGGTTGGAATCTTTTACGTCCCTTCCAATTGAAAGGGCTTTGTGTCAGTGAGGAAATAAAAAATAACTGTACCTTAAAATGTATTTTTAAAAAGCATGCTCTCCAAGTACAAGGTTTTCCTGTTTGTTGTTATTTAAGCATTCTGGCTTCAAGCTGAACATCCCTGTGGGCTGCCTCAGTGCTCAATCCCATAGCCAGCAGTATAGCCCTCTCTCTGGATAGCAGCATGCCTCACTCGCAGAGCCATGTCTAGAGAGAAAGAGAAAATGCCATTAGAAATGAAGTGTGCAGAACTACCTTGGCACTGACACACCAGCTTCCAAGTTCATGTTTATTCTTCACCGTCATATGGTTCAGATATTTCCTCAGTATTGTGAATTTCTTTAAGAGGGATCCATAAGTCTTTTTCATGTCGCCTCCACTGGTGTGTGAATTAGGCATTCATTTGGAAAATAAGTACCTTTTTTAAATGCTTTATGTACTCACACCAAATGTAATAGATTCTTACACTTACAAATCTGTCATGCTTATTCTCTGGTCATTTTCTTTTATAAAGATATTCTGATGAAATTAATTTGAAGTTTTCCAGTGTGGCCTACTCCATTTAAAGGGACAACATAAGTTAAACTTTTCAAATTTAGAGTCCACTTTACTTTTCCAGTATACTTTCCAGTATAAGTATAAGGCAACTGAACCATTAGTCTGAAATAATGCCATGTATGTATTTTTGTTCTCTTTGCAGAGTGTTCGACCTACACCACAAAATGATGCTATAACGGTACACTTTAAACCAATTACATTAAAAGCATCAGAAAGTAAATACACCAAGGTTGCAAGCATTAGTTTTGATGGCAAGTATTCACCATTTTCTCTCTGATAGAGTGATGTTATTTTGATAAACTAGAAAGCATCTGTATTAACGTCTTAATATAAAAATCCAAACTGTTTTACCATCAGAATTTATATTACTGCTTAGGTTGATCCCCCCCCGCCCCCCCCCGCTGTAAACCATCATGAACTCTTACTTGATTGATTCATGAGAGAAAATACCACAACTTTATAAAGCTAAATCAGTATTAGCAATAGAAAAGCACTAGCAAATACATTAGGATTGGAATCATTTCCATAATCTGGGCTAGCCTTTTTACACATATTATGTATTATAATTCATCTTAATTATGAAGTTACAATATATTTGAAGTTCTGAAACATGTTTGAATTTGAGAGCAAAAATAAAAAGTATTCTTTGTAACATTTTCATATATTGGCTTTTATAGGCAAAGCAGATCCCCTACTTAAGCTAAAATAATAGACTTTATGACAGAATTGTCCAGTTAGCTATTATTTCTAATGTGTATAGTATACATTTTGATACTTGAGGTGTTAAGCCAGACTATACCATTTTTATAGCATGTTTTTATTTAGTTTTGCCTACTTTAATTGGAACATTCATTGAATTTGCTGTCACAACATTTTTAAAATAATGACTTAATGGCTGCTTAACCATACAGATAATTAAATGAGAATTGAACCTCTGAACAGGGCTTTTTTCATAGGCACCCATGCAACTGAGTAGCTGCTATTAAGCTTAAACTTTGGCTTTATGATAAAGCCATCTGTGCTCAGAGTCCACATAGTAAAGCTCAGCTCCTCATCGGATGAGAATATTTGATCAATGAATGTAGGAGGACACTGGCACACTTCACACAGTGTTTATGAGAGTATCTATGCCTGCTGCTCACTGTGGAGAGTTCTAGGGAGGGTCTGGAGCAGCTACGGAGGTGGGGCTGGCCTCAGGGTTCATCCTGTGAGCTCAGTGAGGACTCTCAAGGAATAAAAATCACATAGGCAGCATACTTCATGATACAGTTGTCAAGAAATAGTATTATAGAAGACATTAATGCCACAGTAATTTCTACATTTGTGGTAAAGTGTTCTCTATGCTGCTGAGAGACCACATTCATGCCTACCAGTGTCAGTATCACGAGGTACATTGTCTTCCCTTACAGAGGAGGAGGCGGCTAATTTTTGTATTTTTAGTAGAGACAGGGTTTCACCATGTTGGCCAGGCTGGTCTCAAACTCCTGACCTCAGGTGATCTGGCTGCCTCAGCCTGGCAAAGTGCTGGGATTACCGACGTGAGGCACTGCACCCAGCCAGGATAAGAGCATTTAGGACCCACCCTTCACAGATGTGCCGGAAAATTCTCCACATGGTCTGCAAGGGTGAAGAGCTGCTCTGCAAGGGTGAAGAGCTACTCTTCTCTAGCTCCTGTATTGACCACCCACTTAATCTTTCCCTTCTTGAGATAAATGCGATGTCATTAGTGTTGGTTCTTCTGAGATCGTAGGCTCTAAGATAATTGTTTCTTAAAGAAATATGTAAAATTAAATAACAACAGCAAAGGGAAAGCATCTTTAAGAGCAAATGCTACATTTCTTAAAAGTAGGTTTTTAATATCATGTGAAAATCCCCCCACCATTCACCTCTCCCACTGCCATGCTGGATCCCCACACAAAATACCTCTGAGATTGCTGTGAAAATCAGTCAGGAAGTGTGTGTTATTTAACTTTTAATATTGTTAGAATGCACCTTATATATGTATTAACTCTGCAGTGTTCATTTATCAAGCATCTTTCTCATCAAAAGTTATTCTTCATGATTTTCAACAGAATTTTCTTGAGCTTTTTGACCACTTTATTTGCTATGTATGATACAATGTCATGAAATGCTTAAATGTGGCCCTTGTAATCAGTCTTACGTCAGAACAAATAGTGAAAAATTGAAAGCATCCAGAGATGGCTAACTAGCAAGCAGAGAAATAAGAGGCTGAATGGGAATTTTTAAAATGGAAAGTCTGTGTCTGCCATAGTCAAACACTAGATGTCATACCATTTCCTTGTTCTTTTTTGTCATGAGGTTGGATGACACACATTTGCGGAACTCACATATGAATTCTTCACATAAATGGAAGTGTTCCTAAAGTACTCTAAGAGGATAAACATAAACAGCTTCTTTATTTGCTTTGAAAAGAACCATCTAATGGGTACCTAGATTGGACCCAACTGAATCAATTTCTGTAATTCCTTATTTATTTATTTATTTTTTAATTTTTGTTTTTTTGGGTCAGAGTCTCGCTTTGTTGCCCAGGCTGGAGTGCAATGGCGCAATCTCGGCTCACTGCAGCCTCCACCTCCCAGGCTCAAGCGATTCTCCTGCCTCAGCCTGCCAACTAGCTGAGATTACAGGCACGTGCCACCACACCTGGCTAGTTTTTGTGTTTTTAGTAGAGACAGGGTTTCACCATGTTGGCCAGGTTTGTCTCGAACTCCTGACCTCAGGTGATCTGGCTGCCTCAGCCTGGCAAAGTGCTGGGATTACCGATGTGAGGCACTGCACCCAGCCAGGATTATTCAAAACTGCTATGAAATCTGAAGTTTTTACTTCATCTAAGATGAGGACAATATAATATGATGACAGGAGGGGATTTATCTCCTCTTATACCATGAGTTTTAGGGTTGGCTGGTTTTTGAGAAGAGCTCTGAATTCTTGACTTTTCTTATACCATGCTACTTTATTGGTGATAGAGCAAGACTTTGGCCATACAAGAAATGTTATTTCTTTCTCAGTTCAAGTGTAAATCAGCAGGGCTAAGTGGGGGGTAATTTTGCCTCCAAGGGGATATCTGGCAATGCAGAGAGGCATTTTGGTAGTCACAGCTGCAGGGATGCTACTGCCGTCTAGCAAGTAGAGGTCCGGGATGCTGCTAAACATCCTACAGTACACACAACAGCCTCCGCAACGAAGAATTAATCTGGCCTAAAATGTTAACAGTGCCAAGGATGAGAAATTCTGCTGTAAGTAAAGCCAAAGCCTGTGGCTACAGCAAAGCAGCTTAGGTACAGTGTTTTACCTCCTGAACCATGCTCACCAGCTAATTCCTTATCTGCTTATCTTATTACAGGAAATATAAAACATTTTCCCCCTTTTGTATGAAAAATGTGATGTTTCATTTAAAATGTTATAAAAAGTGTTCTGTTGGCCAATTTGGAAGCTCAACTTTTTTTTTTTTTAAGATTTTGTCAATTTACATAAATTCACTAATTCTCTTTGGTAGTAAAAGGTAACAGAGATTATTTTTTATGCTTCCTTTCAGCATCGAAGGCAAAAAAGCCATCTCAGTTTTCTGGGAAAATAACAGTTAAAGCAAAGGAAAAGAGTTATTCTAAACTTGAAATACCATATCAAGCAGAAGTTTTAGATGGGTGAGTTTCTTTTTAAAATAAATTCTATTACTTTTTACTAATCAGTAAATTATATTTTCCTGCTAAATGACCTGCAGAAATACTAGCCACGTTCACATAAACTTGATGGAATTATTTTTTGAAAGAACAGCCCCAACTATAAAAGAGAAAACCTCCTATATTTTGTTTATATTTTACTTTTTTAGAAGAAAAGGGTAAGTGGGATGATAGGATTTGGGCTTAAATGAAGACTTAATGATTCAAAAATCTGATTTTTTAAATATTATTTAAATCATTTGAACCATTTCCTTTCTGACATTTGTTTGTAATATGTAAGTGATTGTGGCCTATTATTAAAGTATTTTGACACTCGAAACAGAATTCTTTATATTCCTTTATAAATTCATAAACACTTCTAGAATTACAACTTTTTATAAATGGGAAGTGACATGTTCATTTTCTATTGTACTTTAACCAATAGTAGTTTAATACTCAACTTGGCAAAGATTCATTTTAGCAAAGCTCCTTGTAATTCAGTGATAAGCATGATTTTTTTCAAAGTAAAGCTTTTTTTGTTGATATGTCTTTGATTCTAATTGTATGATTCATATAATTCATTAGAGAATGGTTGTTTGTATTAATTTCAGTATTTTGCAAGCTAAATTTTGTTTTAAATCATATAGTCAATCACTAAAATATTATAGTTCTAAATCTTTAATACAATCCCTAATGCTAAATGTAAATTATTACTTACAACAGAAGAACTTGGATTTTAAATTAACACATGGAAATAAAAATGATTTATTTTGTTCTTGTTGTTTTTTTTAATAGTTATTTGGGATTTGATCATGCTGCAACATTATTTCACATCCGAGACAGCCCTGCTGATCCTGTGGAAAGGCCAATTTACCTTACTAACACTTTCAGTTTTGCGATCCTCATTCACGATGTGTTGCTACCAGAAGAAGCCAAAACAATGTTTAAAGTATGTCCAGGAGCCCTCATACTTTTAATTTTCCTGGTCTACCAACTAGGTGATGCTGACACTTTGTTTTTTTTCTCTTCTGTCATTTCTCAGGTTCACAACTTCAGCAAACCAGTCTTAATTCTTCCTAATGAATCAGGATACATTTTTACCCTGCTTTTTATGCCTTCCACATCATCCATGCACATTGATAACAACATTTTACTTATTACCAATGCTTCTAAATTTCATTTACCCGTGCGGGTATACACAGGCTTTTTAGATGTAAGTATATTATCCATCTTTAACATTTAAACTCCCTGCCCACCTTTAATGTTTTCAGATCTTATTAGGCAGTCGTGTTACATACGGTTTGCCATTATTTGTGCTCTGCAAATTGATCTAATTCTCCTAGTCAGTTTTTACCTTTCCAGGTAACTAGTTTTTACCTTTTCTGGCAGCTCTCTCTTGTGATACAGTTGACTTCTCTAGTTACAGTCTCTACTTAGATCTTTTCCACATTCTGCTTTCTCTTGGATATGCTTTTAAACTATTGTAATAATGGGGAATATAGAAAAGAACTAAATAGAAAAATGATAGGTAGAAAAAGAATAATACAAGGAAGGTGAAGAGGGATATACGTAGGGAAGAGATGATCAAAACCAAGAAATATCGGGACAAAGAAGAGAATCAGATAGTAAAGAAGAAAATAAGGTAGTAAAGACGCAAAGTTGGAAGATTATATATGACACAGAAGGAAACAATGAAGGTACTCCTGGTACAGAAAATAAGCAGGGGGAAAAATTCCAAACAAAGCTATCTTGAGAGTGATCAATGAAAGAAGCTTAGATAAGAGAGAAAACTGTTAGGAAAGATAAAAAGAAAGCTAGGACATCTAGAAATGTAGCCCTTTAAATAGTTGGCATCGATTAGAATTTTAGAGCTGGAGGGACCTTCAGTAATGTCTCGCTCCTGCTTCAGTTATTTTGTTTCAGTGATCATTGGTGATGCTTGCTGAGACCACATGCTTTTTGCCCGATCCCCTAGGGTTCCACTAAACCTCTCTTAGTAGTTTAGCTTCCTGCCTCTTTCATGTGCCCTCAGAGGAAGAATAGCAACTCAGCAGAAGCCATGGCTGTTTTCATTTCTGATTACTCAAAAGACTTTCGTCATACAAAGCCCTCAACTATGTCGTATAAATGTGTGGTTTTATGCATATATACAAAAGCATAGGAAAGCATAGAACTGTAATTTTTTTTTTTTTTAGATGGAGTCTCGCTGTGTTTCCCAAGCTGGAGTGCAGTGGTGCAATCTTGGCTTGCGGGTTCAAGCGATTCTCCTGCCTGAGCTCAGCCTTCCGAGTAGCTGGGATTATAGGTGCACACCACCATGCCCAGCTAATTTTGGGGGGAACTTTAATACATCTTTAATATAGTTACTTTCTCTTCATAATATTGTTAGATCAATGTGACTTTTTTTTAATCTGGTTCTTTTATATCTTTCCAGTACTTTGTATTGCCCCCCAAAATAGAGGAACGTTTCATAGATTTTGGAGTACTGAGTGCTACAGAAGCAAGTAATATTTTATTTGCAATTATAAACAGCAATCCAATTGAGGTAAAAACCTGTTTTTATTCTAAATCACATTTAAGGATTTTATGCTTGTGTTGTGATAATCATTTTCATATCTTTTTTTAAAGTTGGCTATAAAAAGTTGGCATATCATAGGAGACGGTTTATCAATAGAACTTGTAGCTGTGGAAAGAGGCAATAGAACTACAATAATTTCAAGCCTGCCAGAGTTTGAAAAATCCTCTTTATCAGATCAATCATCGGTAAGTAAACTTTCTATTGTCTCCTTAAAGTAAGATGGATGTCTAAACTGCAAGTGGAAGATCATTGCTATGCTACATGTATCACTATTATTTTTATGCAGTTCATAATAGTGTTGGTTACTTGCTATTAAAAGGACCTTATAGGTAATGTAATTCAACCCCCTATTTTTATGATGAGGGCACTGAAACCCAAAGGGGTTTAATTCTGCCTTGTCATAAAAAGTTCTATAACACACAAATTTTTAATTATCTTTTTGTAACACAAGTGTCATTACAGGAGAGATTCCCATGGGTACTAAACTAACCTTGTGTTCATTGAGTTTACTGGGAAAAAGAGATGGCCCTGAACATTGGTAGAAAATATTTTCAATTATGCAATAATACGTCTGTCCAGATACTGCCTCAGTATCAGTGAGGCAAACATTGTTTGATCACTGTGAGTCTGCCCACATATTTTTACCTGTCTAATAAACATGTTACAGTTGGTTGTCAGAGAGCGCTAAACAAGAGAAAACAAATTTATTAGTTTCAGCACTCACCAGTACTGAAAGGGGAACTTGGAGTTTATACCTACTGGGAAAAGAATTAGAATCACAATCTGTGAGAAGGAGCATCAGATAATCTCATCTGCAGGTTAGAATAGAATTTCTTGGGGCAGTTTTACAAAAGGAAAAGCAAGTGTCCTTATACACAGAGAGTGTTGACAAACACGTTTCCGTGGAATGCCATAGGTCTGGTGTTTTGTTATATCTGACCTCAGCTGCCCTGAAGATATGAATATTAACATTACAGAGTGACATCCACAGCTTGAAGCAGAGCCAGCTGTGTATACAATTGTGGCTCCAGTGTGCCTGAAAGGTTGGTGGAAGGCTGTGTCCCTCTGCTCCAGCCCCTTTGGCCATACAGGTCCATGGGTAAAGAGTGAGGAGCTTTATTAGCAAGAGGACCACACCCCTCCCTCTTTCAGGAACCAGCTTTTTCAGTGGCCCATGGAACAAGTGTAGTAGAGAAATATCAAGGGATGGACACTATTTTGAGATATTTGTACACAGTGATATGGTAATTCAGTGTCATACTGGTATATGTTAGGATTTGTTAGTCATTTTATCGCTACACCCTTCATGTCCATTTTAATAGGAAACTTCAACTAACAAGGCTAATGAATGATACCATTTCTACTATCTACAGGTAACATTAGCTTCAGGCTATTTTGCAGTCTTCAGAGTCAAACTTACTGCAAAAAAATTAGAGGGGATTCATGATGGAGCCATCCAGATCACAACAGACTATGAGGTAAGGACTTTATGGGGATTCATGGCAGTGGGGTTTTTCTGAATAAGTCAGTCCTTTCTTGTCTTTATGAAACCAAAGAATTAAGTTTACTCAGAGTTACAGTTTACCAGTTTCATACCTTAAAAACTGAGCTTTCGAGAATAGTTTATAGAATATTGATGTTCATAGGCTCATAGTTTTTTGATAAAACCCAACCCTCCTAACCTAAAAAGCAACTTCAGAAGAATGCCTTTAGCACGTTTAGAATTGCTTTGTTAGAAACCTGCTTAAACAGATGGTTATATCATTGCACAGACCCCAGCTGAGTGTCCTGAGTTAGATACCTCTGATTGTTCCTACAATCATAAATAGCAGTCAGGGTCTAACATTTCTGAAAAGGAAGATAAAATCAGGAGATCATGTCCTAATCTGAGTGCTCACATTTATATTTTCATGAGTCATTCAAAGTCAAGGGACTAAAGGTTACTAAGCTTTTAATTAAAATATTCTGTGTGGAGCTTATTTTGCATTCAGTAAGATTTTGAATGGATGTATTTCTGCCAGACCTAAATGTTTTTAATTGTATATCTAAAAGCTCTTAGGAAAGTCAAGCACTGTTAAATTCAACAACTTACCACCTTTGCCCTCATAGATGTTTTCAGTGGACACAACTCCCACGTGGAAAAAAAATGTAATTATAAAATAAACAGAATTGGCCATTTAATAATAAATGATTTGTTGAGAGTATGTCAGGTGAGGAATTCATGGTTATCACTCATGACAGAAATAAGTACATTTCAGAATTCAGATAAATTTTTGTTAATATGGGTGAAAATAAGAATTAAGAAAAATACCCTAGAGAAGTAGCTTTGAGAGTTACTAACAGTATGGGATGGGATTCTAACTCTAGAATGTTCAGTGCATTTTTAAAAATTAGGTTGATGTCTATTTCTGTATCAAAAAAAAAGCTATATAACTCTAGATATGCTGGATTTTACATACATTGTTTTAGGAGTACAGTTTGACTTTCTTTTTTAAAATAATCTATTTTTATAGATTATTTGTATTTTGAAATACAAAAATATTTGTATTTTTAAAAAATCTGTCTTCATTGCTTCCCCGTTGTTTAGTCTTTTTTACGTGTTTTCAATGAATCACTGAGAAATCTGTGGAAATGTGTTATATTTCATTACATTTTATGGAGTACATTGGACAGATTAAACAGTATCTATGGGTGATTTTAATATTGGTATGGAGCTGGTTATTGTCAATATTAGTCCCAAAATTAGGTTAACCCCAAAATATAATGCAATAGTTATCAAGATCAGGCTAAGTCTTAACTACTTATCTATCATCATCTTCTTGACTTCACAGATCCTGACAATCCCTGTGAAGGCTGTGATTGCAGTAGGCTCACTGACCTGCTTCCCTAAGCACGTGGTTCTTCCACCTTCCTTTCCAGTAAGACCATTAATACACACATTTTTCTATTGCTCGTTTTTTGCCTTTGCCTTTAGCTCTGTGTTCCTAGAATCTTAGAGTAAAGTCAGTTATTCTTTATTAGTCATTTATTTTAAAGACATTATACCAGGTTCTTTAGAAGATGTAAAGAGATACAGTCCTTTTCCTCAAAAAGTTTTCTATCTAGAAAGGGAAATGGACCCACAATTCAGAGCTATAAAGCGGAATGTAGAAGTTGCCCTAAGAGGAGTGAAAATAAAGTGCTGTGAGGGAAATACACGTCTCACTGATGCAGGGGCTATGGGAGCCAGCTTAGAATTTCTTCCAACAGAGATGGAGAAGGGGTGGCAGAGACGTGAATCTAGGGCCAGGGCGCAAGCTCAACAGGGATGCAGAGGCAGTAAAGTCTGAAGTTGGTTCAGGCAATAGTGAGTTGTCCAGTTTGGCAAGAATTGAGAAAAGTTTTAAGAGAGAAAATGGAATGGTCTGTGGGGGTGATAACATGGAAAAAACTTAAATGCACTTAAGTTCATGGGAATATGAAGTTTTTGAGTGAAGACTTGACATCATCAGAGCTGAGCTTTAAAGACTGGCTCTCTGCAGAAAGAAATAGAGGACACAGATGAAAGTAACAATAGAGTGCCTGGAGGCCAACCCGCAGACTGGCCAGAGTCCATGTGAAAAGTGCCAAGGGGAGTTTGAGCGCATGGCTGTGGCTGAGGCAGTAAAGTCCCTTCATACCTCCAAGCCTTTGTTGTTTCTTTGCCTCGAATGCCCTTCCTCCTGTCCTTCCTTCAAAGAACTCCTGCGTGTCTTTCAAGATTCAATTCCATTGTCATCTCCTCTCTGAAGATTTCTTGACTCCTCTAGACAATACTGGTTGTTTCATGTGTGATCCTAGAATACTTTGAAATTACCCCTCTTGCTGCAAGCCTCGTATTGTGCTATAAATATTTCCTTATAAGTTGGCCTCCCCAGTGAGAGTCTGAGATCCTCTAGGAAACGGATGAGAGATCGTTTCTTCCCAATAGCAGGCACTTAGTACATAATGTATGGATGAAGGAACAAATGATGGAGAGGGAACATAGGCAAGAGACATTGCAGGTGAATCATTTGAACTGTGCTTATATCCTAAAGAGGTCATACAAACTGAAACAAGTATGGGGAGGAGGGTGGGTAGAGGAGGCAGGAATATGGCTTAGAGTTTGAGCCTGGAGAACAAAGACAAAACAAATGAGAAAACCAGGAGAAGATGCTGCCTTTTGCAAGAAGATGGTGCAGTCCATTCAGGAATACCAGGGCAGATGTAAAAGTGTCTCACATCCTAGTGGTAGGAGACAGTAGTGGGTTAAGAGAAACAAGACATTGCAAAATCTTAATGCTGTATGCAAGTTGAGCATCCCTAACCCAAAAATCTGAAATCCAAAATGTTCCCAAATCTGAAACATTTTGAGACCACAAGTGGAAAATTCTACACCTGACCTCTTGTAACAGGTTCCAGTCAAAACTTTGCTTCATGCACAAAATTATTTTAAATGTTGTATAAAATTACCTTCAGGCTATGCATATAAATGTATATGAAACATAAATGAATTTCATGTTTAGACTTGGGTTCTGTCCCCAAGATATCTCATTATATATATGTAAATATTCCAAAAAAAAAATCTAAAACACTTCTGGCCCCAAGCATTTTAAATAAGGGATACTCAACCCTTACAGTAAAACCTGAATTCAATATTTAACTCCTTAAAAATACAAACTTTGAATTACTAGTTTCATCACATTTAAGTTTGGGTCTTAATTAAATCCTCATCTTCCTGTCATTCCACTTTGTACTGACTATACTAAACTCTTCGTTATTTATCCAAAAGAGCCATGTTTCTTCCTTCCATTACCTTCTCAATCAATGATGTCCTTAATCTCTGCGTAAACTCTGGCAGGGAAAAGTTCAGTTCAGAAGACAGCAGATGACACAGTGAAAAGCCCCATGAGTGGAATAAATGAGAAAGCATGTGTATAAAAACAAGATGTTGGTCTGGATCCATTTGTGTTGCTATAAAGGAATCCCTGAGGCTGGGTGATTTATTTTTAAAAAAGAGGTGTATTTGGTTCACAGTTCTGGAGACTGTGCAGGAAGCATGGCCCCAGTGTCTGCATTGGTGAGGGCCTTAGGCTGCTTCCACTCATATTGGAAGGCAAAGAGGAGCTGGCATGTGCAAAGATCACATGGCAAGAGAGAAGAGAGGGAGGTGCCAGGCTCTTTTTTAACAACCAGTGGTTGTGTGAACTAATGGCATGAGAACTCATTACTACGAGGTCAGAACGCACCAAGCCATTCATGAGGGATCCACCCCTGTGGCCCAGACACCTTCCATAGGGCCCCACCTCCAACACTGGGGATCACATTTCAGCATGAGATTTAGAGGGGTTGGTTTTGAACTGCTTCAGATTAAGCTTTCAGATATCTCTAGGAGGCTTACAGGACCAGATACTTGCTTGGAATTCTAAATTACCTCTATATTACCAAATCCTGTCAATCTCTTTATCAGATGGAGAATACTAGAGCTTACTGGAAACAATACCTCAGAATAAACATTTCATGTAACTCATAGCTTAATATTTGAATAGAATTGTGAGAGCAGCATTTATATCTGTGAGCTCTTTTGATCCCCCACACCCCCAAGAGACAAGGCACGAGGGAAGTAGTTATTTCAAGTACGCCAAGTGCGGTGACTGCCCGAGGGCTCCTGTCGGCATTGCAGCTGCATGCCCGCCCTCTGCTGGCTGTCGGGTGTTTTAGCCTCACTGGGCTGTAAATGAGGAGCGCTGGCCTCAGTGTCACAGTCATTGCGCCCTTTTTCCTGTGCACGCTCTTCACTTCTGTATTTTTTATTCCAAATATTTAAAAAGTGGGTTTAATCATTTCAGAGACCTCTTCAAATGAGTAGGAATCTACAAAAAGTAAAATTTTGTATTCAGCCAAAAGAAAGATTGTAATATTCTTCTGGAGGATTACGTAAATTATTTAATTTTTTAATTTAAAATTTGGTACCCTGTCACAGACAGAAGCTTGTGACTGGTAAGAGCAATTGCTGGTTATTTAACAGTTTTATTTGTGTGCTGGGGTTTTTGTTTGTTTGTTTGTTTGAGATGGAGTCTCACTCTGTCACCCAGGCTGGAGTGCCGTGGTACGATCTCGGCTCACTGCAGCCTCCGCTTCCCGAGTTCAAGTGATTCTCCTGCCTCAGCCTCCCCAGTAGCTGGGACTACAGGTGTGTGCCACCATGCCTGCTAATTTTTCGTGTGTATTTTTAGCAGGAACAGGGTTTCACCATGTTGGCCTGGCTGGTCTCGAACTCCTGGCCTCAAGTGATCCACCCACCTTAGCCTCCCAAAGTGCTGGGATTACAGGCATGAGCCACTGTGCCCAGCTTGTGTACTGTTTTAATAAGATACTTGACAACCCATAATTTCAAAAGATGTGTAATTTCTCTTTGATACAAATGACATATATTTTTCCTAATGAAGAGACTTTCTTTTAAAAAAAATTGTGATTTTGTCCCCTTTGGCTTTAGATTTTAGAATTCAGTGATTTCAGGGCATTCTTGCCTGGGTGTAAACAAACCTTGCTTACCAAACTGAAAGTAACCATTCCCTTTATCTAAAGCTATCTCTGTTTGTACCTTTGTTGGCATCCTCAGTATCTTAACATGAAAGTGTGAATGTTAACGTCAATCAGTTGTCACAAGATTGCAAAGATTTGTCCTCCTGATTTTTCTGTAACATGCCACAGCAAGAAAAAAAAGTTTTTTGGTGAGGTTTTTTGGCTGTTGATTACAATTTAAAGATTATCAATTGATGAACATTCTAAGATGTCTTTTGGGCTTTGGTTTCCTAGAAGTATGCTTGTCTACTCTGAAACTTGTGATCTTAAGAAAATTTAACCATATACAAATGAGTTTGTTCTTTGCTTTCTTCCTTCAGGGGAAAATAGTTCATCAAAGTTTAAATATTATGAATTCCTTCTCACAGAAGGTAAAAATACAGCAAATACGATCTTTGTCAGAAGATGTGCGATTTTACTATAAACGATTACGGGGCAATAAGGAAGACTTGGAGCCAGGAAAAAAATCAAAGGTTTGAAGATATTATATTTGAGAATTCCCATTGGTTAACATTTTGTTTTATGACCTCCTGTGGATTTGGGATTCATGGTTCTCCTGTGCCTCTTTATAGATTGCAAACATTTATTTTGATCCTGGACTACAGTGTGGGGATCATTGCTATGTTGGCTTGCCTTTTCTATCCAAATGTAAGTGACCTTGCTGTTCTCTCTCATGTCTTCACTTCCCCCAAAATACTCTTTTAGTAAGAGGCCGCCACTTTTAAAGTACATTGCTGTCTTTTGTTACTATAGAAATTATTTGAAGGAAAATTGACAAGTGAGTATAGATGCAGGTTAAGTATGTTTCCTTGTTTTAGCTGAACCCAAAGTGCAGCCTGGTGTAGCCATGCAGGAAGATATGTGGGATGCTGACTGGGATTTGCATCAAAGCCTGTTCAAGGGATGGACAGGAATAAAGGAAAATTCAGGTCATAGGTGAGTGGTTTATGTTTATTTATTTTAGCCATCTTTACAAGATGACTATTGAAACATAATGCTTTCTAAATTATATTCTTATGTTAGATTATTTTGCTTTATAGCTAAGAAAGAATGCCTAATTTTCAGAAAGTTATTAGTGAGGCATCTTAAATTGCCATTTTAACTGTATGTTGCTTGGAAATATACATACTGTCATTTTTCTCTTTTCTGTGGTGCTTTAGATATTTCTTACACTCCAAGAAAATATTTGAAGTTGTTCTTATGTAGGATGACGACAGTATTCACCTTAGACTCATCCATTTGCATAGGAAAGAAAGTTTTTTACCTACCACTGATGTCTGTTAAAGGCAAGGGAAACATTTTCTAGGTTTACCCCCACCTAGGCACTTGGTACAAGACCAGAGTGTCTGTTTTCTTATTGTGAAAAGAATACCTCCTTCCTTTTTTTTTTTTTTTTTTTTTTGAGACGGAGTCTCACTCTGTCACCAAGCTGGAGTGCAGTGGCGTGATTCTCCTGCATCAGCCTCCCAAGTAGCTGGGACCACAGGTACATGCCACCATGCTTGGCTAATTTTTGTATTTTTGGTAGAGATAGGGTTTCACCATGTTGGCCAGGATGGTCTCCATCTCTTGACCTCGTGATCCACCCACCTCAGCCTCCCAAAGTGCTGAGATTACAGGCGTGACCCACTGTGCCCAGCCCACCCCCTTCCTTTCTAAGTGCTGAGCTATTCGGGAGCACACAGGGCTCCATTCAGACAGGCCCCACAGTGTTTCTTTGGCAGGTAGGAAATGTGCATCTAATGACAAATCAATACTGCACCCAGATTCAAAAACAAAAAATGTATTGATTTGGTAGTATAGAAATCTGATCTTTTCATGTACTTCAGAAAAGAATTTGACTAGAATAATGATAGTATGGCAGCTGATGGAAACTGCTCTTCTCAAGCTGCTAATTTGAAATATATTTGTTAGTATCAGGATATTCCCATTTAAGAGTACTGTAAATTCTCAAACCATTAATAATTGGAGGGTTTGTTTATCTGAACTCTCTGCTATGAAAAGTTTTCTTAAGGCAAAAGAAAGTCGAATGTTTACTTTAAAAAGATGGTTAAAATGAATACAAAAGAGACTTCCTCTAATGGACTTGCTAAGAGAACACTAATTAAAACTCTCCTTTGTACCCTGTATTTCCACAGTGGACATTATAAAGGACAAGCAAGCCCCAAATGTTAATGTCCAGTTATGAACAAATAACTTACAGTGTTGTCCTATGCTCAGCTGCTAAGGGGCCTCTTCACCTCCTACCCACAAAAAGCCTGCCCTCCTCTCTGTGTCCCCAGCACCCCATTGCTAAGACCTTGGCTCCCTGTCTATCTTGAGTGCACAGTAGATGTGATATTCTCCCTGATCCTGCCTTTGTGTTACTTTGTTATGTGTGTGTTACAGAGGATTTCTGCTACTAGTCATATAAACTTGTACTCTTACCAGTATTAGAGTATCATAACACTACAACAATAGAGTTAGGGGTTAAAATATGCTTCAGCGTTTAGTCCCAGGAATCTTAGCTCCATTTATAATATTGTGTCTTTGGGAATGTGTTCTGAGTTCTAAGCAACTGGCTTATACACACTTATAAGTAGGGAGATATTCAGATGAGGTCTTGAATATTGCTGAAAACTTTACATGTGTCTGCACAAAACCCTCGTAGGTTTTACCTCTGTTGTCAACTGATGTCTTCATTGAATCTGAGGACTCTGTTTTGTCTTTATATCAAGGGGGAAAAAAGCCATATGCCAAGCAATGTACTGCCTTCTCATTAGTCCTACTGAAAATGTTTTTAGCACCCTGCTTGTAGATGTCTAGATCTTTCCTCTAGGCACATAAGATCCTTTAGGATCTGCGTAACATCATGTATTATCTTTATATGCCTGCCTTTTCTAAATAGGTTATCTACTATAGGCCAGCTTTTCTTACTGAATTTATACTTGGAAAGGTTTTTCGAAACTTACGCGGGATTACATTAATGCCATTGGTATTATTCCTAAGATTTATCATCCTTTCTATATTCAGTACAGAAACAGAGGATCTGTGACAGATATTTTGGCAACTCTTTGCACCAATATAGAGACATCATATAGCATTACAAGCATAGTAAAATATTAGAATGAATAAATGTGTTTTTTCAGGGCCAGCAAAAAATTTCTCAAGTACATAAGCCTAATTGAATTTCTTATGTTCAGAAGACTCAAATATTTCATTTTGATACAGTGACTTACAAATTGTTTTTCTAGATTGAGTGCTATATTTGAAGTAAATACAGACCTTCAAAAAAATATAATATCAAAAATCACTGCTGAGCTCTCCTGGCCTTCCATACTTAGCTCACCCCGGCACTTGAAATTTCCACTTACTAATACAAACTGCTCCTCAGTAAGTATTCAAAGTGACATTGGTTTTTGGAAATACATACTAGGATTATAAAGTATTTACTCTTAGCTTTAACTATAGAAATCTTTCATTTAATGTTTCATTATTTTGTTTAAGGAAGAAGAGATTACTTTAGAAAATCCTGCAGATGTTCCTGTCTATGTTCAGTTTATTCCTCTGGCTTTATATTCCAACCCTTCAGTGTTTGTAGATAAGTTAGTATCAAGGTAAGTATTGCTTGGGATCATCACAGTGTTTCTATGTAGTATTGAATTAGTATTTTATTCACTTAAAAAGCCTTATTTGCAGCTCATACAGATTAATAGATTTGACGAGAAGTTCTGGATCTATAAGGTTGAGAGAAGGTTTTAGGGAGGTTTAGGTTGATACTGTGCAAAGCATCCAGAAAAACTTTCAATATAAGGCAAGAAAAAGTAATATGGAACTCCCTTCTAAAAATGTGTAAAGAGAAAGTAGATGAAACCTTTCAAATATTCTAGTTTTGAAAAGTGAACAAAATATTAATTACAAGTTGTGGCCTTTAATTTTCTTAAGGCTATAAATCTGGTCATATTGATCTCAAAACCTGACAGACAATAATTTGAAAATAAAGCACACACCTGATAATCACTCCATAACTCCCTTAACTGTGATGTTGCTTATGAATAAATATGTGTACATTTTTTGTTTTAGGTTTAACTTGAGTAAGGTGGCAAAGATAGATTTGAGAACACTAGAATTTCAAGTCTTCAGAAACAGTGTAAGTATTCAAACTTCATACTATTCCAAAGAAATTATTTTATAATATGATCAATATAAATATGAAAGAAAATTATTGGCTACTCTTAAATTTGGCTGAAGGGTAAGTTACTGAAGAAGTCAGAGCAGTCCAGTAATTATTTCAGAGGCAAAATAAATCAGGAAGAGTAGGTGGGATTTAGATCAAGGTGAGGCACATTGAGTAAAAGGTTCGTATTTATGGGCATTAAACATTAAGCCCATGAAGGTTTGTAATAATAATTACAGAAATTCTGAGAATATATAGATGAGGTAAATATTAATACATCATTGATTTTTATTAAGCATCAAAATATTGAGCTCAGTCATTTACATTTTCATTCTGGATACTTTGTAATTAAATTGTAAGCCATCCATGAATGCTAAACCCATGACTGGCTGTGTTTGTATTTAGCATGGTAATATGCATGATTTTCACTCAATGGATAATCTTTTATTTATAAACATATACATAAACTGGTTTGTTCTAGGAACCAAACTATTTTCTATTATTTAGGCCAGGCTGAGCAACCACTAACCACACGTTATTAAATAAGACCTAATGTAAGGGTGTGTGTTGGGAACTTAACACTTGGAGCTAAGGCTCCCTGCAAACTGGTCCAAGCCTTTTGGCCACCATGCCCTTGTTTCTGCCCAAGGCCAAATTCAAATCTGGTTCTCTGATTCCAGAAGCCTTGCCCTTACCATTGTATCATGTGGTCACTGCTGATCAGGAATTGCTATGAGCCTTTTCAAACCAGATCCCTTGTAGTTCTTGAAATACTGTATTCTTTCCCATAGCTCCATGTTTTAATCTGTAAGGCATATATTAGCCCAATCCTTATTAGAATAGTTTTTATAACTCTGTCTTTAAGGCGAGCTTACATAAGAAAGTAATATTCAAAGTAGTATTTTTTTCTGTCAAATAATGGCTGGGACACTAGACTAAAGTTTAGACAGTCTTGTATTCCAGCCTCATGCGCGGCTCTGGGAATCTTTTCGTGCTTTGCTTTTCCCATCTGTAAGATGCCAAAGTAACAAATGTTATTGGAAGTTATCTAGAAGGCTCAGTAACCAGAACTTCCTTTCATTCTGCTTTTCTTTTTCTTTTTTTTTTTCTTCTGAGACAGTCTGGCTCTGTCACCCAGGCTGGAGTGCAATGGTGTAATCTCAGCTCATTGCAACCTCTGCTGCCCGGGTTTGTGCAATTCTCCTGCCTCAGCCTCCCGAGTAGCGGGATTACAGGCACGTGCCACCACACCTGGCTAATTTTTTTTTTTTTGTATTTTTAGTAGAGCCGGGGTTTCACCATGTTGGCCAGGCTAGTTTCAAACTCCTGACCTCAGGTGATCCACCCACCTTGGCCTCCTAAAGTACTGGGATTACAGGCGTGAGCCACAGTGCCCGGCCCACTCTGCTTTTATAATAGGGAGAAATTTCACATAAGTATTAAGTGAGCTAATATTTAACTTTCTTATTTTATTAACTACAAGCCATATTTACAAGATGTAGAACACTGAACTAAGCACTGTGAGAGATAGGAAAATAAGTAAGAGTACTCTAGACGTCAGAAATGTATTCTAAATAAGAAATTCAGGAGGAGGTCCTAGAGTGAGCTTAGAGTAAATTCTATCTCAGGCATCTCTACAGTGCTATAGAATGTGGTTCTCAAAATACTTGGTCTCAGGACTCCCTTGCAGTCTTAAAATTATTAAGGACCCCAGAGAGGTTTCTGGTTTACATCCATCAGTGTTTTGCCATATTAGAAACTGAAACTGAGGCCGGGCATGGAAGATCTTTAAAATAGTGATTTAATTTGTTTAAAATAATAATAAACCTATTCCATTCAACATAGGTAACATCAAAAATGAAAACTACCTATATTTTAAAAAATCATTTAGCAAGGAGAATGGATTTTTTTTAATTTTTACAACTCTCTTTAATGGCTGGCTCCCTGACTTAATAGACAGGTAGATTCTCATATCTGCCTCTACATTCAGTCTCTCTTGATATATTGTTTTGATCGAAGTATGTAATGAAAATCTAACCTGCTACAGACATGTAATTACAAAAAGAAGGAGTATTTTAGTTGCCTTTTTATTTATAACACTGTACATCAGTCTTTTGGAAAATACTGGTTCACGGAGACATGCAGACCTTACAAATGTTGCCACAATTCACTATGCACTATCCAAAAATGAATCATCCTCGCTAATCTAACCACCAGGCTCATCAGGAAACTCTTGAAGTATTGGGAAGCTGTCATGCTCACAATGGTGAATACAAATTATCCAAAATCCTAAATTTTGCTCAAAAGCTTGAATTTTATTAGAAACAAATACTTCAGTAGGCTCACTTATTTCTGTGAAAATACCTGCCAGATGCCCAAGTCTGAATAACCATGGACTGTCTGTCATTCTTTCAGACATAAACGGTGTTCCATGAGAAAAGCAGCTAGTTCAGCTTCCATCTCAAACAGCTTTTCAAAACAACATGGTAGCTGTAGAAATACTTTTTACATACTTCCCATTGTATCCCACAGAATATTAAAGACATGCTCCAGGGTTGAAGTTTTTATGGCATAATCGAGGACTTTTTTTTTTTTTAAATACAAATGAATGACACTGAAAAACACAATGGCTGCTAGGAAAGTTTGATACCACTGCTTTGATGCATGCTAAGGGGTCAGCAGTTTTACCCTCCATGGCTTTTGCTGACCATCAGTGCAGATGCCAACATAGTGAAAAAGACAAATAACGTCTATCGGTATTATTATGAAAATAGTTTTGACATCGTGGTGGATACTCTGACAGGATCCCTGAGATCCCCAGGGGTCCAAGGGTCACTCTTGGAGAACCACCACTATAAAATTATTAAGGTCCTGAATGGTATACGGGAGGCATCACAACATCTTAAAGTTTTCCCCAAACCATGAGAGTTTAAATTAGCTAGTGCTTGCTGGGAATATATGTATAGTACATCATTGTGTCCATCAGTTAATCAGAGTAGTTGATTTAAAAGGGAAATTACTCACCAACCATCTTGAAGCAGTTGGAATATTCTTCTGTCTTAGTGGACTTTGACAGAAAGGAAAAAAATAGCAGTTAACACTTGAACAACACAGGCTTCGACTGTGCTGACGCACGCATACATTTTTTTCAATCAAGTGCAGATGGAAAATACAGTTTTCAGGATGCAAAACTGCATATATGGAGAGCCCTACTTTTTGTAGGCACATTCCACAGTGGCCAACTGCTACTTGAAAAATCGCAGATTTGGTTATGCCAGGAATCCTGGAACCAATCTCTGGCATGTACAGAGACAACCGTATTTACCTCAGAAGCAAGAATTAAAAGTAATGTGCTTCATAAAGTCTGTTGACTCTGAGTTAATGTTTGTGGAATCATGCTGAAGCAAGTAGCTAGATCTCTATGTGTGAAACACACACCGATCTATGCCAGGGGGAGTAGAAAACAATACAAAATGCACCCTCCTTCCATGATAGCAGAAGCCATGAAGAACTGGTGGATGTTTATAGCCAAGCGTTGACAACCCTTCCCTCAAAAAAGTTTACACTTAATGTTGCTTAAAAACCAGAACGGTATATCCTTATATGTGACCTGTGACTGTTTTTGTAATAAAAAAGCAAATGTTTTTCAACCTTAACTATAACTGGCTGTCAAAAAGTCATATTTTGAATATTAAACTAAGCTATGCTTTAAACTTTAAATCATTGGGTGTTTATGAAACAGTAAGCGTGTGTAACCTTCAAAATAAGATTCAAGGAGAAATGTATAGGAATTGGAAATCTTTTTACATTTAAACATTCGGTGCAGCCTGAAGACCCTTCAGCTGGTCCCCTTCAGAGGGGAGGAGTGGCGTGGCAGTGGCAGGAGGCCTGAGGTGTTGGCCCTGGTCCCCTTCAGAGGGGAGCAGTGGCGGGAAGCATCAGGAGGCCTGGGGTGCTGGCATTGGTTCCACAAGTGTTTGCTTTGTGCTAATGTGTCTAGCTGATCATCTTAGGTTTGTGTCCTTTTCTGTGTGTGGAATATTTCAAATTTTTAGGTTAAAAACAAAAAAGATATGTATCCAAAAACAAATGCCTTGTGCAAACATTGAGGACTTTATTTGGTGACCTGGGGAAGAAAGCCCCTTTTTGGACTTAATGTAGAATATGAATCTCATCGTTGGTTACTCTGTGCTGCTTTCCAGCTAACCCATATCTAAACATGACAGATAAAATTGTTTATGCATTTAATCAGTTTGAGAAACTATACTGGGCTCTAGATGGGGTGTAAGCGAAGAAACATTCTTCCAGAGAATATATTCATGACTCCTCTCTGTTTACCCAATGATTCAAGGCTCATCCACTGCAGAGTTCAACAGGATTTATGGAGGGCCTCTCTCGACATTTAATTTTAAACCTAATTTTAAAACCTGGAGAAAAGAAATCTGTCAAAGTAAAGTTTACTCCAGTTCACAACAGAACTGTTTCTTCACTTATCATAGTCAGGTAGGTTCTGTGATATAGGTGTGGGTTCATTTTTACTACTTACTTAGAAGTCCTCACTTGTTTTAAGATGAATTTGCATGTCTAACTTATGAAATAGTTTGAATTCACTTTGTCCAAAACATGCACACACTCCATGCCTGATGAAACATACCTTTGTTATCAAATGCATAGTTCAAAAACATGAATGGTGTCTTAATGTGTGTCTCTTAAAAATAAAAACTTGCTCTTCTCTGTGTATTTTTGAATTCTTAAAGTATAAATTCTCACCATTAAATTTAATTTCTATGTGGTGCTCTGTAAAATAACAGTAGAAATTGCAAATCAAAAGATTGTGCAGATTTAATGAGAGAAAAATCTGTAATTCTCATTCTTGCATAGAAATAACCTGACTGTGATGGATGCTGTGATGGTCCAAGGACAAGGAACAACTGAGAACTTGAGGGTGGCAGGCAAGCTTCCAGGTCCAGGAAGCTCCTTACGCTTTAAAATCACGGAAGCATTGTTAAAAGATTGTACAGATAGTAAGTCTTCCTAACAGTTTCAAGGACACTAATTTCAGCATTTGCTTTCAACAGTAAATAATTTCAAAAACAACATTATTTCTGTATGTGCACCTGTGTATATTAGTTATGAATGCTTAAGAGCTTAAGGAAATTCCATGTTGTGTTTAGAGTTGTTTGATTTGGATCTTAAAAGATTTAAAGTGTTTGCACTCATTGCATACCTTAGCTGATTTACTCTCAGTATGAAATGTGAAGTATAGTCAACTTTTGCCATCTAAAATGATTTATCAAAGTAGATTACCTCATGATGAAATCTGAGGAACAGCTGATCTCTCTGACATGCAGGGATGGTTTATAACCTGTGACATATAGTAATTCATGAATAATGTATTTATCATTTGGACTGGGAGCACATGATGGCAAGATTTAGTCTTATTCCTGATTTTTTATCCTTTAGGTTTAAAACTAAGAGAACCAAATTTCACATTGAAAAGAACATTTAAGGTAGAGAATACAGGACAACTTCAAATTCACATAGAAACCATTGAAATCAGTGGATACTCATGTGAAGGATATGGCTTTAAAGTTGTTAATTGTCAAGAGTTTACTCTAAGTGCCAATGCTTCTAGAGATATAATCATATTGTAAGTATTTTATTTTAAGGTGTAATGAATCACTAACTTTCCTCAAACTCTGTGCAAAGATATGTTTTCATATTTACCAAAGGTCTTTATCCACAAATGCATTCATTTGTTTTTTTTTCACTTAATCTTTGGCTAAGGTATTTCTTCATATCTTAGTTTTCAAAGTTGTAAATTTTTTTTCACTTAATCTTTGGTTAAGGCATTTCTTCATATCTCAGTTTTCAAAAGTTATAAAACTTTATCTCCGAAGTGGATCAGATAATCTTAGAAATCAATTTCAAAATTATTTTCAGGGTTACGTTAAAGCAAAAGATGTTGATGTAAATTCACAGTCCCTCAGCAACAGAGATTTGTTTCATACATGTACAGTTTTTTCACGTTTTGCAGTATACGGATATGTAATATTTTGGTCAGAAGACAGTTTTAATACCTATCTCAGTAATAGCTGCAGCATATTTTAACAATTAATTGATAACTTGTTCTGTTATAAAGTTTATGCAATAAAATGCAACTTCTGTCCCTTAATTGAATATTTAATTTAGTGATCTTTAATGAATATTTACTTAATAAGTAGCTACATTATTGCATATAAGGCATAATGTTTGACACCTAAAGATGCAATGAGGAATAAGACACCTTTCCTCAAGGTACATACAATTAGCAAAAAATAAAAATAGAATAATTGCAACAGTAATCCATACTGCAGGAGATGATGGAAAAATCACTAGGCCCCAGCCAGTTGGTTTGTTTTTTTAAAAAAGACATTATTGGGATTGTAGCCTGGGAAAAGAGCATGGATTTAGATAAAGAAGAAAGAAGGAGAGAAGGACATGAAGCTCAGGACCATTTTCTGAATTAATAATTATGAGAATTTGATTATTGTTATTTTTTAGTGTAATTTCTCTAATTATTCACAGAATACAGTTGTTCCTATTACTGACCATGGGACAATACTTTTTTCATCTTAAAATACGGAAGTTGAGTAAAAGTATCAAACGCAAATTCTGTGTTATATTTCAAAGGCTTATAGGACCAGTATTATATGCAGACTGCTTGTGAGATATTTTTAAAACTTAGCCTTACTACCATCATTCTGTTTTAGGTTTACTCCTGATTTTACAGCTTCTAGAGTTATTCGGGAACTGAAGTTTATAACAACCAGTGGCTCTGAGTTTGTATTTATATTGAATGCATCCCTTCCTTACCATATGTTAGCAACCTGTGCAGAAGCCCTACCCAGACCTAACTGGGAACTGGCTCTGTATATCATCATCTCAGGAATAATGAGGTATTGTGTCTTGTTTCAAGGTTCATATTCATTCAACATTTAACACTGTTGATCGAGTGCCCACTGTGTGCCAGCCACTGTTCTGAGTGCTAGGATATGCCAGCAAACAAGACAGAACTCTGCCTTTATCAATCTCACAGACTGGTGGGAACAGTTAAAACAGAGCCCTTCTTGGGTGGCATATATAATAAACAGTGTTCTTTACCTCTGAAATTTGTTATACAAATTAAGTACATTTTAACATCTTTTTAAAATGCTCAGATAAAGTTACTTGACTTGGGCATATATATAATATACTTAACACAATAGTACCTAGGCCACTTGAAACTGATTAGAAATATTTTTTAAATTCTCAGTGTCTTCATCTGTTCTCAATATATTACTTTGTGTTTCAAGAGTCAGATAAATTCACCTCTAAACTAATTTACATATTTATATCACACATCCTTTAGAGGAAACGGGTTGGAGAGTTGAAACTAAAATTCTTCTTAGTAAAAGAAAAATCAAATTCCAGGCATTTCTTCTAATACACATAATTATTGCCTCCATATAAAACCTCCATGTGAGATGGCATTCTATAAAAATTCATGAGCAGGCCGGGCACGGTGGCTCACACCTGTATTCCCAGCACTTTGGGAGGCCGAGGCGGGCAGATCACCTGAGGTCAGGAATTCAAGACCAGCCTTGCCAACATGGTGAAACCCCGTCTCTACTAAAAATACAAAAAATTAGCCGGATGTGGTGATGCATCCCTATAATCCCAGCTACTGGGGAGGCTGAGGTTGCAGTGAGCTGAGATCGCCCCATTGCACTCCAGCCTGGGCAATAAGAGCGAAACTTTGTCTCAGGAAAAAAAAGAAAGAAAGAGAAAAACTGATGTGCAAACTTTTATCCATAAAACTGTGGGTTTTTTGTTTTTTTTTTTTTTTTTTTTTTGAGACAGAGTCTCGCTCTGTTGCCCAGGCTGGAGTGCAGTGGCACGATCTCGGCTCACTGCAAGCTCCGCCTCCCGGGTTCATGCCATTCTCCTGCCTCAGCCTCCCGACTAGCTGGGACTACAGGCGCCCGCCACCACGGCCGGCTAATTTTTTGTATTTTTAGTAGAGACGGGGTTTCACCATGTTAGCCAGGATGGTGTCGATCTCCTGACCTCGTGATCCACCCGCCTCGGCCTCCCAAAGTGCTGGGATTATAGGCATGAGCTACCGTGCCCAGCCAAAACTGTGGGTTTTGTCTGTTAAAAGTTGTCACAGACAACTTGGTTTTCTATTACATCATATTGTACTTTACCAAGAAACTCTGCCTTTAACATCGAATTTTGTTGCTTGTCTACTAACAAATGAATCCTGATTTTCCAATTTTTTTTACCCCTGCAGTGCACTGTTTCTTTTGGTCATTGGAACAGCCTATTTGGAAGCTCAAGGAATATGGGAGCCATTTCGAAGGCGGCTATCCTTTGAGGCCTCGAACCCGCCCTTCGATGTGGGAAGGCCATTTGATCTCAGGAGAATCGTTGGTATTTCATCTGAAGGAAAGTATGTTCACATGCTGGCAATAAATTCCCTAGTGTACATAGATTTGGCTGATAAAATTACAATAAAAAATAAGTTTCTTTTCATCTTTGCTCAGGAGAAAAAAAATCTTAATTCTGATTACTTAATAACACCCTGTATGGAACTCTGAGTGACTTAGAGCTCATGCTGGATACTGTGTTTTTATTATATTGGTAAGGGTTAAAATACTTTTAGTTAGATCACTGATGGTAAATTATAAATGTTCAGATAGAACAGATGTTAGAGAGTTGTAGAAATTTCCCTATTTCTTGCTATTTTTTCCCTAGTGTAGTTTATATTTATGGTGGCTGTACTGATGAAGTTGAAGTTTTTTTTTAATATTAGATTTTGTAGGTTGCTATTTACTGATCTGCAGTTGGTCCCTTTTTCAGCTTGAACACACTCAGCTGTGACCCCGGTCACAGTAGGGGGTTCTGTGGAGCAGGCGGTTCATCATCCCGACCCAGTGCCGGGAGTCATAAGCAGTGTGGCCCATCGGTCCACCCACACAGCAGTCACAGCAATAGAAACTCAGCTGACGTGGAAAACGTCAGAGCCAAAAACAGTTCAAGTACCTCTAGTAGGACTTCTGCTCAAGCAGCTTCTTCACAGTCTGCTAACAAAACAAGCCCCCTTGTCTTAGATTCGAACACAGTGACTCAAGGTCATACAGCGGGCAGAAAGTCCAAAGGGGCAAAGCAGAGCCAGCACGGCAGCCAGCACCATGC